>NT_187600.1:1013544-1351393 GCF_000001405.40 Homo sapiens
CTTCCAACTATTAAGATATATGAAAAGTCTAAAATTTTCTCCTTTCAAATTGGGTCCTCATCACCTCATTGGGTTAGGTAAATGCTTCAAGTATGATGGGGTATGTAAAGACGCATTGTAGTTTTTGCTAAATTTTTTATGTTTTATTTTATTTTTATTTTCAAAAATAAAGATGAAGCCTCACTATTTTTCACAGACTGATCTCAAACTCCTGGGTTCAATAAATCTTCCCACCTCAGCCTCTCAAATTTCTGGGATTATAGGTGTAAGCCACTGTGCCTGGACATTAATTACTTGTTTTAACTTTTTAATTGCATTTTTGTTTTGAAATAAGTGTAATTCAGGTGCTGGAAAAATTTTCTCCTCAGACTCCTCTGCAGCAGCTCCAGGGCTGACATCTGTGTGGAGTGGGTTCTGGGCCTGTCCTGCAGCTCTGCCCTCACCCTGCAGGGGAGGATGCTGTTTGGGCTCACAGAGCATATTCTCCCAATGTCGCTCTCCAAGAAGAAAGGGGCAGTTCCCTGGTTCACAATCCTCTCTCAGCAGCATCTAATGCTTTTGAAATTGTCTCTTGAAACAGTGATTTGTCATTACTATACCCAGTAAACTGCAGGGAGAGCCCAAGCATAGATTCTATGAAACCACCAGAGAGTCTGTTCCCTGGGACTGTCAGATGCAGTGACACAGTCAAGATCCATGGTGAGTCCAGAAACTTTCAGAGAACTCATAGGAGCTTCTTATTTCTTTTAGAATTCTCTATTCAAAGTCACGCCAAATAGCATCTCCACAGAGAGAACTACATGGCTCAAAGCTCGCAAAAATTAAAACACACATGTACACACACACACACACACACACACAGACGCACAGTGTACTATGGCTGATTTTTACAATAATTGGCTCCTGATTTTGGATTTTGCCTAGTGTAACCAAAGGTTTCTGAGAGAGCTCTCAATCAAATTAAAATTAATTTTTCCAAAGTTATGGCATGCTTGGAAGAAAAGTAATCACAGAAACAATGCGTGGTTAGTGCCATTCCCAAAAGACATTTTTTAGGGCTTTCAATATATAAAGGGGAAAAGCTGGCTAGAGGGGAAAGAGGAATTGCATGAAAACTTACATGTAGTAATGAAAAAGAAGCACATAGGGAAATAGAATATCAAGTGGTTCTCCTGCACTAAGTATTTCAAAGATGAACAAATTGTAGCTATCTGTGAAGATATCTAACATTTTATCTGTCTGTGGCTATTTTCTTAGGAATGAAAGGAAAATCAGTTTCTTGCATGGATCATCCTTTAGTTTTTTCCCCCCTCATGACGTAATGAATTGACATCATAAGTTTTTATTTTCATTTCATATCTTCCCAACTTTTTCCTTTCCAAAATATTTCAGAGGAAGCATTTTACCACAAAATAAGTTTCTGGGCTTCTGTTTTTGTTTTTGTTTTTTTCTTTCATGGGTAGGACGGATTATTTCTAGATAAATAGGTCCCAAGTTGTTATTATAGTTCATTGTTACCTATATTTCAAATGTTGTGAAGTTTCACATCCATTAATAAGAAAATAGTGGGAGAAAAAAGAGAAGTAAAACATATAAATAAAGGAGGAAATAACAAACAACAAAAAGGGGAAACAATCCTGGAAAACTGATATAGGCCTTGGAACTCTGAAGGCTGAACATGAATAAGGTAAACGACAAATATCTGAGACAGGTCTCAGTCAATTTAGGAAGTTTACTAATGTGGTTTGTCTGTGTCGCCATCCAAATCTAACCTTGAATTCTAGTCCTGCAGTTCCCATGTGTCATGGGAAGGACCCAATGAGAGATAATTGAATCACAGGGGCAGGTCTTTCCCATGCTGTTCTCATGATAGTAAATACTTCTCATTAGATCTGATGGTTCTGTAAAGAGGAGTTGCCCTGAGCAAGCTCTCTCTAGTCTGCCACCGTGTAAGATGTCGCTTGCTTTTCTGACAAGATTGTGAAGTGTCCCCAGCCATGTGAAACTGTGAGTCAATTAAACCTCTTTCCTTTATCAATTACCCGGTCTTTGTTATGTTTTATTAGCAGCAGGAGAACAGACTAATACGTTTATCTTGCCAAAGATAACTCACCCATGACCATCCTCAGGAAGTCCTGAGACATGTGCCCAAGGCGATTGAAGTACAGCTTGCTTTTATACATTTTAGAGAGACATGAGACATCAATCAATATATGTAAAATGTACTTTGGATTTTTCCTGTAAGGCAGGACGAATCAAAAGCACGGACTGCAGTTTAGAAGTAGATAAGAGACAATAGGTTGCGTTCTTTTGAGTACTTTATTAGCCTACCACTGAATGCACAATTTAGTCTGACTCAGTGGATCTTCGTTTTTACATAAATGATAGTGAAGAGGAAGCAATCAGCTGTGTATTGGTCTCAGGTTAGCCTCAGAGGAATCACTTTAAACAGAAGGGGAGGCAGATTTGCCCAAAGCACTTTCCAGTATGGCAGCCTCGTTGTCTGGAATACCACCCGAACTTCTTTGTCTCACGGCCGTGAATATCAAGGTCGCAGACATGCTAAGGGTGAGGTTAGAGCACAAGTTTAATAGGTAAAATAAAAAAAAAGCTGTCTGTCACAGAGAGGGGTCCCAAATGGGTTATCGTGCTGCAGTAAAATGTAAGGATTTTTATAAATGTGCTCGTGGGGAGACGGTGTCTTATCAGCATAGGGTGCAAAAACAGTTAGGACAATGTGTGCCATCTGCATAGAGCAAAGTCTCTGGCAACCCCACCTCATGCTTTCATTGGGCAGGCGGGCACTTTGCTTGATCTCCTCCACACTGCTTATCTTCTTCCACCGTGCATGTGCTAAGAAAGGCCAGAAGGGTTTTCTTGCCTGGTCCCAGGTACTTCCTCACAGGTGCCGGCGTCGCAAACCCCGTGCAAGCTTCCAGCTTTTCTATCTTAGTGTACTCCCAGAAAAGAAAAGGAATGTGCTTATTAAGGCTCACTGTTTTTACTGGGACCCATCCTATATATGTGAGGTTTGGTGATTACACCCAGAAACACCCTCTCTGTGGCAGAGTTGCTTATCTATATTTCACAGCCTGATTATTTAGTCTGCTTTTTGTTAGAAGTGATTTCTTTGAACTGTGTGTAATTAGAGAAGAAGTTATTTCTGAGCTGATTTTTGTTAGAA
Organism: Homo sapiens; assembly: GCF_000001405.40. Lineage (NCBI taxonomy): Eukaryota > Metazoa > Chordata > Mammalia > Primates > Hominidae > Homo > Homo sapiens. The sequence goes on from NT_187600.1 coordinate 1,016,729, forward strand.
GAAAAGTTATTTTGCCAGAGACTCTCTCATCCCAACTATCTACCTAAATAATTTCTTTCTATCTCCTGTAACACCACATTGACTCTTCTCTTTAGCTTAGTAATTTTGGGGTCTCAAGATTTATTTTCCCTTCACAGTAGGAGGGTATAAAAGGAATTTTTGTATATAATTAAGTTGCTGGTATTAGACAATTTTCATGCTGCTATAAGGACATACCTGATGCTGGATAATTTATTTAAAAAAAAGGTTTAATTGTCTCACAGATCTACATGGCTGGGGAGGCCACAAGAAACTTACAGTCATGATGGAAAGGGCAGCAAACACGTACCTCTTCACATGGCTGCAGGAGAGAGAAGTGTCATGTGAAGAGGGAGGCCCTTTATATAACCATCAGGTCTTGTGAGAACTCACTCACTAATAGGATAAAAGCATGGAGAAAACACGTCCCGTGATTCAATTATCTTCACCTCCTTCCACCCTTGACATGTGGAAATTATTACTATACAAACTGAGATTTTGGTGGGAACACAGAGACAAACCATATCATTGATTTTATTTTATTTTAGAGTTTAAGTTGACTAGCTGTAAGAAAGCACAGTTTACCTTCTGGAGATTTCAAATAGGAAAAAAATATTTAAAAAGAAAATCACTGAAAATGTTATTTTGGAGACTTGTGGAAAGAAATATTTTAAAATTGAGTCCAAATTGTAGAAAATATTGTAAATTGAAAAACAAGTGGACAAGGTTAGAACCTAATAACAGATGCACTATAGTTTATTTTGAAAGAATATTTCTCCCTATAATTCCCCAATTTTATTGGAGACAAAATCATAATAGGACTAATTTATTTGTAAAATAAATTTTAGGCTTATTATACTTGGCCTGATTTTTTTGTATAAGATGCAGCAAAAATAATCACTTAACATATTAGCTCTCTTTTTATTGTTTTTGTTTTTGTTGTTGTTTGTTGTACATAGGCTGTTTTATTCATACATTGCTTTTGCTATTTTTTATAAGGAATCTAAGGGTAAGATCTTTAAAAGCCTCAAGCCCAGCCAATATTTTATCTGTGCCATCAGATAGCTATATGGATTGGTTTACTTTTTATTTTTTCAAGTATCCAAGAAAACTTGGGTTTCCTGGGCCTGTCAGAAAGCAAAATTATTTACTTACTACAGCTCAGGGCCCTGTTAAAAAAAAAAAAAAAAGGTAAAATGCCAGTTTTCCAAAGGGGCTTATATCAGCTGTACAGCTCTTCATTTTATAAAGTAAATCAGAAAATATGTCATTCAAGTTAAAGCCTTGGTAAAGTGACCATTGTCTCTAATTGTGCTCTGTTATGGAAGAAAGCAGATTTTTATCGAACCTATGCAAATAACTATTTTGATATAAGAATACCTACAGTTTCCAAATTTTGGAGAAATTATGTAGAGAAGAAGAAATTATATTTTCAATTTTTCTCAATAGAGTATAGTTAAAATTGTTAAAAACTGTGAATAGCTTAAAAGACAAAGTTTTCTTGATTCTGAACAATAAAACATAAGTAAATAGCAAATGCTTTAAAGAATAAGTTATAAAAATTATTTCAGTCTCCTTTTCATTCAGTTCATGCAATTACATCCTGTCCTGCTTGATATTAGATTAACAATCATCATAAATGCTTCAGGTCTCATGAGACTCATGGAAGTTTTTCTCTCTATACCAAAGGCACAATTTATAAAATTGTCAAAATTGTATATTGTATATTTAAGAGTACTACTCAAAGTTCTATAGATTATTATAAGCCACCTGATAAAGAATCAAAGTAAAACAACAATTGTGAATGACCGACCTTTTAGAATACCCCTGGTTAAAGACAGAATTGAGGAGAAAATTTGGTTATTTCTGTGATAAACAAAAATTTTAAATTATAATCATAAGTACTACTGATACTAAGACATATAAAAATCACTTGAATCTAATAGAATTTTGGAACATATACTCTTTACATAAGTATATTCAAATTATATAGTCCACATTTATATAAATATAGTCCAAAGTTAATAACCATTGCAAATTTGACATTACTTCCTGTATAATTTAACTGTACCAAATAAGCTAAATGTGTTTCTTTTCAGGGTGTTCAAATGACTGAATTTAGAATTTTATTTTGTGAACTTTGTCAAATATCAAAAGTTTACAACACTTGATATTACAAAATAGGATTACAGATTATTGTAAAATAAGTTATTTATTTAGCCACATGAAAACTCAGTGATTTCTAAAAAAAAGAAAAAAAATATTTTTGAAAGAGTAGAATTGATTTTCTAAAATATAACCCCTTAGAAGAACAGCATGAGAAAAGTTAAAACTATCAATTCTGAAAAATAAATCTATTAAATTATAATTACTTTTACCATAAAAATAATTTGCATAGATCTTTTATACAGTTTTATCTGTTTTTTAAATTTAAATGTGGATTAATTCTTCAAGAAACCCTGGTCAATCTGGCACAGGGGCCCAGATGCTAGCCTTGCATTAATGTTTAATTTATAAAGAAACTCTGAACCGATTTCATCTCTCAAAATTAGCTTTTACAATCTTACAAAGCCACTTCTTCTGTAATAGTCCCTGGGGCTGGGGTGGTTAAGTAGTTTCAATTTCTGGGCTTGTGTCTTGAGAGTGTGATCAATTTTTCTTGTCATTTTCTTCCAGGTCTGTAGATGGGGCTTTAATTGCTGTCGGTGTTTAAGATTTAGCTGGACTTGGTGTCCTTTTTATTTTTTATTTTATTTATTTATTTTTTCTGAGATGGAGTCTCACTCTGTCACCCAGGCTGGAGTGCAGTAGTGCAATATCTGCTCACTGCAACGTCCACCTCCCCGAGTTCAAGCAATTCTCTCTGCCTCAGGCTCCCAAGTAGCTGGGATTACAGGCACCTGCCACCATGCCCAGCTAATTTTTGTATTTTTTAGTAAAGATGGGGTTTTGTCATGGTGGCCAGGCTGGTCTCTAACTTCTGACCTCAGGTGATTTGCCCACCTTAGCCTCCCAAAGTGTTGTGTGTCCTTTTTAGACCTAGGATTCAAAGCTCAGTAAAGTAGCAGCACAAGGACTTTAAAAGTTATACAGATAGTTACATGAATGTCATAACATTAATTTCTATTGTCTTAAACTCTCAGTATTACTAAGTAGTTGAAAAACTTAATAACACTTACATAGGAATTATTTCAATGAAATTTAAAATTTGTCTCATGCCAGTTACCAAATAGCAAAAATAAAGCCTTCTGCACTGTGACTGTTTTTTCCTATGGGGAACTCCATGTACATAACCTGCAAGTCAACTCTAATGAAAAAAGTATTTGAATTAATCAGACCTAGGAAGAATGTGTCTTTACAAGTGAAGATTTTGGTTTCATAGAAAAATTTAGACAGTTAAAGAAAAGCCAACGACACTGAATATTATATTGAAAGAAAACATTTTATTTAGAACTTTAAGATAGAGGATTTTAACATCAGGAAATAATAGCAGTCAGAAACTAACAACAGTTAGAAGTTAACTCAGAGGCTAACTGCTGTAAGTAAGAAACAATGTTAAAGGAGCTGATGAAAAAGTTGAGATCCTCTCAAGCCTTCTCAAATGGAAAAAAATAAAAATGGCAAGATGCAACAAAAGTTAAAATTTTGGGTTAAAAAATTATAATACCTTATAATTTTATTGAATAAATCAATACTTTAAGACAATTTTGTCATTCTAACCAATCTTCAGTGTGTTAGTATATTTTCATATGAAAGCCAGATCCCTATAAAGACTATAATAAATTCTTCCCTTTCAATTATAGTCAACTCGATAACATGAAGTTTTTTTAATAAGTTAGCTTTCTATAAACCTTATTTTGACTTACACGAACCATTTATGGCATACTTGAACATCTTGTTTTATTCTAAACATTATTCTTTCATAAATAGTCACTTTTATATATAAAAAGTTATCCTACAAAATTCCCTCTCATATAATTTTTTTTTATTTTAACCTTTCTTACCAAAAGTACTTCTCTATGTCTAGAACTTTCTTTAAACCTCTCTTATTAACTGGGTATGTTTATGACATTTTATAATTAACCTTTGAATTAAATAAATTATTTTTCTAAAAACAAATGTTTTCAAAAAATATTTTCTTATAATATGTATTTTTAAAAAGTTTTCCTTATAGTATATATATTTTAAACAATTAGTAATGCATAAACATTTATATAATATATATTATTTAATTAAACTTTAGATTTTTAAATTGTAGAACAAGTTTATTTAAATGGTTTATTTTATTTCATTTACCTAATTTATTTTTTAAATAGCTTACCTAGAATATTTATGAAAACTGTAATACTTGTCCATTAAAGTTTTTCACCTATTAACCATGTTTATAACCCATGAAATTTAGGTGTTTACCTAAGTAAAACCTTATGATTAAGTAGATGATTATTTTTCTAGTAGCTAAGTATTTACCTATTTTTTTTTATTAAAACAACAATACTGAACATCTTGTTAAATTACAAAGATCAATCTGGTTTTAACTAGGTTTTTAATTTTATAATTTTATAATCTTAAACAGCAGGTGTTTAAAAAAAGGGTTAGATGTAAACAGTGATTGTTATCTTAAAACCAGTAGAAAGGTCCTGTAAACTGGAAAACAAAATATTTTAAAGCAAAAAATGTATCTTCATCTTTCTTTATAAACTTCACCAAAAGCTTATTACATGCTCTTACTATTCTAATTCTTAGTAACTCTAATTCATAGTGAGAAAGCTAAGATTACTTAATTTAACATAGCAAGACTTTAAGATTTTAAATACTGACGATAATTATGAGACTAAATTTACAAAATTAATATTTGTAAAGCAATGTAAAATTTAAAGCTGACTATACAAACACAGATGTACTTTTTTGTTTACAAAGTGTTTCATTAAACAGACTTAACTTGATTGGTGGTCTTTGACATACAGCTTAATTAGATGACTGGTCTTGGATTGGAGGCATTTAAGAAAAAGGGCCAAGAAAACATGCAGTTTTTAGGGCATAAACTACAATTATTTATGGAAATGTGCAAAGAAATGAGTAGCCTTCTATAGTGATGATCATTTCCTGCTAACTGCCCTCAGCCACCCCTAACGTAGCTTTCAAAGCCACCCCTAACATTGGAGCTTTCATTCACTATTGCACACACGAGGAATGAATCCTCTCACAGTGCAGTGTAATTCTGGTAACATCCGAAACCAAAAACATTACATAATCCAAGAAAGCAGAGCTTTATACCTGAGAAGAATCTACCAATGTTTCTTGAAACCACAAAGGAAGGAGAAAAACTCCCAAGAGTTTAGTGGCAAGATCCAAAAGGAAAACACCCTTCCTGCCCCAACCCAGGGGCCTGATGTGGAGCTGCCTGCTAAGGGAGCGGTGGTGTCCTCAGTGGCCCCTGGTGTCCTGAGCATCCCCTGGTGTCCTGAGTGCCCCCTGGTGGTTGTGAGGGACCCCTGGTTTACTGAGCACACCCTAGTGTCCTGAGAGCCCCTTGCTGTCCTGAGCACCTCCTGGTGTTCTGAGCGCCCTCTGGTGTTCTGATCACTCTCTGAAGGTCCTGAGCGCCCCCGGAGGTCCTCAGCACGCTCTGATGTCCTGAGGGCCCCCTGGTGGTTCTGAGCGCTTCCTGGTGGTTCTGAGTGTTCCCTAGTGTCCTGAGCGCCCCCTGCAGTCCTGAGGGTCCGCTGGTGCTTCAGAGCACACCCTAGTGTTTGAGTCCCCTGGTTTCCTCAGTGCCCCCAGATGGTTCTGAGAGCTCCCTGGTGTCCTGAGCACCGCCTGGTGGTTCTGAGTACCCCCTAGTTTCCTGAGTCCCCCTGGTGTCCTGAGTGCCCCACGGTGGTTCTGAGCGCCCCTGGCGTCTTGAGTGAGTCATGGTGGTTCTGAGCACCCCCTGGTGTCCTGAGCACCTTCTGGTTTCCTGTGCACCCCCTGGTGGTTCTGAGAAGCATCTACCATGCAGGGAGGTTTGTGTCTCCCTGCAGGCAGGTTTGTGTCTGAGCTCACACAGATGTCCCCTCACCGTGTCCCTCACAGTAATAAACGGAATTTTCCTGAGCTCTCAGGTTAATCATCTTAAGAGAGAATCATCTGAAAAGCGTGTCTCTGAGGACTGTTAATCTTCTTTGTACTCAAGGAGAGTCCCACTGAGAACTTCCACTTGAATTACTGATGTTATCACCTACACCCACCCCTGTCATGAAGCCTGCTGGACCAAGCTTATGCTGTTTTCAGTGAAAGTGAATCCACAGGGTTTCCAGAAAAGTCTGAGAATTCTTGGTCTGTAGTATTTCTCTGAGAGACTCCAGTAATTAACTTCACAGGGGACCTCTGCAAGCACAGAAGCAACAGACTGAGAACAGCCCCCACGTGGAGCAGCCACAGTTCACTCAGTCTGTTTAACGGGGAACCTCAATATTGAGAGTGATGACAAGTGAAGCCCAGATCATCATAGACCCGATGGTGTGGACACTGAGGAAGGGCACAGATATTGGGTGGCTCCTCACCAGGACCTGCAGGAGAAGAGGGGAAGAGCTGCTTTTCATTAGCAGGGAGGGGCCTCATTTCCATGTCTTTCTCCTGGGGACATGTGTGTTCTGCTCAGCAGGGCTCATCCAATCTATATCTCTGGGTTGCAAGGAGGGCAGGGTCAAAGGATTCCTGGGACTGGATGTTCAGGGTTGATGTGTCCATTGCTCTTTCTTTTTCTTTCATGTGGACGCTGTTAGGGTATCTTTATAGTATCAATGTTTGTCAACAAATAAGTACAGTAAACAAATAAAAATAAACCTTGCCCAGAGGAAATGGACATCTGCCTGTAGGCTGTGCAATTCGAGCTGTAAACCACTGTCCTCTACAATAAAGCAAAGTCTTCAGTTAGAATTTTAAAAATGCAGATCTACAAATTGTCAGAGCTGGAGTCCACAATTACTTCTATCCTGAGCTTATTTTGCCACATAGCTGTTCAGTTTCAGATGTATGTGCTTGTCTGAAGAAAAAGTTAATGCGGGGACATGTGGGCTTATCTGAAATGAATACAGAATCTTACAGGAGATTTGGGAGTGCCTTGTTTCTTCAATGGGCTCTTGCAGTTGAATGTTGCATCTGAGAATACCAGCAGGTGCATATACTTTCAGAAGAAAGCCCACTCCATATCCACTATTCCAATAACACCCATCTTCCCTTCTTCCTAGTTTGTAGCTTTTAGGATGTGCCTCCTACACTGACACTAGGTCCAGGTATCTGACTTTTTCCCCTAGAGACCTAAAGCAAACAGGATACAAGCAGAGACTTGAGAAGTGCATGCAGGAGGTTATTTTCTTTTTCTCAGATAGAGTCACTGCAAAGGCTTCATGATGAAAGAAGCTGAGGTCAATGAAGGAGTGTTTAAGACATTGGTCTTAAAAATCATGATGTCAGAGGCTTCAGATTGCTCTACTGTTCTTGTCTCACCCTCTGCCGTTGTCCTTTAGTTTTCCTGTGTTCTCCTCAGATAGAGTCTGTGCATTGCCACACTTTCACCTTTAATCCAGAGCCATCATCCTGGTTAGAATGGATTGTGCAGTGCAGGTAAGCACTGCCTGTTCTGACAGTGGAAACCTAGAGACACAGTCAGCTTCCTCTTCTGGCCTATGATCTTGACCAGGCGTCTCCAGGGGAAAAGCTCATTTTGGGCGATTACTCCCTTTTTTGTTTTCAGCATCCCTGGATTATTTACTTATATCTTACCTCTATTGGCTAACTTTACTCATTTCTACAATTATGGAAGAATGGGAGAGAAATCTGCAGTGGGAGATTTGTCTTCCTTCACATAGGATAAGGTTCTGGAAAAGTCCTTTCCTGTAGAAGCTTTTGAAGAAGGCTCGTGGTATGTTTCTCAGTAATTAATATCTGCAATTTTGATCTATAGGAAATGTCTTTGGAATGTACATTTTAGAATCTTGAGGTTTCTGGAAAGAAATTCCAGAAAACTTAGAAGTATAAGACCCTCTGGAACTGTTACATTTACTGAGTCCACATCTGTCTTCAGACGTCTGTAGTGCTTACCATGTAAGTGCCCTCAACAGCTTGTGGCTTCTGCAGCTTCTGCTCCAGTTAAGCAGGTGTCAATTGCCATTCTGCACATGCCTGTCTCTCCAGGTTTGGAGTGGGTAATATTTCTTGCAATTTCTGTTATTTCATAGATTCCAAAAAGTATTGACATCCAGATTATGCAGATTACTTTTGACATAAAAATGAGGGTGATGAATTTTATAATCTACGTTTTGGAGCATAAACCAAAAGTACAATCAAACCTCACCTCTGATGTGTTACTAGAGGCAGAATTCTGATCCTATTACATAGAAGTGGCACCTGGCATGACATCAATGAACAGGCAAGAAAACAGAGAAAGGACATGGCACAACGCTTATGAACAAGTCTCAACAATTTTAATTTTCTTCTGAAGAAGCTGAAATTGTGAAAGTGAAACAGTGGGACTGGTCGTGTCTCAGGTGATGTTGTCTTCTGAAAAGTATCTCCAATCCTGGGCTGGATCTGGTAGGTGCACCTGGGCTCCCTAACCTCAAACAGCAACTTTTATTTCTTAAACACAAGACATTCCAATGAGAAAGCTGTTCTCAGGTGAGCTGTCGAGCAGGGAGGAGTAGATGGAGGTGTCTTTGGCTTCCTAGAAATTGCTGAAACTTGAAGACCAAGGCCACCTCTGAGGGGCAGAGATCCACCTATGAGTACGTCACATCAGCTCTGTCTTCAGGAATCTTTGGCTGTGTGGGCGGATAAGGAATGTGATATATTCGTTTCTGCTAATGCAGTGTGCTTCAGAGAAAATAAAATTGAAAATTTAATAAAAAGATTTTTGCCATATTAGGGAAGAGAACCTGTAAAAATCATGGGAATACAAGTGCTGACTTCAGACCTTGCAGAAGGAGCAAGTCTGCAATTGAGAGAAGGAAGCGCCCTGCCCGAGGAAGCAGGTGCCCTGAGATCATCCCCTGAGAACTGCCCTCTAGATGCCGTGCGTCATGGAACCTGGGCTTGTGCCTGGGATGTGAAAAGTAGTGTGGAGAGCAGAGCACAGCTCCATTCCTCCTCCTACTGTGACCTAGGATGTGGCCTCTTCCTCTGAGCTTTATTCTAATAAGGCGTTAATATAAAATAACAGCAGTAACTTTACCTGTAACCTTTCAAGTATGACCAGTCTTGTTCAGACTTGTTATCACTGTTCTTGACCAAACCCTTAAATATCATAAAAATACCTGTGTGACCCATCACCTCAGGGCTCAGATGACCACATTACAGAGAGAAGCTCTGTTTTATTTCTGTCACAAACATGGTGTTAGAACTGGAACATATGTGTACCTTGTTATATAATTTATCTTAATTATGTTAAATTGGATAAAATTAGAATTAGTAAATTATACCTTAGAAATTTAGCTGAGGAGATATCTAAGTAAACTGTTGATGGTATGCCTTCATTTCTTTTTGCTTATCATAGTATAATGTGACAGGAGAGAGATAAATTAAAGAGGAAATTATTGAGCAACGTGCAATCAGCTATTTTATAAATAAAGGAGGTTCTCACATCTTCTGGAAACCCCATAAATTTTTTAAAAAGTTAAGTAACTTTAAGACATATTTCTACATTCTAGATACATGACTAATGTAAACTTAGATTTAAGTGCAAAAAGAGATAAAAAAGAGCAAAAAGAGATGTTACCTGAGCAAGAAACAAAGACAATTAACATGTCTCAGATCTTGAGGAAAATCAGAATTGTAACTTAAGTTTGATCTACTTTATGACCTTGCAGTGGCGTGGCCAAGGAGACAGGATCTCGCAGGATTTTACAAATTGTGTTTACAAGGAATTTGAATTGGGAGCATAGATAAGGTCTGCTGGTCACAGAAATACAGACTTAAAAGCCCATAATGTTAAAACATTCCTTTTAGTTTCAGGGGAGGGGGAATGGAGAGAGGGAGAGAGGACACAGGGAAGCTTACAGCAAAATTTTCACTGTTTATAGCTTTCTTAGGGAAGAAAACACATGCACAAATTGTGATGTTAGGAATATTTTAAGCATATATCTTCAATATTATTCATCCAGGACCAAAGTAAGTCCTGATGCAGGAAATGAGTGAGTTTCACTGCTTTCTGAGCCTCTACTCAACCCAGGAAGCCCGGCTGACACCTCCTCTCAGAGTTTTCTGCTTAGAAAACCAATAATAACACAAATGTTACTGGAAAGGGATCCCAATTGGGGCAAATCTACAGAATAAAAGGAAAGCAAGTTTATTAGGAAAGTAAGAGAATAAAGAATGGCTACTATATAGGCAGAGAAGTGGTATGGGCTGCTGGTTGTCCATTTTTATGGTTATTTCTTGATTATACGTTAAACAAAAGAAGGATTATTCATGAATTCCCCGGGCAATTCCCAAAGCTGAGGTTTCCTCCACTCTTTAGTTTCTAGGGAAACTTCCTGATGTTGCTATGGCATTTGTAAACTGTCATGGCTCTGTGGGGAGTGTCTTTTAGAATGTTAAAGCATAATACTTAGCATATAATGAGCAATGAGGACAAACAGAGGTCACTTTTGTCACCATCTTGGTTTTGGTGGGCTTCAGCCCAGTTTCTTTACTGTAAACTTTATTAGCAAGGTCTTTATGACCTGGATCTTGTGCAGACCTCCTATCTCATCCTGTGACTAAGAACGCCTTAGCTTACTGGGAATGTAGCCCAGCAGGTCTCAGTCTTATTTTTCCTACCCCTTATTCAAGATGAAGTTGTTCTGGTTCCAAAGCCTCTGACACAAATAATGTAACAGAAATATTTATAATATGAGCATGATTATATTGTCAAATATAAAATAAAATATCATAATGGCAACAATCAATTTTATGTGTCACCTTGACTAGACCACAGTCTCAACTACTCAATCACACACTAGCCTAGGTGTTGCTCCCATGGCTTAACACAGGTGTTAGTAGAGACTGCCATTATTTTTTCCCAGTCATGAAGTCACAAAGAGTGTTTTAGATAATCTAGGTGGTGCTGATTCAAAGAGAGTGTAACAGAAGACCATAGGACTCCGTGGTAGATGGCAGATGCAGGTCTTCCCAGGAATTCCAGCCTGTCTTTCCCGACGGCCAGCAGTATTGACCTTAGGCTGCCCGGGGAGACCCTACGATTACTGTCACCCAGAGCTCACTGCACAATGGAGTGTCCATCCTCAGCTTGTTGTAACCGAGCGAGTTAGAGAGAAACGCCGCACTTTGAGATGAATTCAGGAGTCCTTTATTAGCTGGCAACTGAGAGATGGCTAACGCTGGAAATTCTCTCAGCCCCGAAGAAGGTGCTAGATTTTCTTTTATACTTTGGTTTAGAGAGGGGAGGGGGAGCCTAACTGTAGCATTCTAACAGGAGTAAAACAGGCAAAAAAGTTGAAAGGACAAATGGTTACAGGCAAACAGTTCCAGGTGCAGGGGCTTTAAATTCATCACAAGATGATAGGTGTGGGGGCTCTGGGTGTTATCTGCCAGACACAAATGCAGGGGCTTTAGGGTACCATCACCTGGCCAAATTCCTGGGAACTGCGGACACAGCTTGCCACAGTACCTTATCAGTTAATCGCACTCTTTGAGATGCTGGGAGTCAGCTTAAACAAGTTAAGTCCTTGAGGAAGGGGGTGGGTGAGGAGCCCTTGATGTCTTACAAATGAAGGAGCCAAATGGAGTCTGTTCCAGCTTCCTGAGCTAAGGGAGAGTCTATTCATATTAAAACAAGATAAGGTATCACAAGCTCTCCTCAAAGTCACAGGTGAGAGTCCAAACTTTGTGACAGTGTGAGAAGCATAAGATCAGCTCTACATCAACATCCCATTGGAGAAAACTAGTATTATTCCCTTCATGACTAATGCCTGCTTCATTTTCCAAATGCCTCCATGCACAGAAGACAGCAGGATTTTCCAGGCAATAGTGAGTGAGGAAGACCCCTCAGCCTACCCAGCTCCTGCGGACCTGAGCCTTGGAATTTAGACTACAGAAAACACATCCTCTGTTTTCAGGAAAGAGAAGAAGAAAGGGATCTGTGAGAATCAAGTCTACTGGGAAGGAAAATGGATTAGCAGAAAGAGGGTCAACTGAATCAGTCTGAGTCAGATGTGCCCAGTTTCACAAGATGAAGGGGGATTGCTGTGAAAACCATCAGGTTTTAAGAACCCTGACCCTGGGTGAGCCTCTCTCTTGGCTCCCATCAGAACTCAAAGCCTGTTCTAATCAGAGATTCCCATGGAGGTCTCTGCCCTGAGTCTAATTGGAAAACATTCCCCAGGTTTCCCTGGGATTCCTCAAAACTCTCACCCTGTTGACCACGAAAGGATTATTTCTGCCCCCAAAGTGACACTGTGGCTTCTGTGGAGGTGAGGATGTGTCCTCCTGTTTTAAAAAAAAAAAACAGACACAAAAAGGAAAAAAAAGGTTGCATTTAGAGACATCAAATATTAGTACAGGATTGTAAATCTGGAGAAGTTCCCCGGGGAAATTTGACAATGAGGCCGCCCCAGGCCATCACAGGAAGCCAGCCCTCAGCAGCACCTGCACCTGCCCTGGAGACAGCCCCGTGCTCAGTGTGCTGTCGCCCCCTGGTGGTCCCAAGGGACCCCTGCAGGGAGGTTTGTGTCTGGGCTCACACTGACTTCCCCTCACTGTGTCTCTCGCACAGTAATAAACAGCCGTGTCCTCGGCTCTCAGGCTGTTCATTTGCAGATACAGTGAGTTCTTGGCGTTGTCTCTGGAGATGGTGAATCGGCCCTTCACAGAGTCTGCGTAGTATATGGTACTACCACTACTACTAATGTATGAAACCCACTCCAGCCCCTTCCCTGGAGCCTGGCGGACCCAGTTCATTTCATAACTACTGAAGGTGAATCCAGAGGCTGCACAGGAGAGTCTCAGGGACCCTCCAGGCTGTACCAAGCCTCCCCCAGACTCCACCAGCTGCACCTCACACTGGACACCTGCAAACAAAGAGACACCAAGGTCAGAAACTGCCACACATATCCACTGTTTCTCTCACTCATATCCACACACACTAAATCTCTCTAGTTTTCCATGAATCACCTTCTAAAATAGCAACAAGGAAAACCCAGCACAGCCCCAACTCCATGGTGAGTCCTCTGTGTTCAGTGCTGATCACCAAGTGGAAATGCCTTGGAATCCAGGGCTAAGGCACCTCTCTGAGAGCTGCAGGGTCAGGGTTGGGTTGGTTTTCATCAGTAGAGGGAGGGCCCTATTTGCATATCTCCTACTATATAGCAAGCTCTAGGGTGGGACCCTTGAGGAGTAGGCTGTACCCAGATAAGACGACGGTGCCCTGTAGAAGTTTGCTGGCAATGATTGCATTTGGAAAATATGCTGTCTTATTATGAAATTGTGCTGTGATAAACACTTTGCACTAATCACCCTATTTCATTTTAAATATTCATGTAAACTATGTTCTGTAGGAGACAATATTTTCTCCATTTACAGAAGTGGAAGTAAACCCACACATGGGGGGGCTCTGTATGCGTCTCGGAGCTCATGTCTGGGATGAGTGAACCCCGGTATCTGGCCCTGTGCTCTTCATCACTGTCTCTGACATCCCCCTAAACCAACTCCAGGACAAAGCTGGATGTGTCTAGTGTTTTTATCAGAACCCACATTCCGTAATAAGAGCATGTGTGGTTTTGCTGCCCTCCAGCACTCTTCTGAAAATATGGAGAGAACTAGGATCCAGGCACATTAATTTTCAGGTACTTCTGACATTGAACTTATTTTTTCTGTCTTTCTATTACTCTTTCCTTGTCTAAGTTTCCATTTGTTTGCTTGTAAGACATTTTATGAGGCTTAATTGAAAGATAATAAACTTCACATATTTAAAATGTACAACTAATAAAAATGATGTAACTGCTATCATTACCAAGAAAGTGGACAAGTGAATTCTTCTCAACATTTCCCCTTGTTCTGCTGTATTCCTCCTCCTCTCCCCCTCCCTTCTTCTACCATTACCCCAGGCAACTACTTATCTTCATTATTTTACTTCAGATGCATTTTTATTTATCAGAATTTATAAAAATGAAATTACATAGTATATATTCTTATTTGTTTAGCTTATTTTACTCAACATAAATACTTAGATATTTTACCTTGTTGCTCTGTGTATCAGGCATTAATTTATTATAAATGACGGGTAGTATTCCAGTGAACACATTTACCATAATTTGTTTTTCTATTAAGAAGCTTAACAATATTTGTCTGGGCGGCAAGCCACCCAGGTGCTGAGGCAAGAGACTGAGGGCACAAGCTGTTCCAGTGTAATGAAGAGAATATGTAAAATAAGAATAGTTGTACTAGAAATAGGTTATAGATATGATTATATATGAATATCATTAATCATCAGTCTGTAGCATTACTCTTTATTCCAACATTATAATAATCCTTGCTCTACAATTATAACCTAGGAAAAACCAGGCCATACAGCAATAGGAGCTGAAGGGACACAGTGAGAAGTGACCAGAAGACAGGAGTGTGAGCCTCTGTCACGCCCGGACAGGGCCACTAGAGGGCTCCTCGGTCTAGCGGTAGCGCCAGTGCCTGGGAAGGCACCCATTACCCATTACTTAGAAGACCTGGAAAGGGAGTCTCCCTTTCCCCGGGGGAGTTAGAGAAGACTCTGCTCCACCACCTCTTGTGGAAGGCCTGACATCAGTCAAACCTGCCCGCAGCCCTCCAGAGGCCTAAACGTCTCTCTGTGATGCTGTGCTTCAGCGGTCACACTCCTGTTTCACTTTCATGTTCCACTCTGTACACCTGGCTCCGCCCTCTAGATAGCAGTAGCAGAATTAGTGAAAGTATTAAAGTCTTTGATCTTTCTGAGAAGAGAATGGAATAAATAATGACCTAAGCTGTCCTCTCTCTCTCTCCGCCTCGGCTGCCAAACAGGGAAGTGCCCTCTGTCTGGTGGACACGTGACCCACATGACCTTATCAATCATTGCAGATGACTCACACTCCTTACCCTTCCCCTTTTGCCTTGTATCCAATAAATAACAGCGGAGCCAGGCATTCGGGGCCACTTCTAGTCTGTGTCTTGGTGGTAGTGGTCCCCTGGGTCCGGCTGTTTTTTCTTCTATCTCTTTGTCTTGTGCCTTTATTTCTACGATCTCTCATCTCTGCACATGGGGAGAAAGATCCACAGACCCTGTAGGGCTGGCCCCTACATATTTGCATTCTTTTTTTACTCTGGGTCTTATTAAAAATTCTTCTACACAGCTTGGAAATGTACATAGATGAATAATATATTTTACTTATGTTTTACAACAACAGTATCAACAAAAATAGATAAACAGAGGAGCTGGAATTTTGGAATTTTTTTTTTTGAGACAGAGTCTCACTCTGTCGCCCAGGCTGGAGTGCAATGGTACGACTTGCAAACTCTGCCTCCTGGGTTCAAGCTATTCTCCAGTATCAGCCTCCCAAGTAGCTGGGATTACAGGTGCCTGCCACCATGCCAAGCTATTTTTTTTTTGTATTTTTAGTAGAGACAGGTTTTACCATGTTGGCCAGGGTGGTCTCAAACTCCTGACCTCAGGTGATCCACATACCTCAGCCTCCCAAAGCGTTGGGATTACAGGTGTGAGCCACCACAACTGGCCATTTTTTAAAAATAATACTTTAGATACTTGAAGTTTTAAGATAAACAGCAAATGTGAAATCTAGGGAGAGGCAAGTTCTTGTAAAGAGTAACAAAGCTGGGGTATGAGCTGAACTGAGGCAGAGTATGGCATGTAAAATGTAGGCTATTACAAGATGAAAACACACATATATATTGGATTGCTTGAAGTCAAGTGTGGTAAATGTGTTGTAGGGTGAATTTCTTAGGGACCACAGACTGAAGAGTTTTCCTATCCTATTGAATCCTTTTTCCCCAAAATGGGGACAGTCACCAAAATTGTTCTGTCCCATTGTGTCTGTCTAGGAGAGAAAAAGTGCCCACCCTTCTGAAAAGCGTTCAGACCCACCTTCCATATCCCCACTGGAGAACAAAGAAATTATTCTGGAGGGGCAAGCCACCAAAACCAGTATCTTAGGGGCACTGGGGCAATCCCTTAGGAACTGAGATGGGAAAAGAGGTCTTCACCTAAGTTCCATTGAGAAGTATCTCCCCTCCTTCTTATTTAATCAGAGCCTTAATCTGCAGTTCTAGTCAGCAAATCTGTAAGGTGATAACACCGAAAGAGAACGTTGGAGCTGTGGGAGGGAACAACTGGGGAAAACAAGAGGACTCCACAGCAGGGAAAAGAGCAAGAACACACAGACCAACATCTCATCTGGAGGAAGTTCAGAAACATTGGGAAGGTCACACCCAGACTCATGTTCACAATATGAACCCAGGAAAGGTCAGAAAATCTCCCTTTATTCTATTGCTTTCCACCAATTTCACAATTGTCAGTTAAATAACATTTAAATCCACCTGAGGGAGCTGAACATGATTCTCTGGAGGAGGGAACAGGTGAAGAGACAAAGCCAAGCAGGAAAGAAAAACAAGATATCACTGGAGGATCTGAAGTCTCTGGTGGACACAGAAGAACAGACTTCAACTTTGATGTCCACTGCAAAAGTGAATGTCAAATATAGTTCTGAGAAGATTCACAGATACTTCCACAGTAAAGGCCTGGCAAAGGTAAAGTGTGGTCAAATACAGGCAGAAATGCATAAAATGAAATAATAAGCCAGTATCCACTGTCCATCCCAGTATCTGTGGCTATCAACAATTATTACATACATTAATGAGAAGTACCAAAGTCGTAATAAACAAATGATCAGCATGAGATTTGTAGATGAAACAGATATTATAAATATCTAATTAAACAAGATATGTAAAGTAACTATGATTCATATGCAAGAATCTCTTAAAGAAATCGTGGACATAGATAGGGAACTGAAATATGAAAATACTAAGAATAAATCAAATGGAAATGCGTAAGAAATCAAAAGCAATGCTGTATGAACATCGAGCAATCTTTTGGCACACACCTCAGTAGAGCTGGCTCAGCTTTTCAATAAAACCATGTGATTAGTATGTCACTAGAAATTTCACAAAGTAAATTGCAAACGAAAAGAGAGTGAAGAAAGAAACTAAACATTAATATCAAAATTATAGTATGTGTATATTTTAAATCTGAGAAGGAGAAATTATAAATACACAGAAACTATTTGAAAAAGATAATAGCGAAGAATGTTCCCAATTTTGTGAAAGAAACTGAACTACAGATCCTAGAAGCAAAGAGAACCCCAAACAGAGTAAATAAAAACAAACACATGAACCACACATCCACCAAGGACACAGTGGTGCACAAGAAAAAGCTCACACATCACACACCACACACACATTTTCTCAGCTTTATTCTTTTTACTTAGTTGTTTTAAAATTATTTATATTTATAGTATTAAGTAGTAGTCTAAAATTAAAAGATATTATCCTATGCATAACTCTGTCTATGCATACCATTATCAAATACACGATTTGGTGCAAATGAATGTAACTACATTGTTAGTTAATTAACTATTTCAAAGAAAAATGGTATTTATTCCTGTCTCTGTGTTGAATCATTTGTAATGTACGCCAATATAATTCTTTTTAATTAAAGGATTTTTCAAAGTTGGCACATAATAACTGCTTATGTTTATGGGATACAGTGTGATATTTGAATACATGTGTGCCACTTGGTATGACCAAAATCAGAACAATGAGCAAATTCGTCAGTTCAGACACTAACATTTATTTGTGTTGGTAGCATAGAAAATTCTCTCTTCTGGCTTCTTGTAAACAGAAAACGTACAATATATTGTTAACTGTAGTCACCCTACTGTGCTGTAGAACACTAGAGCACATCCCTCCTGTCTACCTGTAATTGTGTGTTTGTTAACAAACCTCTTCTTATCTCTCAGCCTTCTCTCATTCCTGGCATCTCATCACCACTACTCTACTATTTACTTCTAGAAGTAACGCTGAGAAATGCGGTATTTATTTTTCTGTGTCTGACTCATTTCACTCAACATAGTGGTGTCCCATTCCATCCATGTTGCTTTAAATGGCAGAATTTCATTGTTAAGGCTGAATAATATTCCATTGTGTAAATATATCACATTTTATGTATCCATTCATCTGTTGATGGACACATATGTTGATTTCATATCTTAGAAATTGTGATTAGTGCTGCAATAAACATGGGTGTACAGGTATCTCTTCAATATTAGTTTTTTCTTTTAAATATTTAAATAGATATATACTTAGCAGTTGGATTGCTGGAATATATGGTAGTTCTATTTTTTTCCCTTGATGGCTGCACTAATTTACATTTCCACCAGTGGTCTATGAGTTTTACTTTCTAGGCATCCTGGCCAGCTTTTAATAAGTATGTATGTATGTATTTGTTTTTCAGATAACAAACTTTCTAGCAGAGATGAAGGGTGAAAAGACATCTCATTATGAATTTGCATTTTCCTGAATATTAGTGTATATATATGTATGTATGTATACTAATAGGTCTATCTATCTATCTGTCTGTCTATGATCTATTTGCCCTTTGCAAGGCTCTTTTTTTTTTTTTTTGAGATGGAGTTTCACTCTTGTTGCCCAGGATGGAGTGCAATGGCGCAATCTCAGCTCACTGCAACCTTCACCTCCTGGGTTCAAGTGATTCTCCTGCCTCAGTCTCCCTAGCAGCTGGGTATACAGGCGCCCACCACCACGCTCAGCTAATTTTTTGTAATTTTTTTTTTTGAGATGGAGTTTCCCTCTTGTTGCCCAGGCTGGAGTGCAATGGTGCCATCTCAGCTCACCGCAACCTCCACCTCCCAGGTTCAAGTGATGCTCCTGCCTCAGCCTCCCGAGTAGCTGGGATTACAGGCGCATGCCACCATGCCCAGCTAATTTTGTACTTTTAGTAGAGACAGGGTGTTCTTTATGTTGGTCAGGCTGGTGTCGAGCTCCTAACCTCAGGTGATCTGCGCAACTTGCCTCCCAAATTGCTGGTACTACAGACATGAACCACCACACCCGTTGAGCTTATTTCACATGCTTGGTAGTAATCCTTTGTCATATTAATAGTTTTCAATATTGTCTATCATCTGCAGGTCCTCTCTTAACTCAATTGTTTCCTTCAGTGTGCAGGAGCTACTCTTTCTTGATAGAACCTGGACAGGTGTGCTGAGGTGCTCTGGGACATTGGAGGGGAAGAGATGGACCCAATATCCAGAACCAGGTGACTTTTACTCACCATGTAGTTCTGAGTTTATGGTTTGAGCAGATGCAGAAATTTGTCCAGGACTTCTGGGGGGTAAAGAATTTGAAGGGAGAATGATATAGCTTATTAGTCAAATAAATGAAGATATCATAATTGTGCATATATTCTTGTAAGTGGGGGTAGCTCAGCAGTGTGTCTTCATCTGCAGAAAAGAGGAAATTATGTCTGCTGTGAAAAGAATGCATGATTTTTGACATATGTGGTTATTATTAATGACAACTGAGCCTGGATACTAGGTCATGTTATAATACTAGTGGAAAGACTCAATAGAAGAAAAAATGTCATAGCAACAAAAACGAAGCCCCGAAGATTTGAATGAAATGGCTTCAAATATTACTAGTCATGAACATGCCAAGAAAAATCAACTGCCATAATCAGAAGTATAATTCATGACCACTCATGTGATTCATGTTGGGAAAATATAAAATATCCATTTAATGGCTCATGACCACCTCACAAAATGACTCAGAGAAGAAGTTAAGAACAGAGGGTGACCTTACAAGAAGCAGAGGCCAAACATTTGAGGAGAGGTAGAATGTGTGTCAGAATTGTGAGAAGTAGAAACCTGAACTCTGCAGAGAAGCAGCAGTGATCAAAGGCAGTGCTGAGTCCACTTGAGTTTAGTGGTGAATACAGAAAAGATAGATTTCTCTGCCCTCATTGTTTTTGTTCTCAAGACTCTCTTGGAAGCTCAGTTGTGAACATTGGAAATCTACTTAAAACTTAATCATGGCAAGCAATTTTTCACTGAAGAAAATGGTAACAATGTGGGGGTAATTAAATTTTGGTTATAAATATTAGTTGTTGAAACCTCCACGTCAGTCTCTAGTAATTTCTATCATAAAATGCTCAGCCCCATCAATGGAGTCTTCTTACCCTATCAGGGATGAGTGTCCATGTGGGCACGTGGTGCAGTCACGGAGGCTGGGGAGATGGTCTGTCCAGGCTTTCCTGGTCCTTCAGATGAGAATTGCAGAGTTGTCTCCTCCCCTATTCCCACCAATTTTCATATTATTTCATGTGACCCTTGAGAATGTATTGCCATGTCTCTACATAATAGGAGTCAAATCTGGCATGAAGCTGACATTCTGGGTGTATCAGTGTAGAACTGGGCAAAGAAACTGCCTGCCTACATGAACTATTGCATTATCCAGGCCTGGAGCCTCTCACATCTAGGCTTTGAATTTTATTCTTGATTTTCTGTGTTGTTTAGTCAGTTCAAATGTTCTTTTTAACTTTCTACTGAATGTTAACTTTCTCACATAATAATCTAGAGGCATAAAGACTAAAAAATTACTTATTTGGAAATTAACCCAAGTTCCAGGTGAGGCCATAGTTTGTGGTGATAATGAGACAGGGAGAAGCATGGCTGGAAACTATGACTGTGCTTATAAATGCTTCATGTTAACAGGGAAGACCCTGTACACCTAAGAGATTTAGACACTGCCACTGAGAACCTCGACCTAATATTATTTGTTATGAATTGCACCTCAATGATAAAACTCTAGGCTTTTGACTAAAATTGCTATTACTAATGTAAGCTTTTCTTTGGAATACAGCCCTCTATCTGATGTAAAATCAGCCCAGATGGCAGAAGTGATTGTATTTATTAGAACTTCCAATTTGTCAAACTAGGAAACAAACACATTTTAGGGCAGTGCATGGCTTTGGGATGCTTTGTTAACAACAGAGCATCTCATATGTTCCGGAACACCCACCAAAATGGGCAAGTTAGGGAACTCTTAGAAGCACTCCTTTATCCCAGATTCCTGGCAAATATAAAGACGGTAGTCATTGCAAAAAGAGGTAACATTGAAGCTAAGAAAACTGCCACAGCAGATCATATCCTCAGAAGAGAAAACTGCTGAGAGGGTCACAGATGTTATTAAAGCATAACTTTAGGTCCTGATTTTAAATAAAAATAAATGAAAAAACATCTAGTTATTGACTTTGCTTAGATAATTTGTGCCAGATTATTACAAATTAATATTTGATGTATTTCAACTCTTCAATTTATAGACAAATTCATTATCCAATTAAACACTTTGAGGAAACAGCAGAGGTTAATTCTTGATGAAGTGTAACAAGACAGCCACAAAATCCTGGGAGAACCCTATCATTGGGACCTAGACAGAAACCAAGCCACAGGGCCCTTTGGACACAT
Source organism: Homo sapiens (assembly GCF_000001405.40). NCBI lineage: Eukaryota > Metazoa > Chordata > Mammalia > Primates > Hominidae > Homo > Homo sapiens. Next base: position 1,038,289 of record NT_187600.1, read on the forward strand.
TTAGGTAAAATTTCCTCAATTTCCACCCTTAAGGGGATGTGAAAGTATTTTATTTATAATCTATATGTGTTCTCCGTGTCTTGAAATAATTCATTGACAAAAGGCTACAGCCCTTTCAGTTGGTTAAACACTTCGGTATTTTGTGTTTTTAGCCTGTGACCTGCCAGGTTTTGCATGAACTGAGTGAAGTACACCCATGAAAGGAACTATTATAAAATGATTCTGTGAGGTATGGCTGATACTAAAGTATGACACTGTTATAACCTCCCACAATCTTCCACATAAGTTTATGGGTATCCATGTGCAGAAGAAAATAAATGGACTGGCTAGACACAGTGACTCACTCCTGTAATATCAGCAGTTTGGGAGGCCAAGGCGGGCAGATCAAGAGGTCAAGAGTTCTAGACCAAGCCTGGTCAACATGCTGAAACCCTGTCTCTAATAAGGTGTTCTTACATTAAAATTATCACAATTTTAAGGAACCCTTGAACTCCCTTGGCGACATGTACTCCTACTAGCACTGTGGCATTATGGTCCTCTGCCTCAAGGATGTATCTGTTATTGCCCCATGACTTGATGGCTGGAACAAATACATTTAGAGATTTTACCTCCAATACTAGCCTTTGCCATACAGTATTTGGATGAGGCAGAACACTCAAAGAGATTCATGTATTATGCTCATTCCTATCACCAACAGATTAAAGCTGCCATTCCAGTATGTCTTTTTAACAACAGCCTGTTTCAATTTTAGGCAGGAAAATTTATGTATTAGAAAAAATTTTAGAGAAAAACTTTCCTTGAAACACTGGAAGGAATCTTATTAAATATTTTTATGAACACTACAGTAAAACTCCATGGAGTCAGTCCTTGGGATTTGTTTTGCAATTCAATAAGGAATTAAAAATTCCACACAAATGGAACACTACTCCCATAGAGGGAATTTGTACATACTTAATTAATAGTCCAACCTTCACTAAGAGGCACTCTCCTATGGGAATCCAAAACTTAACAGATCTCTGTAACCTGCTGAAGTCTCAATGGACTTTACCTCTATGCAGCCATAAATGCAAAGGCAAATTTTGTATTTTTGTGCATGAGTGATCTGGACACACCCTTTGCATTTTAACTGAATTTCATGGAAACATGATTACTTACTAGGAACTCATATTTAATGGTATTCAAAAACTCATCACCCTTGTGATGGGGTGACAATAGGTGCCTTGGAGAAATATGCTGATGCTTCACTTGAACAAGTTCTAGACTCTTCCCTTGGCTTCATGGTTTCTCACTCAGTACAGATATGTCTAGGAACAAAACCCAACACTGACATCCAGCAGTTTCTTCTCTTGTGAAATTTATTTGTTTCTTTGTTTTCCTGTCTTTCTCTTATTCTCTCTCTTGCCTTCTCATTATGATTTTCGCTATATCATTCTGAAACCTGCTAACATTACGCATCTTGAATCATGCCAATTTCCAGCCTCAAAAAGAAAAATGTGCAAACTCATAATTTTCTTAACAAGGTTAGAAAACTTCCTGCCTTTCCACCAGATTCATTAGAGACTCCCAATGAGAATCATGATGAAATGTTGTGTGTTTTTGGATCATACCTCAAAACTGAAACTGCTTTTTATAATGGTTTTTCCGTTTGTATTTCCACTATTGTGCAAAGTTGTATGAAGACTCCAAAATAAAAGAAAAATAGAAATACCTGATGACTCAGCAAATCCTATTCTGAGTATGTTCTAAAGAAGATAAAATCACTGCCTCATAAAGGCATGTGCACTCCATGTTCTTGCAGCTCTATTCACAATAGCCCAGATATGAAAGCAACCTCAGTGTCTGTAGGTGGAGAAATGGATATAAAAATATAATCGATGTAGGCAATAGAATATTATTCAGCCATAAATGTTGATATCTTGTCATTTGCAACAATATGAATGGAAGTGGAAGCCATAATGTTAAGTTAAATAAACCAAACACAGAAAGACAAATATTGCATCTTCTTACTTTTATGTCACAACTAAAACATTGGATTTCCTGAAGACAGAGAGTAGATTGTTGTTTACCAGAAGCCTGGTTGGATACAAGAGAGAAGAGGATAAAGAGAGGATGATTACTGAAGACAGATATACAGTTATATAGGAGAAATACAACCTAAATGTTTGATAGATGAGTAAGGTGACTATAGTTAACGATAATCTAATGTATACGTTAAAATAGCCAGAAGAGAGTTGTTCAAATGTGCCTAGCATAAAGAAAATATACACGTTTAATGTGATAGATATACCAATCCTGATCTGATCTTTACACGTTTATAAATGCATCAATATATTACATGTTCCCATAAATTAGGTATATCTATTATATGCCTATAAAATAAATATATAATCTCCATGGCATGGTTTTACAAAAATATTAAAAAGTTCTCCAATTTATGTAAAAATACAAAAGCTTTAAATAGCCAAAATAATTTTGGGTAAAATATAACTGAATATATCATATTCTATAATTTCAAAATCAAATCTATGTAAATCAAAACAGTATAATGCTGACATTTAAACAGACATAGAATCCAACAGAACATTACAGACAATCTGGAAGTCCACCAATTTCTTCCCAATAAACTGATCTTTGATGAACTGCCAAGAACACACAATAGAGAAAAAACAGTCTCTTCAACAAGTGCTGTGAAAACTGGGCATCCATATGCGGAAGAAAAAAAATGGACCTTATCTCACACAATACATATAAATCAGCTAAAAATGGATTTAAGACTTAAACAAAGACCTGAATATGTGGTACAAAGTTATCCATGTATGGTTTGGAACAAAATGCAAATTAGTACAGCCATTATGAAAAAACAGCATCAAGATTACTCAATGAATTGAACATAGAATATACCCACTTCTGAGTATACATCTAGAGAAAATAAAGTGAGTGTGACAAATATATGTTTATTGTGAGATTATTCATAATAGCCTAGATATAGAAAATAGGTCAATGTCCATCTATGAATCAACAGATAAAATGTGGCTTATTCCTACCTAAAAGTGAATATTATTCTGCCTTTAAAAACGAGGAAATTCTAACATGTACAACACATAGAGAACACTTTGCTAAGTGGAGTGAGACACAGAGAGTCAAATGTTGCATGAACTCATTTATATGTAGAATCTAAAATATTCATGCTCTTGGAAGCAAAGTAGAATAGTAGTTCCCAGGGGCTGGGAGGAGGAAAAAATTGGCTGATGTTGGTCAAAGGTTATAACTTTCAGTTATGCAGGTTGATACAGTTTGGCTCTGTGTTCCCACTCAAATCTCAGGCCAAATTGTAATCCCTACATGTTGAAGGAAGGGCCTAATATAAAGTGATTGGGTAATGGGGTGGCCTTCCTCTTTGCTGTTCTCCTGATAAAGTTCTCAAGAGATCTGATGGTTTAAAAGTGTGGCACCTCCCGTCTCCCTTGCTGTCTCTCTCCTGCCATCTTGCAAAGAAGATTTTTGAATCCCCTTCACCTTCGGCCATCATTGTGTGTCTTGATGCCTCCCAGTAATGCTTCCTGTTTAGCCTGAAGAACTGTGAGTCTACTAAACTCTTTTCTTCATAAATTACCCAGTCTCAGGTAGTTCTTTACAGCAGTGTAAGAATCAACTAATACAGAAAATTTGCACTAGGAGTGGGCACTGCTATTAAGATACCTAAAACTGTGGAAGTGACTTTGTAACTGGGTAATGGACAGAGGCTGGTAAAGCTTGGAGGGCTCACAAGAAGACAGGAAGCTGTGGAAAAGTTTGAAACTTTCTAGAGGCTTACTGAATGGTTTTGAACAAAATGCAGATAGTGATATGGACAATAAAGTCCAGGCTGAGGTGGTCTCAGATGCTAAGATGAAGAACTTCTTGTGAACTGGAGTAAAGCTCACACTTGCTATGCTTTAGCAAAAAGACTAGTGGCATTTTGCCCCTGCCCTAGAGATCTGTGCAATGTTGAACTAGGGAGAGATGACTTAAGGTATCTAGCAGAAAAAATTTCTAAGTAGCAAAGCATTCAATATTTGCCCTGGCTGTTTCTGAAAATGTAAGTCATATGCATTCATTAAGAGATGGTCTGAAATTTGAACTTATGTTTAAAAGGGAAGCAGATCATAAAAGGTTGAAAAAAATTGCAGCCTGACCATGTGGTAGACAAGAAGAATCCATTTCCTGGGAAGAAATTCAAGCGGGCTGCAGAAATTTGCATAAGTAATGAGGAACCCGATGGGAAAAACATCTTGAGAGCATTTCAGAGATCTTTGCTGCGGTCCCTCCCATCACAGGCCCAGAAGCCCAGTAGAGAAAAATGGTTTCATGGTCCAGGCCCAGGACCCGACTGCTCTGTGCAGCCTTGGGACATCCCTGTCCCTCTCCTGCCAGCCATGGCTAAAGGGGCCAAGGTCCAGCTCAGGCCATTGCTTCAGAGGGTGCAAGCCCTAAGCTTTGGTTGCTTCCACGTGGTGTTGAGTCTGCGGGTGCACATAAGGCAAGAGTTGAGGTTTGGGAGCTTCCTCTTAGATTTCAGATGACGTATGAAAATGTCTGGGTATTCAGGCAGAAGTCTTATGCAGGGCTGAGCCCTAATGGAGTACCTCTACTAGGCCAGTGTGGAAGGAAAATGTGGTGTTGGATCTCCCACACAGAGTACCCACTGGGCACTAGGCACTAGATGCCTAGTGGATCTGTGAGAAGAGGGGCACCTTCCTCCAGACCCCGGAATGGTAGATCCACCAACAGCTTGCATGCTGTGCCTGTAAAGCCATAGAAACTCAATGCCAGCCTATCAAAGCAGTCATGGGGACTGTACCACGTTGAGCCACAGGGTGGAGCTTCCTAAGGCCTTGGGAGCCCAACCCTTGTATCAGTGTGTCCTGGATGTGAGACATGGGGTAAAAGGAAATTATGCTGTAGCTTTAACATTTAATGGCTGCCCTACTGGTGTTTGGACTTGCATGGGGCCTGTAGCCCCTTTTCTGTGGCCAATGACACCCATTTGGAATGGGAGCATTTACCCAGTACATGCACCTCCATTGTGTCTTGGAAATAACTAACTTCTTTTTAATTTTACAGGTTTATAGGGGGAAGAAATTTACCTTGTCTCAGAGGTGACTTTAGACTATAGATTTTTGTGATAATGCTGAAATGAGTTAAGCCTGGAAGACTGTTGAGAAGGCATAATGATATTTTGCAATGTGAGAAGGACATGAGATTTCTGATAGACCATGGGTGGAATGATATGGTTTGGCTCTGTGTTTTCACCCACATCTCATGTCAAATTTTAATCCCCAAGTGTTGTAGCAGGTGTCTGATGGGGAGTGATTGGATCATGCGGGCGGTCTTCCCTTTTGCTGTTCTTGTGACAGAGTTCTCACAAGATCTCAAGGTTTAAAAGGGTGGTGCATCTCCCCTTGCTCTTTCTCTCTCTCCTGCCAGCATGTGAAGCGGTCCTTGCTTCCCCTTCACTTTCTGTGATGACTGTAAGTTTCCTGATACCTCCTAGTAATACTTGCTGTTAAGCCTGCAGAACTGTGAGTCAACTAAACCACTTTTCTTCATAAATTTCCCAGTCTCAGGTAGTTCCTTACATTAGGGTGAGAATGGACTAATACACAGGTTGAAATAGTTCTGGAGATCAAACCTACAGCAATGTGACTATACTAATGAATGTTGCATTATAAACATATCTTTTGCCAGACAAGTAGATATTAGGTGATTTCATCACACATACACAATAAATTAAAGGCATAAAATGTTAACTCTCTGAGATGATAGGCATGCCAATTACCTTGATCATTATGAGCATTTCCCCAAGAATATCAATACATCAATTGGTGTACCTTAAATACAGAAAATTTTATTTGTCAGTGATAGCTCCATAAAGCTGAAAAGGTATAATGCATACTTATATTTCAACATATTTTATCAATAAAAATGTGTGAATATAAACAGAAGAACTTGTACAAAGATATGTATGACAGTTTTGTTTATGATATTTATATTGGAAACAAATTTAAATTCCATCAACAGGAAAATAGATATACATATTGTCACTTATTCCCTTAATGAACTGATTTATTTAATAATCTGTCATTTATTAATGCAATGGACTGATTCAGATATGAAATATCTATATGTGTATGAGTACATACATATTTATACATATGTTGACAAAACCTTGATAGATGCTATCACATGAATGAACCTCACAGATAGTAAAAGCTTCTTACAAAAATGAGCTATAATATTTTATTCCATGTATATGAAATTCAAAACAAGAAAATGGACCTATAGTGACAGAAATCAGAACATTTTTCTATTTACATTTCTCTGATGATTAGTGATGTTAAACATTTTAAAAATATATTTGCTGGTCACTTGTATGTATTCCTTTGAGAAGTGTCTGTGTCATTTGCCCACGCATTAGTCCATTTTCAAACTGCTAACAAAGACACACCCAAAACTGGGAACAAAAAGAGGTTTAATTGGAATTACAGTTCCACATGGCTGTGAAGGCCTCCAAAACACGGTGGCAGGTAAAAGGCACTCCTTACCTGGTGATGGCAAGAGAAAAAGAGGAAGAAGCAAAAGCGGAAACCCCTGATAAACCCATCAGATAAACCCCTGATAAGTCTCATTAGATCTGGTGAGACTTATTCACTACCAAGAGAATAGCACGGGAAAGACAGGCCCCCATGGTTCAATTACCTCCCCCTGGGTCCGTCTCACAACACATGGGAATTCTGGGAGATACAATTCAAGTTGATATTTGGGTGGGGACACAGCAAACCGTATCAGCCCATTTTTAATGGGGTTATTATTATTATTATTTTTTGCTTCTTGATTTGTTTAATTTCCCTATAGATTCTGGATATTACGGCTTTGTTGGATGGAACGTTTGTGAATATCTTTCCACATTCTGTAGGTTGTCTGAGTACTGTGCTGTTAGTTTTGTTTGCTTCTTTGTTTGTTTTGCTGAGCAGGAGCTCCTCAGTTAATTAGGCCCCACTTGTCTATTTTTCTTTTTGTTGCAATTGGTTTTGGATACTCAGCCAACATTTTTTTGTCAAACCTGATGTCAAGAAGAGTATTTCCTAGGTTGTCTTCAAGGATTTTTATGGTTTGAGGTCTTACATTTAAAACTTTAATGAATTTTGTGTTAATTTTATACATGTTGAAAGTAGATATCCAGCTTCAATCTTCATCATATGCCTAGCCAGTTGTCCCAGCACCATTTATTGAACAGGGAGTCCCTTCCTCATTGCTTGTTTTCATCAGCCTTATCAAAGATGAGATGACTGTAGGTGTGCAGCCATGCACCACTCAGAATGGTTATCACTAAAAAGTCAAAAAACAATGGATGCTGCTGGGACTGTGGAGAAAAGAGAACACATACACTGATGAGGGGAATATAAATTGGTGTTTCCATTTTGGAAATCAGACTGGAGATTTCTCAAAGAACTTAAAACAGAGATATCATTTTACGCAGCAGTCCCACCACGGGGTATACACTGAAAAGTAAGCAAATAATTCTACCAAAAAGACACATACACATCTATGTTCATTGCTGTGCTATTCACAGTGGCAACGACATAGATCAAACCAGATGCACATCATTGGTAGACTGAATATACAAAATGCGGTACATCTACAATGTATAATACTACACAGCCATGAAAAAGAATGAAATCATGTCCTTTGCAGTAAAATGAAAGAAGCTGGGGCCCTTAATCCTAAACAAATTAATGTAGGAGCAGAAAACTGAATACCACATATTCTCCTAAGTAAGACCTCAGCATTGAGCACACATGGACATAATTATGAGAATGATAGACACTGTGGACTGCTGGAGAGTGGAGGGAGAGGATGGTGGAATCTGTATTCCAAACCTCAGCATCACTCAATAATCCCCCGTGACAAATCCAAACATTTACCCTCTGTATCTATATTAAATTTGAAAAAAAATTCCTTATGTGAGAGCTGACTGGAAGCACCGAAGAGGACACTTGTTGTGGAGATGGACCTGCTCCTCATCATAACTTAGATGCTGGAGACAAATGTGTGCACATTTGCCAGAAACCCTCAAACTGTACATTGAAAATATATGTATTTTGTATAGGTTAATTTTATCTCATAAAAATCAAAAATTGACATTTGTAGGAAAATATTTTATATTGAAATTAAAATATTAATAAAATGTATATGAAAATTAAAATGCAAAATGTAAATGTGATTATTATGATAATTATTAAAATGCATTCAGCTCTATCTACTAGAATAAAATCCCAGAAATAAGAAAGATAAAGGTGGCATCTTAAAATGAAAAATTAATAAATACACATATCACGGGTAAGTAAAACATGGCTAAAAAATATGTGGAACATTTTATATTATTAGTTATAAAAGTTAATAAACTAGTGATATAATATTTTAACCTGATTTATCAGGATAAATTTCTAATATTCTGTATAAAATCACAATTGGGGACAGCTGACAGGAAAATAACAATATTTGCAAGTTCATGTTCTAAATGTTAATATAATCTCAATGTTGGCTCAGCTATTACACCTGAAATTTGTAATTATATCATTTATTTGTTTGAGTCTTTGGAAAAATTAATTTTAAGAGATGACTTAGCAGAATCATCTACAATATGGAGATAATAGCATCTCATCTACAAATAAATTGAGAATCCATAATACATGTATATCCTGATAAGAAACCCTGTTCCATGGAAAAGGGCTTATCCTATTTGGTTGTGATACGTTACTGTTAAAATTATCACCTTCACGATGATTTAGAAAATTAAAGCAAACCCTGATGAATTGAAGTGTGATGTTGCTTGTTTGGTACAACAGCGGGGTAAGGATAATGAAGAGCCCTGTGATCCCGAGGAGATGGCCTAATCCAAGGAGAGGGAGGCTCCAGGTCGTGTGGACTCACACGGGGCTCCTCCTTCTGCCCGTCCTGCAGCCTCTCCAGAAGTCTTCGGGAGACAGGGGTGAGGATGGGCCCTCGAGATGATCCAGTGAGATCTGGAAGCGAAGAAAAAGATAATGATCTGGGATAAATTAAAAAATTAAAATAAAGAAAATTATTGTAATTTCACAAATTATGGTTGTTTATATTTATAAGGTAAGAAGCAATGTTATGATTTGTGAATACAATATGGAATAACTAAGATAATTGAGAAATAAGATAATTATCATTCACCACCTCAAATTCTTATCATATATCGTAACAACAACATCTGAAATTTACTGTTAGCTCTCTTGAAATGACCAATATACTACTTTTAAATGAACAAATAGAAATAAATTCAAGTAAACGATTAAAAATAACAAATCAATTATAAATTACTCTAACATTTATATTTACTTCATCATTATGTTTGATTCCTTAGGACACATTTTTAGAATTATTTTATTGTAATGTTTAATATAAATCCCTATGGTTATATGCATAGGTCTGCGTGTTTATATATCTTTTTTCTTTCTTTCCTTCTTTTCTTCCTTCCTTCCTTTCTTCCTTCCTTCCTTCCTCTCTCTTTCTTTCTCTCTTTTCCTTCCTTCCTTCCTTCCTTCCTTCCTTCCTTCCTCTCTCTTTCTTTCTCTCTTTTCCTTCCTTCCTTCCTTCCTTCCTTCCTTCCTTCCTTCCTTCCTTCCTTCCTTTCTTCCTTTCTTCCTTTTCTTTTCTTTCTTTCATACAAAGTCTCGCTCTGTCGCCAGGCTGGAGTGTAGTGGCAGTCCACTCCACTCACTGTGACTTCCGCTTCCCGGATTCAAGCAATTCTCCTTGCTCAGCCTCCCGAGTAGCTGGGATTACAGGCGCCCCTCACCACGCCAGGCTAATTTTTGTAAATTTTTAGTATAAACGGGGTTTCAGGCCTAAACAACTGTCTATCGTTAAAAGTGTTTGTCCCTATAGCTATGTAGTTGCTGATGTCAACAAATGTTAATAAAACTCTGGGAGAATCAGTGCAAATAATTAGGAATGTTTATTTCTTGAAAGTATACACTTAAAAATATATCCATAGAGTTGTAAAAATTACCAAAATTTAAAAACTAATGATAATAAATGAACAGTAAATACAAGTAATAAAATATCACAGCCTAGAAGGCTCGAGTCCTGGGAAGATAAAGGTGACTTTTCCAGCCAAGGAAAAAGGAAACCTCCCCCTGCACCTGCTCCTGGGACCTGTCCCGTACTCAGTCGGTCCCTAGCGCCCCCTGGTGGCTCTGTGCGCCCCTGCAGGGAGGTTTGTGTCTGGGCTCACACTGACCTCCCCTCACTGTGTCTCTAGTACAGTAATACACGGCTGTGTCCTCGGTTTTCAGGCTGTTCATTTGCAGATAGGCGATGCTTTTGGAATCATCTCTTGAGATGGTGAATCTGCCTTTCACAGACGCGGCGTATTCTGTTGTCCCACCATAAGCTTTGCTTCTAATGAAACCTACCCACTCCAGCCCCTTCCCTGGAGCCTGGCGGACCCAGCTCATAGCATAATCACCAAAGGTGAATCCAGAAGCTGTACAGGAGAGTCTCAGGGACCGCCCTGGCTGTACCAAGCCTCCCCCAGACTCCACCAGCTGCACCTCACATTGGACACCTGCAAACACAGAAACACCAAGGTCAGAAACTGCCACACATATCCACTGTTTCTACCACTCATGTCCCCTCACACTCAGTATCTCTAGTACACCATGAATTACCTTTTAAAATAGCAACAAGGAAAACCCAGCTAAGCCCAAACTCCATGGTTGGTGGTCTGTGTTCAGTGCTGATCACCAAGTGGAAACTCCTGGGAATCTCACGGCTGGGGCTCCTCTCCCAGAGCTGCAGGGTCAGGGCTGGGCTCATTTTCATCAGCAGAGGGAGGGCCTTATTTGCATGTCTCCTACTATATACCAAGCTCTGGGGTGGGACACCTGAGGAGAGGACGGGGCCCAGATAAGATGACTGTGCCTTGAAGGAGTTTGGTGACAATGATGGTATTTGGGAAATATGCTGTCTTATTGTAAAATTATGCTGTGATAAACACCTTGAACTGATCACCCTATTTAATTTTACATATTTGTATAAATTATATTTTGTCAGTCAGTGGTCTCTCCATGTACAGATGTGGAAGTAAACCACACACGGAAAAGGGACTAAGTGTGTATGTTAGAGCTCATGTTTGGGATAAGTGATCGCTGGTATCTTGGCCTGTGCTCCTCATCACTGGCCCCAATAACTCCCTGAACCAACTCCAGGACAAAGCTAAATGTGCCGAGTGTGGTTTGTAGAACCCACTTTCTGTAGTGAGAACATGCGTGATTTTGCTGCATTTTAGCATTCACCTAAAGATATGGTGAGAACTAGGGTTCAGGCAGATACATTCTTAAATATTTCTGAAATTTAATATACATTTTCTCTTTCTATCACTCCTTCTTGTCTAACTTTCAATTTTTGCTTGTAATAAAGTTTATAAGTTTAGTTTACAGATAATAAACTTTCACATATTTAAAGATTACAGTTGATAAAAATGATGTAACCGTCATCCTTATCAAGTTGGACAAGAGAATTCTTAACATTTCCTTTTGTTCTTCTGTATTCTTTCTCCTTTTCCTTTCTTTCTTCTACCATTTCCCTGGCAACTACTGATCTTTACATTGCTGCAAATTCATTTTAATTTTTCAGAATTTATAAAAATGAAATAACATAGTATACATTCTCATTTGTTTGGCTTATTTTAGTTAGCATAAATGGATATTTTACCTTGTAGTTGGGTATATCAAATGTTTACTTATTATAAATGCTGGGTAGCATTCTAGCAAACAAATTTACTATAATTTGTTTTCCTATTAAGCAGCTAAACAATATTTGAATTTTTTATTATTCTGGGTGTTACTAAAAATTTGCTACTAAGCTTGGAAATGTACAGAAAAAAGGAATGTATTTTTCTTATTTTTTACAACTGCATCAACAATAACAGATAAACATGGAGGATGGAATTTTGCCAATTTTCTTTAATATTTCTGATAAAATTTCAAAACACACAACAAATCTGAAGCTTATGGAGAAGCAATTTCTTGTAGAGAGTAACAAAGCCAGGGTTTGAAATTACCTAAGGCAGAGTCTGGAATATAAAATATTGTCTGTTCCAAGAAAAAATACAAATATATATTGGGCTGCTTGAAATTGAGTGTGGGAAACGCTTTTTAGTGTGAAATTTTAAGGGACCACATGCCCAAAAGCAACCTATCCTCTTGAATCCCTTTCCCCAAGAAAGGGGACAGTTACTAAAGTCTTACTTTCCCGAAGTGTCTTTCTGGGAGAGAACAAGATCCTCGACATCTAAAATGTATTCAGACCCAACTCCCTTAATCCCCCTACAGAACTAAGAATTTACTCTGCAGGGACAAGCTACTGAAACCAGAATCCTAGGAACACTGGTTCAACCCTACAGGAATTGAGATGGGAACAGAGATCCTCACCAAAGATCTATTGAGGAGCAGCTCCCCTATCTTGCTTATGGAATCAGAGCCTTAGTCTGCAGGGCAGGGCAGAAGATCTGGAAGGTGATGACACTGACTGAGAACACTAGAGCTGTGGGAGGGAGCACCTGGGGAAAACAGGAGGACTCTACCCCAGGGAAAGGGGCAAGAACACCCAGACCAGCATCTCATATGGAGGAGGGTCAGGAACACTCACAAGGTCATGCCCAGACTCTGGGTCACAATGCCTTCCTAGGAATATGGAAAAAGGAATATGGACCTAGGAATATGGAGTCTTTAGCCTAATGTCTTTAACCGATTTAGAAATTGTCAGTTAAATAAAACAATTGAATGCACCTGAGGGAGCTGAAAGAGATTCTCTGGGGTACAGAACAAGTTGAAGAGACAAAGTCAAGCAGACAAAAAACAAAGAAGGCATCATTGGAAGATTTGTAATCTCTGGTGGACATAGAACAACAGAGTTCAATTAGTTTTTGAAACCCTGAAATCAGTCTTTAGTAATTTTATATGATAAAATAGTCAGCCTCATCAATGGAGTCTTATCCCCATCAGGGATGAATATCCGTGTGGGCACGTGGTGCATTTCTGGTCATGGAGGCAGGGGAGATGGTTGGTTGAGGCATTCATGGTCCTTCAGAAGAGAATTCCAGAAATGTCTCTGCCCCTTTTCCAGCCAATATTTAACATATGTGTGTGAGCCTTGGGAATGTTGTCACCATGTCACAGCATGATAGGAGTCCCCTGGGGGGTGAAGCTGCCTTTCTGGATGTATCAGTGTGGAAAATTGAGACAAGAAACAGCCTGGGCACATGAGCTGTCAAATTATTCAATCCTGGAGCCACTCACATCCAGGCTTCCTGTTTCATCAGGTTGTGATTTTCCTCATTGTTTGGTCAGCCTGGGTTGTCTTTCTTCACTCTCTGCTGAAATAGTCACACATAATAATCCGGAGGCTTTGAGATAAGTAAGTGACTAATTAGATAATTAGAACAAGTGCCAAGTGAATTTACTGTGTGGTTAACAAAGTGACAGACAGGAGACATGGCTGGATACTACGAGAGTGTTCACATCTATTTTATCTAGATTAGCAAAATATCTTGTGTATCCCTTAGGTAATATTCCCATTGAGACCCTTGATTTAACATTAGTTCTTGATTAATAACACTTAAATAATAAAAGTAGTGGTTATTAATTAATAATATATATTACTAGTGCAAATTTTCATTTAGGATATATTCCTCTACCTGATATAAAATCAGCCCAGAAGGCAGAAGTTATTGCACTTACTAGAGCTTGTCAATTAACCAAAGACCAGGATTAAATACAGATGTTCTACTGTAGTGCAGAATTTTAAACTGTGCTGCAGGCAGAGGAGGTTTTTAAATCTCCTGGAAGCCCCATCAAAATGGCCAACAAGAAAAGACACTTTCAAATAAACTCCTACATTCTAGAGACCTTACATATAAATTTGAAACTAATGCAAACAAAGAGAAAAACAAAATCTAGTATGGAAGCTAGAATAATGTTCTGGTGCATCATTACACCAAACACTCAGTCTTAACCTGGTTTGTAATATTATCCAAACAGAAGGCATTGCCATTGTTCGTATCATACAGAATCAATCCCACTCACAATATTCTGGATATGTTGAAAAAATGGCATCTTTAAATTTAAAAATTATAACCACTTTAATAAAATATGGAAACTCTCTTGGCCAAGAGTTATCCCACAAGCACTACGGCATTACGTTCCCTCTCTCAGGACTCATCAGTTACTGCCCTGTGACTTGGGAGCTGGAAGATTCATACATTTAGAAATTTTACCCTCATTGCTCACCTTCCTCCTACTGCAGGCGTGTGTTACACAATATTGAACGTAATTTTTGTATTATACTCACTCCATCACCAAAAGTTTAAGGTTGCCTTTTTATGTCATCTTTTAATAGTATTTTGTGATCTTCAACCATGAAATTATCACTATTGGAAGAAACATCAGGAGAACACTCTGCTGTTGAAACTATTGAAATAAATCTTATCAGACATTATTAACCAAAACGCTGCAGAGAAAATTCAGGGAGTCAATTCTTGGGTTAATATTTTGCAACCAAATAATCATTTCTGAGCAGACATGGTGGCTCATGCCTTTAATTCCACCATTTTTAGAAACAAAACCAGGGGAATCACGTGAGACCAGGAGTTCAAGACCAGCCTGGGCAACATAGAGAGACCCCATTTCTATGAAACAATTTTTTTTAAATCAGCTGTGTGTGGTGGTGCACCTCTCTAGTCCATGCTACTCAGGAGGCTGAGACAGAAGGATTATGTGAGCCAGAAGTTCAGGGTAACAGTGAGCTATGATTGTGCCACTGCACTCCAACCTGTGTGACACAGTGAGGCCCTATCTCTAATTATACTGATAATAACTAAGCATTTTACACAGTTGTAAGGCACCTCAAATATAAGATATTAAACTGAGTATCCTCAAAAATCCTCTGGTGGTTCTGATGTTTTGGAGCAGACAGTTCACCTAAGACATTCAGAATAGGTGGATGATTTTAGATAGTGAAAAGTCTCCACACAAGACATTGGAACAGGACCCTTGTCTAATCCCCTGCCCCATGCCTTTCACCTCACTCTCCTTGTTTTCCTCCTAATTTTCATTATGATTTGCTTATTCTTATAAGCAGTCTTCTCCTTTTTTGTAGGCCTGGTTGTTGTCCACCCATCTTGGGCTGATATTTTTTTACTCTTTTTTTTTTTTTTGAGATGGAGTCTTGCTCTGTCACCCAGGCTGCAGTGCAGTGGTGTGATCTCAGCTCACTACAACCTACGCCCCCTGGGATTAAGCTATTCTCCTGCCTCAGCCTCCTGAGTAGCTGGGATTACAGGCGCCCACCACCACAACCCAACTATTTTTTTTTTAAATATTTTTAGTAGAGACGGGGTTTCACCATATTGGCCAGGCTGGTCTTGAACTCCTGACCTCATGATCCACCTGCCTCAGCCTCCCCAAATGCTGGGATGACAGACTTAGGCCACCGTGACCAGAACGATTTTTATAGGTGCTACATAGAATAAGTCATCAGACTATTGTTTTGATATCTGACTGCTGATAGCTTAAGGCTCATTCCTTCATCATCTCCTTTCTTTCCCACACGAGGTGAATCTAGTTAGGAATCACAGGAGTTACCCTATTTGAAGCCATGTAGATGTTCAAACGCCACAAACTCCTTTCTTGAGTGAGAACCCTCACTCTGCCCACACCACCAAGCCACTACAGGAACCCTGAGCCAGTCTCCTTTCTTGCTCTATCGAGCCATTTTGGACATTCCTGAGAGACCAGCTGTACTCTCAGCAGACACCTGAAGAGTGTAATTAACCTTTCCGTATTCACATGGGGGAGTGTGTGGCACCCACAGATGTGACATCCACATGACATTTTAATTGTGATCTCTTGGCCTTTTTATGGTGTCAGCTAGAACTGATGCTGTGAGCTTGTTGCCACGTCTCCTAACCACAGGACACACCCGTTCCCTGAACCAACCCCAGGACACAGCTGGACATGCCTGATGTGGTTTCATTAACCCCCATTATGTAATGAAATCATGACATTATTTTCTTGTATTCTAGCGTTTCCCTAAAAATACAGGTGGACTTAGGGTTTATTCGTGTGTATATCCGGGAGTCTTTGATTTCTTATGTATATCTAATTAAATCTTTAATTCTGTGTTGAGAAATTTAAAATTTCTTCAGTTTGATGAGTGAAGTCCTTATGCTATTGTTCTGTGATTTTCTTTTTTTATTTATCATACATTTTATTCATCTATGTCTAACTAATTTTCTACAAAATTATACTTGTTTTAACTTGTAATATTTTAATAGGGTGAAATTCACAAATAATAGGCATCCCACAATGTGTACGATTTGATTAATAGTGACATAACTATTACCTTCATCAACATAGAAAAAACTCCACTACCGTCAGCATTTCTTCTTCATTTCCTACAATTTCTGGTTCCTAACCCTTCCCTCCTCACACCAGGTCCAGAGTCAACTACTGGTTTTCTTTATGTAACTTTAGATTAGCATTCATTTTATAGAATTTGTAAAAGTGGAACAGTATGTATGTACTTGTATTTGTTTGTCTTATTTTAATAAGCATATATACTTGTGAATTTACACTTGCTGTTGAGAGTATCCAGCCTTACCTGATTGTAACAGTCGGTGTTTTTCCAGTGAGCGAATTTACCACCTTGTGTTTACTGATTAAGCTGATGATTGGTATTCAGATTGCTTTCAGCCTCTGGGTATTATTAAAAAAAAGCTGCTACTCATCTTAGAGAAGCACGCAGCTGAGAAACACAACGTTCTTATTCTTACAACAATATGAACAGTGGCTGAACTGGAAAAGCTGCGCTTTAATCAATTGTCTTCAACACATCAGGTAATTGAAGTTAGAAAATTCTGTGTGTGTTTCAGTTTGTGAGCTAGAGAGGAGTGAAGAAGGGAGAAAGAGGAGAAAGAGACATAATTGACCATGATTTATGAGGTTCTCAAATAAATCCAGGGACTCAGAGTCTTAATGGAAAAGTTCCACATAAGATGGAGAGGACGGGCCGGGCGCGGTGGCTCACACCTGTAATCCCAGCACTGTGGGAGGCCAAGGCGGGCGGATCAACTGAGATCATGAGTTTGAGGCCAGCCTGGCCAATATGGCGAAATCCGGTCTCTACTAAAAATACAAAACTTAGCCAGGCGCGGTGGTGCACACCTGTAATTCCAGCTACTCGGGAGGCTGAGTCAGGAGAATCGCTTGAACTCGGGAGGCGGAGGTTGGAGTGAGCCGAGATCGCGCCACTGCACTCCAGCCTGGGTGACAGAGCAGGACTCAAAAAAAAAAAAAAAAAAAAAAAAGGGAGAGGACGACTTGATGCACCTACATATGGTTATTTATTTACATAAACGCCATTTTCTAATAATACAAAGAATCACGTACATGAGAATAAACACAGTGGCGGGTGTCAGTGAAATATGATGATGATGCCAAACCCCATCTCCAGCACCTTTTCCTCTTGCACCTGCCTTGATGTGTGTCCTGAGCGCCCCCTGGTGTCCCGAGGGCCTCCCGCAGTTCCTGAGCTTCCCTGCAGGGAGGTTTGTTTCTGGGCTCACAATGACTTCCCCTTGCTGTATCTTTTGTGTAAAAATTCATGGTTGTGTACTCGTTGCTCAGGTAGCTCAGCTGTAGAAGAAACTGTGTTTTGGATGTGGATCTGGAGATGGTGACTGGACTCTTGAGGCGTGGGTTGCGTTGTGTTCTCCCTCATGACCTGTGCACCTGATTCACTCCAGTCCCTTCCCTGGGGAGCTGAGGGATCCAGCTCCAGCAGGAAGCACTGGTTGTGATGGAGAAGCAGAGACAGCACAGATGAGGGAGAGGGTCTGTGAGGGCTTCGCCAGGCCAAGAACGCACGAGAAATACAGATGTCGGCATGCACAGGTTCTGAACAACACGTTGAAATTCACAAATATGCACATTTTCATGAGAATGAAGAGCTCAGTGTTTTGAAATTTGTGAATCCCCTAGAACAAATAGTGGATACTAAAGTTAGAATAAGAATAATAAATGGTCACTTATTTTCTTCAAACTTTCAACCAAATAAGAAAGAGAATCTGCTGTCAGGGGAGTGGGTATTGAATTATTACCTCTGTCTATGATAACAGTGATTTTTCAGAATCTGATTGACCTGTGATAGCCTAAAGGATGTCCTAATCCTGAATCCACAATTAGACCTGAGCAGCAATCATGGGCCGTGGAGGTCGCCTCACATGTGGAAAGATCTGACTCTGCAAAGCTGTACACGGGGGTCTCTGCAGGCCCTTAGTTGTACAGGAACAGCTCCTCCCTCAGACTCAGAGTAAGGACAATGTGCTCTTTATCTGGGGGAGGTGAGGGTTAGTGTGTGGAAAGAACCAAACTCACTCTAATCAATATCTCTGTACTTGGACAGAAACCAAGGTTTACAAGAATCAATGAACTTGGGATAAAGTAGGAAATTACAAGGACATTACAATTGTTTGCAAGCTGCGCGCTTGCTTCTCCATGTCATCTGAGAGGACCAAGGAAAATCATGTTTTCTTCTGTACATTTCCATAAAAGGTGTTCCCACCCTGAGAACGCACCTCCTATACCTCCAACGTCAGGGAGCCCCTGGACCAGGCACCCGGCACAGCTCTCTGACACCATCACCCGGTTTTTGACAAAGAGACCCATCCTGGAGCTCCTCCCAAACAATGACTGTGCACAGTGAAGATGCTAACGCGTGGCTGCTGCTGGGCACATGGGGGATTCCTGATGGACAGCTGTGTTCCAGGAGGAACCAGCGGCCTTGATGGACTTAGCTTAGACCACAGGGTTGTTGGGAAGCTCCATCAGACTCCCACCTTCTCCAGCACTGTTGTGAGATTGGCATAGTGAGCTGACAATGTCTACAGCCTCACCCGGCCTCCTGCGCGCTTTTCTGCCTCTTGCCTCTCCCCTACACTCCACCACCTGCACCTCACACTAGACACTTACAAACACAGAGACATTTTGGTCAGAACCTGCCACACATAATCACTGTTTTTTCACTCATATCCACTCACACTCAATATCTTTTGTTCTCCATTATTCGCCTTTCTGACAAATGACAATGTTTCCTCCTATAGTAGCAAACTTTACTAACCCAGAGACATCAGTGGTAGGCGCAGATCCATAAAGACAGAGGCCCAGGCGAACTGTTGGATGCAGAGGAATCCACAGATCTGGAAGGAAAGTAGACCTTTGCCTTCACCTGCACCTGTACCTGCCCCTGGAACTGTCCCTGCCTTTTGTGTGTGCTGAGTGCCCACTGCAGCCCAGCCTCCTCCCTCCTCCCTGCAGGAAATTTTGTGTCTGGGTTCACACTGATGTCCCTTCATTTGGTACCTTTGACTCAATAATACAGAGCCATATTCTCAGCTCTCAGACTGTTCATTTGCAGATACAACCTGTGCTTGGCATTGTCTTTGGAGATGGTGAATCTGACCTTCACAGAGTCTGCATATTATGTCTGACTTCCATCGTACATTATATCTACTACTCACTGCAGCCCCTTTCCTGGAGCCTGGCAGATTCAGCTGATCTAGTAGCTACAGAAGGTGGATTCAGAGGATGCACGGCAGAGTCTCAGGCACATTCAGCTTGTGCCAACTCTCCCCAAGACTCCACCATCTGCACCCCACACTAGACACCTACAAGCACAGAGACATCTGAGTCAGAACCTGCCACACAGAATCACTGTTTTTTCACTCATATCCACTCACACTCCATATCTCAAGTTCTCCATTATTCGCCTTTTAAAATAATGACAAGGGAAACCCAGCTCAGCCCTAACTCTATGGTGAGCCATGTTTGTACAGAGCTGATCATCAAATCCAAACTCCTGGTAATTCTGGACTAGAGATCTTCTCCCAGAGTTGCAGGGTCAGGGCAGGGCTGGTTTTCATCAGGAGAGGGAGGGCCCTATTTTCTTGTCTCCTCCTCTGTAGCAAACTCTGATGTGGGACCCCTTAGGAGAGAGCAGAGCCCAGAGCAGATGTGAGACTCCTGGAGGAGTTTAGTGGTGATGGCAGCATTTGGGAAAATATAATTTCTTATTATGTGATTTTCCCATTAAAATTACTAAGCAATTATTATTTTATTTCTATTTTACATAGTTATAAAAATAGAAATATAACCGCATTAACAAGAGTTTAAGAGATATGAAGTGAGAAATAGAAAACAATAAGAAAGGAGGAGACTTCAACACCTCACCCTCAATAATGTATAGAACATCCATAAAAAAATTCTTAGGAAGCCCATGGACTTAAACAACACTATTGAACAAACTGACCTAATAGACATCTACAGAACATTCCAACCAAGCGCAGTGTAATACGCATGCTTCTCAAGCACACTATAAATATTCTTCATGATAGCCTATATGTTAGATAAAAAATGGCTCTCAGAATTTAAAAAAGTCATGCCAACTGTTCTCTAACTTTTTTAAAAAATGATGAGTCGCCAACCTTCTAAGCTATTTCTAAAAGGCTACAATTACCGTGTTGCCAGTGACAGACAAACACAAAGGAAGAAAATTAAACTTCAAAGAAATATTTATACAAATGAACTACACCAAAATAATAGTCAACTAAGTTCTATAAGACTTTAAAAGGATCATGCAACATGACAAACTCAAATTTCCAGTCCATTGACTCAAATGTCAGCCTCCTCTGGCAAAACCCCCAGAGACACACCAAGAAACAATACTTTCCCAGCCATGTAGGCATCCTTTAATCCAATCAAGTTGACACCTAGTATCAAGCATCAAAAGCCCACCTCTTGTCAACTTAGCACCCCTACACATCTAGCTGCAATCATGCTTGATCTCCAAATAAAGACAATAATAAGGTCATAATTATGCCTAACATAATACAGCTATCCTTCATACAACTGAAAGTGCACTAATCCTTAACCTACATACATACCACTACATATAGTTAACAACATTTAAATGCTGTTAGGAAGTCAATAAATCTTGTGACACATGATAAAAAGAAAACAAATTCAATGAAAACAATTAATATATTTTTGTTTGTTTGTTTGTTTTTTAGATGGAGTCTCAGTCTGTTGCCCAGGCTGGAGTGCAGTGGTGCAATCTTGGCTCACTGCCACCTCTGCCTCGCGGGTTCAGGGTTCAAGCTATTCTCCTGTCTCAGCCTTCTGAGAAGCCTGGGATTACAGGCACCTGCCACCATGCCAGGCTAATTTTTGTATTTTTGGTAGAGACGGGGTTTCACCATACTGGTCAAGCTGGTCTCGACCTCTAGACCTCAGGTAATCCACCCACCTTGGCTTCCTAAATTGCTGGGATTACAGGTGTGAGCCACCGTGTCCGGCACAATGAAGATATTTTCTTAGTACAGTTATACACATGCAGAAATATATTCCTAACAAGATATGGAGAAAATATCCTGAGACTTTGCTGAAGTTGCTTATCAGCTTAAGGAGATACTCACGACAATTACGGTCCCCACTTCTGGTCGTGTGGTCATTCCTGGTATTGACAACTACCTTCTTCCACTACCCATTCTGTATTTGTTTTGCCTTCAGCAAGTACCTTGGCTGGTCAGGATTTTTAATCTGGGTGAAGACCCAAACTTTTATTTCTGAAGTATCTGGGCCATTTGTATTCCTGCCTGAATTAGGTTGTTTTTTCCCATTGATCTTAATCCCATGGCAAAGTAATACTAAGAGATGTCCTAAGAAATCTCCTGTATTCCAGACATACTCTGTCTCACCTCCATTGTGGAGTAGTAGTCTGATTTCAAATTGATAGTCCGGGTCAATCACCCCAGCCATTCAAATGAGAGAGGTTTTTTTTTTCAATTTATGTAAATGCATATCTTTGAAATTTTGAATGGGATTGCATTGAATCTGTAAATGCTTAGGTTAGGATGGACATATTAACAATGTATGTTCCAGTAACACAAGAACACAAGATAGCCTTCCATTTATTTGTGTTTTCTTACATTTTAATCAATATATTATAATTTTCAATGTGCAGATATTTTGTATCCTTGTTAAATTTATTTTGGTAAAATTTATTTTATGAATTTTAAGCTGTTGTATTTAGATTTATTTTCTTGATTTTAATTTTGAATAATCATTTTTTAGTGTATACAGAAGATGCTTATTTTTGTAGGTTGATTTTTGTTTAATTTCAATAGCTTTGGGGGTAAATATTTTTTTGTTAGATGGAGGAATTATATAGCAATAAATTCTGAGATTTTAGTACATTCATCACCTGAATAGTGTACACTCTACCTAAAGTGTAGTTATTTTCTCTCTAGTATCCATCCTATTCTTTCCCTTCTGAGTCTCCAAAGTCCCTTATATCACTCTGTATGCCTTTGCCAGTTCATAGCCCATCTCCCACTTGTAAGTGTGCAAACACAGTTTTTGCTTTTCTACTCCTGTGTAACTTCACTTATACTCATTACCTCCAGCTTCATCCAAGTTGCTGCAAAGGACATTATGCCATTCCCTTTAACGGCTTGGTAGTATTCCATGATGTATATATGTCAAATTTTCTTTTTCTTTTCTTTTCTTTTCTTTTTTTTTTTTTTTTTTGAGGCAGAGTCTTGCTCTGTCACCCAGGCTGGAGTGCAGTGCTGCAATCTCGGTTCACTGCAGCCTCTGCCTCCCGGGTTCAAGCAATTCTCCTGCCTCAGCCTCCCGAGTAGCTGGGACTCCAGGTGCACGCCAACAGGTCCGGCAAATTTTTTGTATTTTTAGTAGAGACGGGATTTCACCATGTTGGCCAGGATGGTGTCGATCTCCTGAGCTCGTGATCCGCCCTCTTCGGCCTCCCGAAATGCTGGGATTACAGGCGATGTCACATTTTCTTTCTGAACTCATTGGCCAATGGGCATTTAAATTGGTTTCACATATTTTCAATTTTGAATTCTGCTGCTATAAACATACATATACACGTCTTTTTCATATAATGACTTTATTTCCTTTGGGTAGCTCTCCAGTAATGAGATTGCTGGATCAAACAGTAGATCTGGCCAGGTGTGATGCTGCACGCCTGTAATTTCAGTAATTTGGGCTGCCGAGCGGGGAGGATCAGCTGAGGTCAGGAGTTGGAGACCAGCCTGGCCAACATGGGGAAACCCCTTCTCTACAAAAATTCAAAAAACAATTAGCCAGGCATGATGGTGGGTGCCTGTAATCCCAGATACTCTGGAGGCTGAGGTGGGAGCATCACTTGACACGGGAGGCGGAGGTTGCAATGAGATGAGATTGCACCACTGCACTCCAGCCTGGGTGACTGAGAGAGACTCCATCTCAAAAAAGAAAAAAAAAATAGTAGATCTACCTTTCTGCTTTTCAAGAAATCTCAATAGTGTTTTCCATAGTGGTTATACTAAATTACATTTTCATCAACAGTGTATAAGCATTCCCTTTTGTTTTTTGACTTTTTATAGTGGCCATTCTTGCAGGATTAGGTGTTATTAGATTGTGGTTTTAATTTGTATTTTCCTGATGATTAGTGATGTTACACAGTTTTTCATATGTTTGTTGGCCATTTGTATATCTTCTTCTGAGAACTATCTATTTATGTCCCTTGTCCACTTTCAAATGGGATCGTTTGTTTTTTCTTGGCGACTTGTTTTAGTATTTTGTAGATTCTGAATATACCAATTTTTTGTCAGATGTGAAGTTTGCACATATTTTCTCCCGTTCTGTGAGTTGTCTTTTTACTCCATTGACTCTTAGTTGTGCTGTGAAGAAACACTTTAGTTTAAATGGGTTCCATAAATTTAGTTTTGTTTTTGCTGCATTTGCTTTTGGGGTCTTAGTTATAAATTCTTTGCCTACCCTGATGTCTAAAAGTGTTTTTCCAATATTGTTTTCTAGAATTTTTGAGTTTAATGTCTTATATTTCAGTACCTGATTCATCTTGAGTTGGTCTTTTATATGGTGACAGATAGAAATCCAGTTTTATTCTTTTACATGTGGCTTGCTAGTTTTTCTTGTACCATTTGTTAAATGTGGTGTCTATTTTTCAATTTAAAATTTGGTACATTTTGCAAAGCATCAGTTGGATTTACATATGTGGCTTTATTTCTGGGTTCTCTATTTTGTTCCAGTGGTCTATGAGCCTACTATTATGTCAGTGCCATGTTGTTTTGGTAACTGCAGCCTTGTGGTGTAATATGAAGTTCAGTAATGTGATGGCTCCAATTTTCTTTATCTTATTAGGATTTCTTTGGGTATTTTGGCTTTTTTTTGGTTTCAAATAAATTTCAGCGTTATTATTTTTGAATTCTGTAGAAAATAATGTTGGTATTTTAATAAGAATTTCATTGATTCTGTAGATTGCTTTAGGCATTATGGTCATTTTCACAATAGCGATTCTTGCAATCCATGATCAGGGGATGCATTTGCATTTGTTTGTATCATCTATGATTTCTTTCAGCAGTGTTGTGTAGTTCTCCTTGTTGAGATCTTTTACCCTTTTGGTTAAGTATATTGGTAAATATACTATCTTTTCGCAGCTTCTGTAAAAGGGATGGAGTTCTTGATTTAACTCTCAGCATTGCTGTTGTTGATATATAGCCGTGCTACTAATTTGTGTACATGTATTTTGTAATCTGAGACTTAACTGAATTCATTTACTAAAACTATTAGTATTTTGGAGGAGTCTAGGGTTTTAATATATATAATCCCTTGATCTGTAAACAGTGATAGTCTGACGTTCTCTTTTTAAATTTGGATACCCTTATTTTTTTTCTCCTGACTAATTGCTCTGGCTAGAACTTCCAGAACTATGTTGAATAGAATTGGTGAACTTGGGCATCCTTGTATTGTTTGTGTTCTCAGGGTAAATGCTTTTAACTTTTTCACATTCAGCATGATATTAGCTGTGGATTTTTCATATGTAACTTTTATTAGTTTGAGGCAGGTTTCTTCTATGCCTCATTTATTTACAGTTTTTATCATTAAAAAATGCTGAATTTTGTTGAATGCTTTTTCTGCATCTATTGAGACAATCGTAAGGTTTTTATTTGTAATTCTGTTTATGTGATGTATTACATTTATTGACTTGAGTATGTTCAAATAATCCCTGCAATTCTGAGATGAAACACGCTTGATCATGAGGAATTATCTTTTTGATGTGCTGTTGAACTCAACTAGCTATTTTTTTTTTTGCTATTTTTGCATCTATATTTATCAGGGAAATTCATCTGTAGAGTGTGTGTGTGTCTGTGTGTGTGTGTTTTCCTGGTTTTGGTATCTTGGTTATACTAGCTTCATAGAATAATTTAGGGAGGATTCTTTTTTATCTAAATTTAAAAAATAGTTGCAGCAAAATTGGCAGCAATTCTTCTTTAAATTTTTTGATAGAATTCAGCTGTGAATTCACCTGGCCCTATTTCATTGTTGTTATTGTTGGCAATTCTTGAATTACTGATTCAATCTCACTGTTTGTTATTTGTCTATTCAAAGTAACTGTTTCTTTTTTATTTAATCTAGGAGTGTTGTATGTTTCTAGAAATTTTTCCATTTCCTCTAAGTCTTCTACATTGTGCACATGAAGGTGAACTTAGTAGTCTCAAATTATTTTTTATATTAGTGGTGTAGATTGTAATGTCTCGTTTCATTTCTGAGCTTATTTGGATCTTTGATATTCTTTTCTTTGTTAATCTAGCTAATGACCCATGAATTTGTTTATTTTTTCAAATAACCAACTGTTTGTTTCATTGCTTTTTTTTGTTTGGATTGCATTTAGTTCTGCTCTGATCTTTGTTATTTCTTTTCTTCTTCTGGCTCTATGTTTAGTTTGTTCTTGTTTCTCCAATTTCTCAAGGTGTGACATTAGGTTGTGAATTTGTGCTCTTTCAGACTTTTTGATGCAGGCAGCTGGCACTATAAACTTTCCTCTTATCACTGCTTTTCCTTTATTTTTGAGGTTTCAATAACTTGTCTCATTATTATAATTTAATTAAGATAATTTTTAAATTTTCATCTTGATGTAACTGTTAACCCAGATATTATTCAGAAGCAAATTTCTTAATTTCTATGTATTTGTTCATTTTCGACAGTTCTTTAGCGAGATGATTTTTAGTTTTATTCTGCTGTGGTCTGAGAAGATACTTGATATGATTTCATTGTTTTAAAAATTTATTGAGACTTGTTTTGTGGCCTAGTATATGCTCTACCTTGGAGAATGTTGCATGTGCTGATTAGAAGAATGTATATTCTGCAGATCTTGGATAGAATGTTCTGTAAATATCTGCTGCATCCATTTGTTCCAGTGAGTCATTTAGGTGCATTGTTTATCTGTTGACTTTTTGTCTCGAAGATCTGTTTAGTACTGTCATGATTGTACTAAAATCTCCCATTATGATTGTTTTGCTAACTCTCTCAGTTTTTTAGGTCTAGCAGTACTTGTTTAATGAATCTAGTTCCTCCAGTGTTTGGTGCATATAAATATGTAATTGTAATTTTTTGTTGAATTGATCCTTTTATCATTGTATAGTGATCATCTATGTCTTTTTAAATTGTTTTTGCTTTGAAGTCCTGTTTTGTCTGAGATCAAAAATAGCTAGTCCTGCTCACTCCTGGTTTCTATTTTTGTGAAATTCCTTCTTCCATGCCTTTTATGATTTACATTCAATGTGAATATTTAGATATGAGTTGCTATTCTCTTTGTCATGTCATTACCTAATTTTGTTTATTCTTTGATATTGTGTTATTGTTTTATAGGCCCCGTGAGTTTTTAATTTTTAAGAGGTTCCATTTTTGTGCATATTGGCCTTTTGTTTCAAGGTTTAGAACTTATTCTAGCATTTCTTGTAGTGCTGGTTTGATAGTGATGAATTCCCTCAGCATTTGTTTTTCTGAAAATGACTTTATTTCTTTTTTATTTATAAAACAGTTTGGCGGGATAAAAAAGAATTCTTGGTTGAAAGTTTTTCTGTTTAAGGAGTTTGAAAATAGAACCCTAATCTGTCTTGCTTGTCAAGTTTCTGCTGAGACGTCTGCCATTATTCTGATGGGTTTCTTCGTTTTACTGCTCTTAGAATTATTTCCTTCATGTAGACTTTAGGTAGCCTGATGACTGTATGCTTGGTGAAGGTATTTTTGCAATGAATTCCCCAGGAGTTCCTTGAACTTTTTGGATTTGGATATCTAGGTCTTTAGTCAGGCCAGAGAAGTAGTTCTCAATTATTCCTTCAGAGAAGTTTTCCAAACTTATTATTATTTTTTCTTCTTCAGGAGCACCAATTATTCTTAAATTTGTTTGTTTTACATAATCCCATATTTCCTGGAGACTTTTTTCACTTCTTTTGGCTCTTTTTAAATTTATTTTTCTCTGATTTGGTTATTTCAATAATAGTCTGGTCTTTCTACTTTTTTCTTTAACTGTTTCCTTTTTCTTTTTCCTCGAATATTTTACTTCTACTTTTATTTTGTACTGTTTCTAGTCTATTGTTATTTCTGCTACTTTTTTCTAGTCTATTTTTCAAACTTTCCATGGCATTTTGTAATTCCCTTTCCAATTCCCTGCATTTTTTTAAATTTTCAGGAGTTCTGATTGGTTTCTCTTTAGGATGTCTATCTCTCTGTAAAAATTTGTATTCATATTCTCAACAGTTTTATAAATTTATTTATTATGATTTTTGCCTTTTTCTGATATCTTCTTGAGTAGCTTATCAATCAACATTCTGATTTTCTTTTCTGATATTTCAAAGACTCCATTTTTGTTATGGTTTATTGCTGGAGAGGTAGTGTGACCTTGTGACCTTTTGGCACTGGCACAGCACCCTGTTTTCTCATTTTTCCCCAGTTATTTTTCTCATTTCCTCTCATTTTGGTAGATTTTCTAATTATTATTGAATTTATGTTTGATTTGACTGTTTCTTGTGTTTGTTTTTAAATGGATTTTTTTCCCTTAAGAATGAGACTTTAATGCTTATAATTAATTACAACCTGATTTGGTTTTTGGTCCTTAGAGGGGTGAAGACTCTGTAAGAGTTCCGGGGTTATGGAGAATCTTTGTATGATGGCTTTCCTATGTGTTGATTGCAGTAGAAATCTGCTCGGTCTGTGAGCAAGTTCACTGTCTTCTATGGGGTTAGAATGGTAGAGGTCTCTTAAACCTTATCTCATTCCTCTGTGGCATGCACATGTTTATTTTATTTGTCCCCAGTGATTTATTTATTTGCTTGATGGCTCAAGCTTCACATCAGTGGAGGACTTTTCCTTGGGTAGAAACTAGTTGTGGCTAAAGCAGGTGGGTAAATTAAGTCCCAGCCTTGACAGAGTTGGCTGAAAGAGGTTTTAGTGAGTCCCACTGAGGTCTTATCGGTGGGAAGGGTTGGAACCACCTCAGCTCTCTTGTCAAGTCAGTAGGAAATTTATCCACCTCTCAGACATACTGCTGTCCCAGTATTCCGGCTATTCAGATAAGACAGGCATGTTTTTTCATCTGTACAAATGTTCATGTGCCAAATAGAGAGGAACTGTGACTCTCTGTCTCATGCAAGCCTGAATCCAGAAAGTGCTGTTTCTGGGGGATGCAGTCACAATGATGTGTTCCAGAAAGGCTGTCTATAGTTGCACCCATGCTGAGGTCTTGTGGGAGAGACCCCAAGTGTGCCTACAGTGGTGTACAAGGGGGAAAGGCTTCCTCTTCTTCAAGATTCTTCACAAGCAACAGGGCTGTCTGTTGAGAAAGAGCTGAAGACTTTCCCAGCTGAGCCCAGTGCTGCAACTGTACTTCTGCTAGAAGAAGTTTCCCACCAGTGGAGGGATCTGGTGTCCAAGGCCTGCCATCCAGATTCTCTTGTCCCATGAGGTGTTCCCTCAATGTGGTGCACTCCCTTCCCCTAAGAGGAGGAGAACCTGGGAGCCATGGTACTGTGAGTTATGTTTCTTCTCTAGGTCTAGCTGCCCAGTGACGTTGACACACTTCAGGCTGGTGTGGGCAAATGTCTCTAAGTGATCCAGTGATGTGAACTGTCCTCATATTTTTCAACAGTGAGCAGCAGAACCGGGTCTGATGGGAGTGGCAGGCAGGAGAGTGAAGGAGACTCTGTGAAATTCCATGGATATTGATAGCCTTTGTGTACTGGCTTTCTTGAATGATGGTTATAGTAGCAATGAACTGGTCACATGGAGAGACTCAGGATCTCCTGGTCATCCAAAGTGGTGCAGGCCATGGTGATAACTGAGATCGCACAGTCATTTTCTCCTTCCAGGATGCAGTGTTAGTCTACTAGGAGATGCTGTAATGCATGGTTGGTTGGCCTCCAGCTAAGAGGTGGTGCTTGCAAAAGAGCACCAGCTGCATTATTAGCGGTGGGATTTTTGCAAGCCTTGTGTTGCCCAGGTATGGGGGCTACTATGGATTCTTAGGCAGTGGGTGTGGCTATGTAGCTCCCAAAAGATGCTGTCTTTTGTGTTAAGCTGCCAGGGCAGGTGGCTGCACAAAGCAAGGTGAGGGTTGGGCCAGGTGGGTTTCCGCTCTGAGTCTCTGTATGCAGGGCAAGCAGCAGCCCCTGTGGGTGTGGGGGACAGGGGTGGTTCTCAGGCCACTGGGATGATGTTCCAGATGGGACCATGGCTGCCTCTGCTGCACAGAAGTTTGGGCAGGGGGTGGGGAGTGGCAGGTGGTGGTAGGCCCCACACAGTTCCCACATACTTGGTGAGGCTGATCCACTCCCGTGGTGTTCCACTGGCAGCAGTGAGATGAGTTTCAGTCAATCTGTGATCAATACCTGCAAATGCCAGGAGTCATAGGCTGTCCCCATGGAGACTGCAGCCATGGGTTTCATGCCATGCCCCTTCCTGTCTGCTGCAAAGCAGGGCACCAGCTCCTGCACCCATGGCTCCTAAACTTGCAGAGCCCACTTTTAACACTTCCCTACCCAGGCCCTGGCCAAGGGAGTTCGTCCCAACCCTAGGTTATATTACACACCCCTGTTGAGAGCTACTTTCAACTTGGGACCACTGGCTGAAATTTTTGGCTGTTCTCCCTCAAATGCTGGGGACTCCCAGCCCTTCACCTGACTCACAGTGTAGGCTGCAGCTTCCTGCTTTTTCAGAAAGTTTGTAGATTATTTCAGTGTTTCTGTTCAGTTCCTGCATTGCTTCTTGAAAATAAGTCCGCGATGTTCATCTCTCCACATCAGTTTGTCCTTCCAAGTGGAAGAGGTATACTAGCAATGCCTCTAACCTGCCATCTTGAAATGTAAGTTTGATTTTGGATTCTGCAACTTTATTGAATTTCTTCATTAGTTTCAATCTTTTTTGGTGGAGTGTTTAAGGCTTTGTATAAATAAGAGCATGTAATATGTAAAAATATATTTTATATTTATTCATTACTATATGGATGACTTCTATTTTTTTCTTCTGGCCTGTTTTGTCTAGACCACCCAGTGCTGTGTTTAATAATATTGGTGATAGTGAAGCATCTTGTCTAGTTTCTAGTCTTAGAGGAAAATAAAATTTTCATCACTGTGTATGATGTTAGATGTGGGCTTGTGATATGTGGTCTTTATTATGTTGAGGTATATATGTTTTATGCATAATATGTTCAGATTTTTAAAAATTAGAGTGTAGTGGATTTCGACAGAGGCTCTTTCTGCATCTATTGACATGGACATATGGTGCATATGGTTTTAGTCCTTCAATATTTTCATTTGATATATCACATTTATTTCTGCAGGTTGAAACTTCATTGCTTCCTAGAGATAAACCACACCTGATCATGGTGAATTCTGTTGTTAATGTGCTGTTGAATTTGGTTTCTCACCACCCTTGAGAGTTTTTGAAACTAGATAATCAGGGATATTAGCCTGTAATTTTATTTATTTGGAGTGTCTTTTCCTTGCTTTGGAAATAGGACCTTCCAAAATAAGCTTGCATGTATTTTTTCCTCTTTATTTTGTTGGAAATTTGTATAGAGATTCTAGTTTTTTTTTAAATTTTTGATAAAATTCAGTAGTGAAGCCATGAAGTTCTTGACTTTTCTTTGATTTGAGATGTTTGAAAAATCACTGACTCAATCTCTTTACTCATAGGTCTGTTCAGTTTTTTTTTTCGGGATGGAGTCTCACTCTGTTGCCCAGTCTGGAATGCAGTGGCTAGATTTCGGCTTATTTCAACCTCTGCCTCCCGGGTTCAATCTCTTCTCTGGCCTTAGGCTCCCAAGTATCTGGGACTACAGGCGAGCACCACCATGTCCAGCTAATTTTTGTATTTTTAGTGGAGACAGCGTTTCTCCACGTTTGCCAGACCGATATCGAACTCCTGACCTCAGGTGATCCACCGGCCATGGCCTCCCAAAGTGCTGGGATTACAGGAATGAGCAAACACACCCAACCCAGAGTTTTTATTTCTTTATGGTTCAGTTTTGATAGATCGTATGTTTTTAAAAATTTATCTTTATTTTAATTTATCCAATTTTTATGAAAGAAGTCTTTATTACACCAGAATACTTATGAATTGGCACAAAGATGAATTATTCAGTACATATTATTGAAAGGAAAACAATCACCAAACAAAGATAACCTATTAATAGTTCAAAAAGGGGTTAAATGATTTTGTAAAATTAAGTAGAAAATAAAAGAAGGAGTGAGTGAGAGTGGACAGGAGGGAGGAAGGCAAGCAAGCAATGATGAACTGTGTAAAATTTTCACTAATTAAAATACTGTCATATTGGAGAGGTGCCTGTTAGGCAGCCTTTTGATGTTAACCATCTAATATACACCATGAACAACCTTGTAGAACACACAAGAGCCCCGTCAGAGAATCCACCTCCCATGGTCAGGTCCCCTATACAGTTGCCTTAGGGGCTGGGAACCCTCCCACATTGTTCTCTGGTTCTTGCTCCTGAGGACACAAACAGCCAGTGTTTCCTCCCCGGATGAATAGAGAGGCCCCTGGGGAGTGAGTCTCTAGCAGCTCATTCTGCACCTGCGGTGTGGAGGGTTTTAGACGGGCTCGGGGCTGGTTTCTCTCACTGTGTGTCTCGCACAGTAATACATGGCGGTGTCCGAGGCCTTCAGGCTGCTCCACTGCAGGTAGGCGGTGCTGATGGACTTGTCGGCTGAGATGGTGACCTGGCCTTGGAAGGACGGGCTGTATCTGGTATCAGAGTCACCAGGATAGATGATCCCCATCCACTCCAGGCCTTTCCCGGGCATCTGGCGCACCCAGCCGATCCAGTAGCTGGTAAAGCTGTATCCAGAACCCTTACAGGAGATCTTCAGAGACTCCCCGGGCTTTTTCACCTCTGCTCCAGACTGCACCAGCTGCACCTCGGCACAGACTCCTGTGGGGGAGACACAAAATTTGAATCAGGGGCTCCTTTCCACCCGTTCTCCTCTGTGACCTCAAGCCCTCGGCAGGACTGACCTTGGAGAACAGCCAGGAGGAGGGCGAGGATGGCGGTTGACCCCATGATGGTGGAGGACAGAAAATGAAGCCCTGAGATCCCAGCTGGGCAGTGAGGGAGACTCACTGTGGAGGGGAGCCCTGGGTTTAAGTGGGGAGGCCCCCACTTGCATTTGCATAGTTGTCACCCTGCCCTGAAGGGAGGAGTCTACAGCGTTTATAACCCAGAACCTCAAATGCAGAAAAAGGCTGGCCTGAGCCTCCTGGGAGGGGCAGAGTAAGGTCTCAATAATTCCTTACACCCTGCTATTGTCCCTCTCCACTCTTTTCCATGTTTCTTCGAGACCCATACAGGGCCTCCCTTCTTCCACCCTTCTCTGTGACCCTGTGAAGGTGATAAATCTAGTTGAAACTATGTGTGTTAAAAAAAATGAGAAATAGTGCCAGGAAAGGCCATGAAGAGAAAATTCAAATGCACTTATGCCTGATAACAAGAACTACTAAAAAAACTACTGTCTATTCCCTGGCAATTTCGTGTGAGTTGGACTACGGCCTGGGCATCAAGCAAGGGCAGGACCACCTCAGGACCTCAACAGTCCTCAAGATGATTAACTTGCCAGACCTTCACCCATGCAAAATCGCACATTTTTCCTGGCCATTTTGTCTTCTAGATTTTTACACTCTGCCAATTCAACATGAATAGGGAATATTTGTTTAGGTCTCTGACTTGCTGATGGACCTGAAGGGATGCCCATTGCTGCACCCAACTCCTGGTAGTGCTGTTTTAAGTCCTTTGTGTCAACCCCAGCACCTTCTTGTTTAGTTCTTTCATTTTTTAACATTTATTTTATGATATCCACATTGCTTGGAGGAGGCCCTTAACTATCCCCTTTGTCTGCCCCATTTTTTTGTGAAGCACTCTCATTTCATTAGCACCTAAAAGATCCAGAGAAAAAGCCAAAGCAACACAAACTACACAAGTTCTGAAACTATACAGGATCTGATATCCAGTGCACCAGGGAAGCTGTCTCATCAAGAACATCCTACTTGAGGTTGGGATCAGCTACGTCTGTCATATGTCTGTTGTGAGCTGTGGGTCCAGCATCCTCCCAAACATTCTCCTCTCATCTGCAGCACACGAAGCCAGAGAAGCTGCTACGTCAGTCACTCTCATAGTCCATTGGCTAACTTTGTTCACAATCCGATGATATAAATTAATGATATCAATCATATCACAAAATGATGCCACTTTCCATGCTGTCCTCCTTGTTATAGTTGTCTAGTGGATTCCTCTCCCCAGCCCAAACTCTGGGCTACCTTCTGTGTCACTCTTATGTGTTGTGTGTTGTTTCTGGACAACTGTACCCTTTGGTGGTGAATGGGAGTCTAGCAGCCTCGGCTCACAGGGCACACTGCAGGGCTGGATGTGCATCTTTTTACTATTATTTTAGCTATCACAGATATGAATTGCATATTCGGGTTGTTCCTCATTATTTTTACTTTTCCTTTTTCAGGGAACAACTCCTAGGAAGCTGTATCTGTTGTTTCTAAATTCCATGGATTACTTTCACTTCCTGCTCCTTATTGGAGTGTACATGCCATCTCATGCCATATGATTCTGTAGCCATCTGGGCATTGAATGTCTTTTATCCCGCACTTTCTCATCCTTTGATGTTATAAAAAATCCTCTAGCCATGCGTCAGCAATCAGGAACTTTCTAGCATTCTCCAACTCTGATGTAATTGTGTTGAGTGTCCCAAGACCATCCTCAGGCCCCTTAATCAGTACAAATAAAGGACACAAGAAAAGCTGTTATTCTCATGGGTGCAGCTTTATTATAGCGAATGAATATGAATTAAAATGAGCAAAGGCACCAGGGAGAAGGCCCTGAGAATCCAGGCATGAGCTCCCAGGTGTTCTTTCCCTGAGGAGTCTCTTGTCCCCAGTTCTCCCAGCAGTGATGCATGACAACATGTGTGAAGCATTGTCCACCAGGGAAGCTCACCTGAGTGCTTGTGCCCAGGGCTGTTTATTGGGCCCATCACAGATGTGTGTGACACCTGCACAATTGACCTCCAGTGCTCAGACGCCGGCCTCTTGAGCACTAATAGGCATTCACCATAAGTCATTATGAAAACAGCTAGTATAGCGTGCACCCAGGCTACACACACAGAGACACAGACAAACACAAACAAAAATACATTTTAACTAATAAAATAATCACAATATTAAGAGAGATAAGAGGAATGTTTTGGAAGTGATTTCTATGGTTATGACCTTGATGATGGGGATAACTTTGCAGATGTATACTTACTCCAAACTCAATGAGTTAAGTATGTTAAATAATGTGTAGTTTTACAGATGTAAACCTTATCTTAATCAAGTGGTTTAATAATACTACCAGGAGGAGTATGCCAAAAAGGCAGATATCATCTCCCAGGAGCTGAATATGGGCCTAGCTTGAGAAAGCACTTTTTCAGGAATGTTCAGGGTTTGCACAACCCAAGACTGCTCGGTAAATCCTTTCCTGTACACAAGTCCAGGTGAGATGGAAACAGGCTGTTGGAATAAAAGGCAAAGCTCAGAAGAAAAGAGAGAGGAAGTGGTGGACAAGGTATGACCCCATGTAGGGTTAGTGTGGATGGGAGGTGCTGCTGAGAGCCTGTGGATGGAGAAGAATGTGGACCAGGGGCAGGAGGAAAAAAGGCAGAGGAGGGGTTCTTCCTGAGCCAAAGCAGATGTTTCACGGAGAGTGTGGGCAGGGGCATGCACAGGCACAGGCAGGTGCCATGGAGTAGGGGAACCATTGGGGTATAGACCCAGGACAGAGCATAAAAAAATACAGACATTCCCAAGGGAGAAGGCACAGAAACAATGACTGACAAGCCTCTATCTTGGGCTTCCATCCATATATCAAAGACAAAGTTAACTGGTTTTCCCACTCGATAGAAATGACTGAATCTCACAGTCATTTCTGAAACACACAGTTATTGGTACTCACATGTTCTGGACAAAATGTTGACATCCCAAAATACACTAGTATAGAAAAAAATAAGAATCTGCTTCTAACCAGTTTGTAAGTGTTCAAGAGCAATTCAAGAGATTCTGACATTAGATTTATGCAAATATATGGTAACAATTTGTCTCTTCAAACTTATACTCCAATAATAATAAGAAACAAGTGACAACAATTGGCATTGTACTATTATTTCTATCTACAATGATGGTAATTTTTGAGGCGTGATAACCTAAGTGTCCTAATTCTGAACCCACATTTAGAACTGAGCAGAGATCACTAGCAGCAGAAGTCCCCCACATGGAGACACACCTGACTCAATAAAGCTGCATTTAGGGGTCTCTGCAAGCTCCAAGGTGTGGAGAAGCAGCTCCCACCTCAGACAAAGTTGGATCAATTTCAGCTCTTTCTCTGAGGAAGGTGAGGCTTACTGTGTGGGAAGGACCAAATTTGCTCTACTGAAGACCTCTGCACCTGAACCAAACCAAAGTATGTGATCCCCATGTGGTTTCAGCCTGGATTGAACAATTGCTTAGGAGAAGGGCATGGTCTGACAAACCCCCACTCAGAATTAAGAAATAATGCATTTATTCAGAAGAAATGGGGACATTACAATTGTTTACAGACTGTTTTCTTGATCCTCTGTGTCATCTGAGAGAAGCAAGAAAAATCATGGTTTCTATATAAAAATGCATAAACAGTGTATTGGCTCTGAGACTGCACCTCCCATTTCTTCAACATCAGGGAACCCATAGACCAGGCATCCAGCTGCTGTTCTCTGACACCCATCACCTGGTTAATGCAAAGACACATGCCCTGGGAGCTCCTCCCAGACAGTGATTACATACAGTGGAGATTCTAAGGCATGTCTGCTGCTGGGACACAGGAGTGATCCCTGATGGGTGGGTTTGGCCCAGGAAGGCATCAATGGCTTTACTAGGCTTAGAGAGGGCCATGGCATAATTAGGAGGTTTTATCAGTGTTCCCTGATTTTTTATGTCTTTGTTGTCAGATGTGCATCCACGTCGCACAGTTTCCACAGCCTCCCTGGCCTCCTGTGACATCTTCTGCCTCAATTAATGATGTATTCTTCAGGGGTATATGAGAATTTTTTTTTCTAGTAGTAATCTTTTCCAATCCAGAGGCCTCAGTGGTAGGCAGAGAACCATAAATATAGAGAGGCTCCCAGGAGAACGCATTTGATGCAGAAGAAGCCACAGAACCTGACAGGAAAGCAGCCCTTGAACTCCACCTGCCCCTGCCCTGGGCTGCTCCTGTCTTCTGTGGGTGCTGAGTGCCCCCTTCAGCCAAGCCACCCCCTGTGTCCTGCATGGCAGTCTGTCTCTGAGCCCACGTGGACTTCCCATCACGATGTTTCCTGCACAGTTAAATGCTGCCATGTTCTGGGTTCTCAGGCTGATCATTTGCATGTACAGCATGTACTTGGTGTTGTCTCTGGAAGTGGTGAGTCTGCCCCTAACATAGTCTGCATTGTATTGATGACTTTCACCACGCCATATAACTGCAACCCATTCCAGCCCCTTCCCTGAGGCCTGGCAAACCCAGTGAATCTCATAGATACTGAAGGTGAACCAAGAGGCTGCACAGGAGAGCCTCAGGGGCCCCTCTAAGTGTACCAAGTCTCCCCCAGACTCTGTAAGCTGGGCCTCACCCTGGATACCTGAAAACACAGAGATATTCTGGTTAGAAACTGTCACATAGCCACTATTTCTTTCACAAACATCCGCTTGGCCTCCCAAGATGTGCTGGAACTCAAGGTCACCTTTGAGGGCCTTGGTCTACTGTGAGGTCATTACCTTCAGGAATCTGCAGCTGTAGGGAAGGATCAGGAGAGTGACTTCTAACTTTTTGCTCACCAGTCCTGAGTCACAGAAATTCAAGTGGAGAGTTTCACATGTTTAATTCTGTGAAGGCACCAAATAATCTGAAAGAATACAAAAGCACACATACAAGCATTGATGAAAACAAAAATTAACAATTTAAATTTTAAAAGTCACATAAAAAATCACTGGCATTTGGATTTAATTTTCTTTGAAAAATTAAAGGCAAATATTTGTAAAACTGTTATTTTTAAATCATATGGGAATATATTCTTAATTAGCCTATATACTGTCAACGATTGCATGTGTGTGTATTTGTGTGTGAGAGAGAGACAGAGAGAGAGAGATGGAGAGAGAGAGAGAAAGAGGGAGGAAGAGAGAGACAGAGAGAATATAGACAGAAGGAGAAACAAAAAAGGAGATAAATCTTATGTAAAAGTATTATACTTTATAAGGTCCTTGAATAACGTGAGAGATGTTGTCTTTAATGGTCACATAAGGTGGAAACTACAAATTCTTACACTAGATATGATTATACACGTATATAAATACCATTTTCTAATTATATTAAACACACACCTCAGCATAGGCATAGTGTAGAGTATCTAATGGTGAAACGTGAGGGTGACAGGAAACCCGTTCTCCAGCTTGGGCCCTGTTTTCATGGAGCCTGAGTGCTCTTTGGTGGTCCTGGGCCCCTCTCCAGGGAAGTTTGTGTCTGGGATCACACTGACATCTCTTCTGTTCCTCTCACAGTAATACAAGGTTGTGGCATTGTTGGTCACAGAACTCAGCTAAAAGAAAATTTGGTTCTTGGACGTGGATCTGGAGATGGTGACTGAGCTCATGAGGAGTGGGTTAGAATTTGTGCTCCCTCGTGACCTATGCCCTGATCCACTCCCTTGACTGAGGACTGGCGGATCCAGCTCCAGCAGGAAGCACTAGTTGTGATGGAGAATCCAGAGACAGCACAGGTGAGGGAGGGGGTCTGTGAGGGCCTCACCAGGCCAATAAATGACCATGAAACACAGTGGTTGGTGTGCATGGCTTCTGGAAAACACACTGAAATTCCTACATACACACATTTTAGTAAGAATGAAGAATTCACTTTTGTTCAATTTGTGAGATTTATAAACAATTCAGTAGATTCTGAGAATAAATTCAGGCACTATGTGGTAAACTCGCAACCAAATTAAAAAGAAATGACTTTCAGGGGCATGGACATTGAATTGTTTTCTTTTACTATAAAGAGGGTGATTTTCAGAATAGAAGTGAGGCATGATAGCCTAATAGTGTCCTAATTCTGCACTCACAGTTATATCTTAGCAGAAATCGGAGGCCGTGGAGGTCACCCCTCCTGAATGAGAAAACACCCAAGTCTATAACACTGCACGTGGCAGTCTCTGCAGGCTCTGAGGTGTGCAGGACCAGCCCCTACCCCACACTCAGGAATAGTTGAAGTCTCTGCTCTTTCTGTGGGGGAGGTGAGGCTTAGTGTGTGGAAAGGTCCAAACTTACTCTACTCTAACTCTCTGAACATGGACAGAAGCCAAAAATATGAAAATCATGTGGACTCATTCTAGATTCAACCATTCCTCATGAGAAAGGTGACTCTACGGTGGGACCCTGCGCAGAATTAAGGATTAACCATTTGGGGTAATTGTGGAAATTATAATTATTTGCTGACTGCATGGTTGCTTCTTCTATGTCTCCTGAGAGAAGCAAGTAAAATCGTGGTTTCTACATAAAAATCCATCAACAATGTCTTGTCCCTGAGAATGCACCTCTCATTCCTCCAGCATTAGGGAGCCCATGATCCGGGCACCAGCTGCTGCTGTCTGACGTCCATCACCTGGTTTGTGCCAAACACACACATCCTGGAAGCTCATCACAGACAGTGATTGGGCGCAGAGGAGACAAAAAGGCACGCGGCTGCCGGGCACATGGCGGATCCCTGATGGGCACCCAGAGCTCAGGGACTTAGTTGGACTTAGTTTAGACCACATGGTAGTTAGGGAGCTCCATCAAACTCCCATTTCTCCGTCACTGCTTGTGAAACTTGAATCATAGGCAGACAGTGTCCACAGCCTCACCCAGCCTCCTGTGCACTTTCCTTTCTCCATTAGTGACACCTGCCTTAAGGGCGTTTGATAGTGGTTCCTCCTGTAGTAATAAACTTTACAAACTTAGAAACCTCAGTAGCACATCACTGTAAATACAAGAGGCTCCCTGCGGAACTGTTAGATGAGAGGAAGCCACAGACCCTGAAGGAGAGCAGCCCTTGACCTCCACCTGCACCTGCCCTGGGGCTGCCCCTGTCCTCTGTGTATCCTGAGCGCCCCCTTGTGGCTCCAGATGCCCCTGCAGGAGGTTTGTGTCTGGGCTCACACTGACCTCCCCTCACTGTGCCTCTCACACAGTAATACACGGTCATGTCCTCAGCTCTCAGGCTGTTCACTTGCAGATAGAGGGAGTTCTTGGCATTGTCTCTGGAGATGGTCAATCGGCCCTTCACAGAGTCTACATAGTATTTCTCACTTCCGTCACACTTTATGTCGGCCACCCACTCCAGCCCCTTCTCCGGAGCCTGGCAGACCCAGTGCATCCAGGAGCTACTGAAGGTGAATCCAGAGGCTGCACAGGAGAGTCTCAGGGACCCTCCAGGCTGTACCAAGCCTCACCCAGACTCCACCAGCTGCACCTCACACTGGACACCTGCAAACACAGAGACACCCTGGTCAGAAACTGCCGCACACATCCACTGTTTCTCTCACTCATATTCACTTACATTCAACTCATTCCCCATGAATCACCTTTCAAAATAGCAACAAGGAAAACCCAGCTCAGCCCAGACTCCATGGTGAGTCCTCTGTGCTCAGCCCTGAAGACTAAATGGAAAGACCTGGGAATCCTGGAGCTGGGGCTCCTCTCCCAGAGCTGCAGGGTCAGGGCTGGGCTGCTTTTCATCAGCAGAGGTTTGGCTCTGTTTGCATGTCTCCTACTATATAGCAAGCTCTGGGGTGGGAATCCTGAGGAGAGTGGAGAGCCCAGAGCAGGTGAGTGTGTCCTGGGGGAGTTTAGAGATATTGATACAATTTTTGAAAATATAGTTTCTTATTATAAGTTTGTTCTGTGATAAACTCTTTAAACCTACAACTGTATTTGTAATTTTTATTTTAAAGTAATTTTATTGAGGTACAATGGACCTATGAAAACTGCCCTTATTTAAACTTAGCAGCAATCATCTTATTTTATTTTTACATATGTGGAGAAATCACGGTATGTAGTATCAATGTTATTTCCACGTTACAGATGGAAAATTACCAGCAGAAGCACAGATGGGTGGTACAATGTCCCCAGAGCTCACATTTGCAGAGTAAGCCTGGGTATCTGGGCCTGTGCTTCTCACCACCGGGCCTGACTGCCCCCGAACCAAGCCCAGCACAGCGTGGGTCACCCCCAGTGACATTTTCAGAACTTCCTTCCTGTAATGAAAGCATGGTTTGATGTGTATGCACTATTGTGTTTACCTAATGAATGTAAGAGAACACATTTTATGCAGTTGTATGTTCATAAATGTCAGACATTCCTCATGTTAGTGTCTATTTTCCATCAATCTGTACTGAACAAATTATCCATTCATTTATTTGTAATACTCTCAATGAGACATTATTGCCATACATTAAATATTGCATAAAGTGTTTGATTTAATAAGTACTCAAGCTGAGCCTGGTGGCACACAACTGTAGTTTCAGCTACTTAGATGGCAGATGCAGGAGGATCGTTGGTGACCAGAAGTTGGAAGCTACATTGAACTATGATCCCACCACTGCAGTCCTGCCTGGGTCACAGAGTAGGACCACATCTCTTCAGAAAAAAACAAACACAACAAAATGTAATTCCACTCGTGCTCACCTGTGCATCCCCAAAAACCATCCAGATAACGAACAAATAAATTACACTTAAAAGTTTCCTTGTGTTACTCTACAATTCCTCCTTCCCAATTATTTTTTTCCCTTGCCATATTCTGAGTCAATCCTTCATATTGAATACTTTGGTTTTGAGTTTCAAGAATTTATTATACAGGAATTATATAGTATGTGTTTTATGTGTGTGGCTTCTCACTCATTATAACTACTTGTGATTCAACCACATTGAGCATCAACAGTGTATTGATTCTAGTGATGGCTATGATTACCGTAAATTAGCATGCCATTACTCTTTATCTATATATCTTCTTGATATTTGCATTGTTTCTAGTTTCTGAGTGTTAGAAATAAAGATGCTACTCAGCTTGGAGATGTAGGCATCCCATAAAAATTTGTTATTATTCTCACAACTACTAAAGCTTACTGATCTGCAAATTAGCACATTTTCTTAAATTCATCAGATTTTTGATGTTATAAGACAAACAAGATATCTGAAATCTGAAGAGAGATAAAGACTTGCAGGGAAATAAACAGGAGCAGACGATAATCTTTTCTGGGACAGAGGCTGCCAAATATCATTTAAGTTACGATTAAAGTAGACATATTCATTGGATGGTTTAAATTTGAGTGTGATAGAGAAGTTATTGTTTAAATTCTCAGAGTGTATACAGTTGAGGAATTCCTCCTGCTATTGAAGCCTTTTTCTTCAGTACTGGGGACACATCACAAAATGCTCCAGCCTCTACCCCTTGGGACGGTTGTGTCAGGGTAAGCAAAACAGCAACTATAGCTGAAATGCATCCAGACACACCTCCTCATCAGCACTACATTGCAAGAGAAATTATCTGCAGCGGTAATGCCAGGAAAACCAGTGTTCTAGAGACACTGGAGAGATCAATAAGAACTGGGAGTGAAGAGAGGAATGCACCAAATCCCTGTCCAGGCCCACCTCCCATCTTCCCTTAGGAGTAACAGCTTTACTAAAAAGAAAAAGATAGTAAAGAGGAAACCAAAGAAATCAATGGGAAGACATAGTGGCTGCTGAATGAACATATGAATAAAAAAAAAATGAAGAGGCTGGGTGCAGTGGCTCATGCTTGTAATCCCAGCACTTTGGGAGGCTGAGGCGGGAGGATCACCTGAGGTCTGGAGTTCGCGACCAGCCTGACCAACATGGAGAAACCCCATCTTTACTGAAAATACAAAATTAGCCGGGTGTGGTGGTGCATGCCTGTAATCCCAGCTACTCGGGAGGCCGAGGCAGGAGAATCGCTTGAACCCGGGAGGCAGAGGTTGCGGTGAGCTGAGATCACACCACTGCACTCCAGCCTACACAACAAGAGTGAAACTCTGAATCAAAAAAAAAAAAAAAGCGACAGCTATTATTATACTCACTAGTAGAAGGTTAGAATATTTTGGTCTAATATCTGTAATAAGGCAAGAATAAAGCTTGAGGCATTTCACTTCCAGTCCTCAACATTTGTTACAAACACAGAGTAATAAATCCGAATGGTATCAGCATAAATGCATATAGAGAGCTTAGATATAAACCCACATATTGATGGCGAACTGATTTTCAGCATGAGAAACATCAACATACAATGGCTAAATTATGGTGTCTTCCAAAGAGCATGTTATGAAAACTGGATTTTCACATGTGAAGAATTAAGAATTTTAGGTTAGAATAAACACAAAAATTAACTTTAAATGCATTAAATATTTCAATGAAATTCCTGCAACTGTAAAACTCCCAATCCTCAAAAATTAGCAATCTTTTTCTGGATTTTACATTCAAAGCACATTTAAAAAAAAGCAGAATTGAACAAGTTGGACTAGATTAAAAAAATATTCTGCAAAGCAATGAAATAATTCCAACTCACAGAATTGGATAATATATCATGTATCTGAAAAAAGCGTTAATATCCAAAATGTAAATGAAACTTCTACAACTCAATAGCAAAAATAAAAAGCATAATTTAAAAATAATCAGTTTTACACCTTTAACAATGTAAGGACCTAGAACTCATGTTAAATGTTTTTCTCCATGGGTAATGGTCTGTTTTATGGTATACTTGGCTGGAAAATACTTTGTAGTTATTTGATCAGACACTAATCCAAGTGTTGGTGTGAATTTTTAATAGAGGTTATTAAAACTGTGATCAGTTGACTCAATGTTAGGTAGATTATCATTGATAACCAGTTTGGCCCTGATTCCATCAAAGCTGATCTGGAGAAGGTAAAATTCCGTGGTTAAGCAGCTTCAACTCGTTCTGAGACTTCCAGCCTGCGCTTACTGATGGCCGACCCTGAGGATATTGGATGTTTCCAGCCATCCCCCCAAATTGTCATCCCCTACATCTCACAGGAAAGTGGTGTGACCCTCTACAGCTTGTCACACCTGAATATCAGACAGAAAGAAATTCTCCAAAATCAAATAATATGTATTTGAAAATGAGCATTCCAGTGGGATTATCCCTGGGCATATTTAGGTAGGTAAAGGAAGTCAGGTTAGTAAAGGTTGGTAAAGGTTGTTTTAAAGGATAAATGAGAGGACTTACATGAGCTGTTCTGAGGCAATTATCCTGGGGGTAGAAGAATTAATAACAAGGGTGGAATCAGTTTAAGATTGTACTGGGAGTTGCAGGGCAGATATCCTCACAATATTAATTCTCTTATTGTTGTGGTAGCCTTTGTTGAAAGTTGTGGTTGTGCAGAGTAATTTTATGGTAGTTCTTGTTATCAGGGATGTGTGCATGAGAACCCTCTATTCATGACCTTCTCCAGCTTCACCTGTAAAGATTATAACACAAGTTGTTCTATTTTTATTCTGACAACGTTCACATCCTCTTCCTCACATGACTAGTGCAGAAAGTTACTCTGTGAAAGTTTATCAGAACAAAATTAGAAACACATCCACATCCCATGTTAACCAAACAAGCTTGTCCCCTTCAGTTCTCAGTCGCAACTTGCATTTCCAGATAAGTCTCCATGCAACACAGTGGAGGGCCCTGAGTGACGAGGAGTGAAGAAAGTCCCACCAGCCTCTCCCG
The DNA here is from genome assembly GCF_000001405.40 of Homo sapiens. Taxonomy (NCBI): domain Eukaryota; kingdom Metazoa; phylum Chordata; class Mammalia; order Primates; family Hominidae; genus Homo; species Homo sapiens. Next base: position 1,082,626 of record NT_187600.1, read on the forward strand.
CGTGACTGCAGCAGCCACAGCCTGAGACCCACCTGAGCGTCAGGAAAGGGCTTGAGGTCCGGAATTTTGACCACAGGGAAAAATCTTCCTTTTGCAGAAAGCAGGAAAAGCAAACGGAAAAATGAAAACAACGACTGAAAAAGGAATTAAATGGATTAGGAACAAAAGAATCACCAGATCAGTGCTGATGCTGATTTGCATATTTAGTGTCAGGAAAAGGTTCAGAGGTGAAACCTGTGATGTCCTACATGACACTGATCCTGGCCTACCCTCTATTGTCTGTGATCAGTGTAGGGACCAGCCCCACAGGGTCAGTGGGTTTCTCCCCGTGTGCGGAGACGAGAGAGCATAGAAATAAAGACACAAGACAAAGAGATAAAAGAAAAGACAGCTGGGCCCGGGGGACCACTACCACCAAGATGCGGAGACTAGTAGTGGCCCTGAATGCCAGGCTGCGCTGATATTAATTGGATATAAGACAAAGGGACAGGGTAAGGAGTGTGAGCCATCTCCAATGATAGGTAAGGTCACATGGGTCACGTGTCCACTGGACAGGGGACCCTTTCCTGCCTGGCAGCTGAGGCAGAGAGAGAGAGGAGAAGGAGAGAAACAGCTTACAATATTATTTCTGCTTATCAGAGACTGTTAGTACTTTCACTGATTTGCTACTGCTATCTAGAAGGCAGAGCCAGGTGTACAGGATGGAACACGAAGGAGGACTAGGAGTGTGGCCACTGAAGCACAGCATCACAGGGAGACTGTTAGGCCTCCGGATAAGTGCGGGCGGGTCTGACTGATATCAGGCCCTCCACAGGAGGTGGAGGAGCAGAGTCTTCTCTAAACTCCCCGGGGAAAGGGAGACTCCCTTTCCTGGTCTGCTAAGTAGCAGGTGTTTTTCCTTGACACTGAGTCTACCACTAGACCATGGTCCGCTTGGCAACAGGCGTCTTCCCAGATGCTGGCATTACTGCTAGACCAAGGAGCCCTCTGGTCGCCCTGTCCAGGCATAACAGAAGGCTCGCACTCTTGTCTTCTGGTCACTTCTCACTATGTCCCCTCAGCTCCTATCTCTGTATGGCCTGGCTTTTCCTAGGTTATGATTGTAGAGTGAGGATTATTATAATATTGGAATAAAGAGTAATTGCTACCAACTAATGATTAATGATATTCATATATAATCATATCTAAGATCTATATCTGGTATAACTATTCTTGTTTTATATTTTATTGTACTGGAACAGCTCGTGTCCTCGGTCTCTTGCGTCGGCACCTGGGTGGCTTGCCGCCCACAATCAGTATCCATAAAGACTGTTCTAGACGGGGAACCTCACTGAGGTCCCTGTCCTTGGTCTGATAGGAGGAGACTCAGCAGGAAGCCCTGAGCTCACTCAGACTCTGATCGTGGTGACCATGTTTGAGGACTTTTCATCCCAGTAAGCATCAATCCACATTTTGTGCGAGTGAGAACTGCTCTTCATATTAAAATAATCTCTTTCAAATACTTAGAGAAGACGTTCATAGGCACAGAATGCTAAACTTAGAGAGGTTCCCTGGGGAACCGTCAGAAGAAGACAGAGTCCCACATCCTGACAGGAAATCAGCCTCCATCTGCACCTGCCTCCGGGGCTGACTCTGATCAGTGGCTCCTGAGCGCCCCCTGCCGCTGATTTCCCCAGCGTTCCTGCAGGGAGGTTTGTGTCTGGGCGCACAATGGCCTCCCCTCACTGTGTCTCTCGCACAGTAATACACGGCCGTGTCCTCGGCTCTCAGGCTGTTCATTTGAAGATACAGCGTGTTCTTGGAATTGTCTCTGGAGATGGTGAATCGGCCCTTCACGGAGTCTGCGTAGTATGTGCTACCACCGCTATAAATAACTGAGACCCACTCCAGCCCCTTCCCTGGAGCCTGGCGGACCCAGCTCATGTAGTTGCTACTGACGGTGAACCCAGAGGCTGCACAGGAGAGTCTCAGGGACCCCCCAGGCTGGATCAAGCCTCCTCCAGTCTCCACCAGCTGCACCTCACACTGGACACCTGCAAACACAGAGACATTGGTTAGAAACTGCCACACATATCCACTGTTTCTCTCACTCGTGTTCACTCACACTCGATATCTCTAGTTCTCCATGAATCACCTTTTGAAATAGCAACAAGGAAAACCCAGCTCAGCCAAAACTCCATGGTGAGTCCTCTGTGTTCAGTGCTGATCACCGAATGGAAACACCTCGGAATCCCAGTGCTGGGCTCCTCTCCCAGAGCTGCAGGGTCAGCTGGGCTGGTTTTCATCAGCAGAGGGAGGGCCCTATTTGCATGTCCCCGACTATATAGCAAGCTCTGGGGTGGGACATCTGAGGAGAGGCCGGGCTCCGTGCAGATGAAGTGTCCTGGGGGAGATTGGTATTAATTCCATCATTCAGGAAAATATAATTGTATATTACGTGATTGCGCCTTGATTAGCATTTAGCTCTCACAATCTGATTTTATTTTTACATATTTACACAATATATTTAAGGCAGGTTTCAATGTTACATTTTACAGGAGATAATTTGCACAGAGAACACAGCAGTTGTGCAGTGTGTCTAAAATTACACATCTAAAAAAATGAGTCCTATTACCTGGGCCTGTGCTCTAACCACTGGAGGAGGCAGCTCCCCTGAGACAACTCCAGGGCAGTGTGGACTATGCCTAGTGAAGTCTGCAGGATTCCCCATCAGTTATGACAACTTTCTGTAATTTATCTAAATATGTAGAGAGAACCACGGCTCATGTGTGTGTATTTTCAGAAGTCAGTCATATTTCTTCTGTCAATATCAGTCTTTTTATTGCTCCATTTTAGCAAAAATATTCATTTATTTCTTTGTTATTGCTTTATTCAAGTATAAAAATAAATAATTAATTCAAATTTATAGGGAATGATTTGAAAAATGTAGAGCTATGTTTGCAGCCATTCACTCGGCACTTCAATCAACTTTTGAATAATTAAATTAATCCCTAAATCTTTTTCTTATTCCTCTGAAACTTAAATCACATCCGCATCATTCCCAACACCATTTTCTCAGAAAAATTTAAGTCTTCTTCATTTTAATTTATGGTAGTGGCATCTTCTAATATTTCTACAATGAATTATATAAAATTTACTCTTAATTCCTTAGCTTCTTTCACTCAGCACAATTCTTTGAGAATTTAGCCATGATTTTTATGATTGAGGCATGCCTTGATTTCAAGCTGCATTATATACCAGTACATAAATATATGTCAAACTATTTAATTGTTCACCCATAAGAAAATGTTATTTTTTCTCCCAGTTAATGGATTCTATAGAGAAAAGTAGCTACTCGGCACGGGAATTTAAAAAAAATGAGTAAACAATGATCTTATTCTGAAATCATTAACAACAAACCTGAAAAACCACTAATAAGGAAAAAGCATTCAACATATCTGAGTTGATATTACAGAGAAAAAAAAAAACCCTTAATCTGTGGAGAAAGGGGCCTGCAGAGAGAACCATATATTAGTGTTCCTGGGACAGATACCAACTGGATGTTATTTAAGCTAAGAACCAGCTGACTTGAAAATATTCAGTGAGTTGCTGGAGGATGCATGTGCTCATAGTGTTAGACTGTGAAGCTCCTCGTGCTTGCAGGCTTTTCCTACAGAATTATTATTAATTATTATGGCTTCGCTTTATGCAAATGATCAGACCAACCATAAGACTAAAGTTTATTTTGCAAATCACTCAGTCCTATAATGATTAGTTTCTGACAAAAATCAGAACTGGAGAGAGAAAAATTATGTTTCAAAACATATCATACACTTGTCTTTAAATTACAGTCTCTTCAATTGGTTTTTCAGGTTTGTTGTTAATGAGTTCAGAATAAGATCATAGTTTACTCATTTTTTTACATTCCCATGCCGAGTAGCTACTTTTCTCTATAGAATCCATTAACTGAGAGAAGAAATAAGTTTTAAGTATTTGCCTCCATTTTAGACTAACTCTGCTTATCGCTGTGAACCAACCAATGATCTCTGGCTGCAGCTCAGAAGAAACACAGGCATGGGCTATATAAACATCTGGACGAATATTTTAATTCTGAGCAATTATCCTGCAAATCATGCCAGGTGACTGGAATAAATAGGGTCCCCCTAACCCGGAGGTTTCTTTGTTTGGGAAAATAAGTCCAAGGGAGGTAACGAAAGCCAAGCCCCATGCACCCAAATCTTAGCAGGCATAACTACAGCCACCAGTTATCTGGGTGTGTCAGCAGCCTTGGAATTTTTTTTCAAACTGTCCTTACCACCTTGTTTGGTTTTGATACATGTCTTCTAATAACCCGGTTTGTCTCTTCTCACCTTCAGGCATCAACTCCAAATGGTCATCCAAGTGAAGCCTGGGATAATGGCTCCCTTTTACTGGGTCCCTTAGACAGACCTCAAGGGAGATCTTCCCAAAACAGCATCCCCTGTCAGCTGGGAGCAGTTAAGGTTGGCCTTTGTATTCTAACGGGTTAGATGCACTTATTCAAAGAGGAAAATGATAGAGGGAGGAGGCAGATAACTCTCCTAGGCAGACAGGGGAGAGTCCCCATAGAATGTCCAACCCACTAAGGTCATTGTGCACAGGGCGCTTGCCTAGACATGCCTGCAGTGAAAATTGTTAGTATTGTATCTTATCACTCTGGTAAAATAGCCACACATAATAATCCAGCTGCGTGAAGATAAAAAATAACTAGTTTGAAATTAGAGCAAGTCCCAAGTAAATCAAAGTTAGCATGTGGTTCATAATGTGATAGACAGGAGACATGGCTGAATATGAAGAATGTGTTCACATCTATTTTATGTCAAGATCAGGAAAATATTTTGTATATTACTTAGGTAAGATTCCCACTGAGATCATTGATTTAAGATTATATATTGATGGATAATACCTCAATAATAAAAGTAGAGGTTATGAACCAGTAATTTGTATTACTAGTACAAACTTCCATTTAGTATATATTATTCTGTGTGTTATGAAATCAATTCAGAAGGCAGAAAACTTTGCACTTATCACAACTTTTTAATAAATTAAAAATTAGAATTAAGTAACTATGTTTCTAGATGGTGCACAACTTTGGAATATTTTTGCAAACAGAGAGGGTTCTTACATCTTCTGGAAATCCTATCAAAATGGACAACAATGGAAGAAACTTTCAGATGAATTTCTACCAACTAGAGATCTGATTAATAGAATTTTAAAGCAAATGCTAACACACAAACAAAAAACTAACATAGAAGCTAAAAAAATAGTGATTTAATACACCAAACACTCTACCTCATTCTAGTTTATAACATAATCTAACCGTGGAGAGCACTGTCATTGTTCATACGAGACAGAATCAATACCACTCACAATCTTCTGGGAACGTTTAAAAAATGTCTTCTTTACATTAAAATTATCAAATCTTTAATAAAATGTAAAACTTGCTTGGCCAAGGGTTCTCCCACTAGCACTATGAAACCATGGTCCACTCCTCAGGATGCATCAGTTATTACCCTATGACTTGGCAGCTAAAAGGCCTATATGTTTATAGACTTTACCCCAGAGATCATCCTTGTCCTACTGCTTGCATGTGTGGTACCCACTCCAACCACGAAGAGTTTGAGGCGGCCTTTTTACTACCTCTTTTCCACAGACTCTTGTGATCTTCAACAAGGAAACTGGAAGGAACATCAGTGGACAATACTGCTCTTGAATCATATTGGAAGGAATCTTGTCAGATCCTTTTAACTAACTCACTGCAGAAAACATTCAGGCAGTTAATTATTGGGTTCGTATTTTACAATTAAAGAATAAATTCAGGCCAGATGCACTGGATCATCTGTATAATCACACCACTTTCAGAAGGGAAGTGAGGGAAATCCCATGAGACCAGGCAATCAAAACCAGCCTGGGCAACACAAAGAGACCTTATTTATATGAAAAAATAAAATAAAAAATAAGGAGGGGATGAGTGGCATGCCCCTCTAGTTCTAGATATTCAAGAGGCTAAGATGGGAAGAATATGAGTCAGGAGTTCAAAATTACAGCGAGCTATGATCACACCACTGCACTTTAAACTGTGTGACAGGGTGAGAGCCTGTATCTAAAAGAAAAATCAAGAACCAGTTAAGAATTTCACATAACTGTAAAGCTACTCAAATAGGAAATGTTAAACTGAGCATGTTCATAGATTCTCTGGCGTTTCTGATGTTTTTAAGCAGATGGCTGACCTAAGACCTGCAGAATGAGCTGGTAGTCCTTGATTGTGAGAAGCTTCTACCCAAGACATCAGACCAGGACCCTGTTTAATTCCCCTTCCCCTCCTTTTTTTCATTATCCTTTGCTTATATTTCTAAAGTCATCTCATTTCTGTAGACCTGCGTGTTGTCCACCCACACTGAACCCTTATCTTCTTTCTTATTAATTATTTTTATTCCTGCTGCATAGAATAAGTTGTCACACTATTTTTGGGTGCATGACTGCTGATGATTTAAAGCATATTCCTCCATCATCTCCTTTTTTGCCACACAAGGTGGCTCTAGTTTGAAATCACAGGAGCTTCTTCATTCGATGCCAGGGGGAGTTTCAAACCCTGCAAACCCCTTTCTGTGAGTGGGAAGCCTCACTCTGCCCCCAGGACCAAACCATCATAAAAATGCTGAGCCAGTCTCCTTTCTTCTTCTTTCAAGCTGTTTCAGATTTTCCTGGGAGACCTGCCCTGCACTCACCAGACACCTATAGAGTGCAAATAATAAACTTTTCCATATTCACTTTCTCTGAGTGTGTGACTTCATCAGACACGACATTCAAACTAAATCTTAGTTGTAATCTCTTGGCTTTGTGTGGTGTCAACTACAGCTGAGGGTGTGAGCTTGGTGTCACTGGTTCTATCAGCCGGACACCCTGGGTCCCTGAAACAACTCCAGGACAGAGCTGGACATGTGATATAGATTGATTTCGTATCCCCATCAAAGTATCATCTCAAATTGTAATCCCCACATGTCAGGGGAGGGACCAGGTGAGAGGTGATTGGATCATGGGTCCAGTTTCCCCATGTTGTTCTCATGGTAGTGAGTGAGTTCTAACAACCACTGATTGTTTAAAAGTATGTGTCACTTCCCCCCTCTCTCTCTCTCCTGCTGCCCTGGGAGATGTGCCTTGTTTCCCCTTCACCTTCCACCATGATTGTAAGTTTCCTGTGGCCTCCCCAGCCATGAAGAACGGTGAGCCAACTAAATCTCTTTTCCTTGTAAACTACCCAGTCTCAGGTAGTTCTTTATACCAGTGTGAAAATGAACTAATACCACATGACTGGTGGAGTTCGATAAACTTTTTTAGTGACATAAAATTATGCCATTATTTTTCTATATTCTAGCATTTCTCTAAAAATACAGAGATGCCCAGGGCTCATTTATGTGTATATTCAAGAGTCTCTGACTTTTCATGTATTTTATTTATCTCTGTCTAATTCTTTTGATACCAAATTATACCTACTATAATTAGTACTGTCATTAATGGAGTTAAATTAAAAATAATAATCTCCATATGAAGTGTTCAATTTTACAAATGGGTCATAGACATCATCACTAGCAACATAGATAACAAGTCAATTCCCTCAAAATTTTGTCTTGTACTATAATTCCTCCTTCCTAGTCCTTCCCCTCTCCTACAATACTCACAGTGAACTACTGATTTTTATGTAACTTTAGATTACTTTTTGTTCTATAGAATTTATGAAAGTTGTATCTTATGTATGCACTTTTGTTACTTTGGCTCATTTTACTCATCACAAGTACTTGTGAATTTAACCATGCTGTTGAGTGTACCCAACATTAGTTGATGGTAGTAGTGGATAGTATGTCAATGAATGACTTTTCCTCAATTTGTTTACCAGTTAAGCTGGTGATTGACTTTTGGGTTGTTTTTAATTCTAGGTATTATAAACAAAGATGCTACTCAGCTTAGAGAAGTACACAGCTAGGAAACACATTGTTCTTATTGTTACAACAGCATAAATAACGAAGCTGGAAAAGCTGCACATTAATCAGGTTTATTGAATATATCAGGTAATAAAAGTTATAGATTTTGGTGTGTTGTGGGGTGGGTGTATGTAAGTTTCTGTGTGAGAGAGAGAGAAGAAGGGAGAAAGGAAGGCAGAAAAAGAGAGGAATCTGACATAATTGACCACAATTTATGAGATTCTCCAGTAATTGCGGGGAATTAGTCCTTATGGACAAGGCTGATGCACCTAGCTATGGACACCTAGCAAGAGGACAACTTGACACAGCTAACTATGGTTATGTATTTATATAAATATCATTTTCTAATCATACACTCTCATGCGTTAGAATAGACAAAGTGGAGTGTGTCTAGTGGTGAAATATGATGGTGTCACAAAACCCCTCATCCAGCCCCTTTCAACCCCAGCTGCACCTGCCCTGAAGCTGAGCTTTGAGCCTGCTCTGAGTCCCCACAATTGTCCTGAGTCCCCTGCTGTACGGAGCACCTTTTGGGGTCCTGGTTTTCCTCCATGTTTCCTGAGAACCCTTGGCTACCTGAGGGCATCTACAATGGCCTTGAGTGCCCCTTGGTGTCCTGAGGAATCCTGGGGTCCTGAGTAACTGTGGCTGTCCTGTGCACCCCCACAGGGAGGTTTGGGTGTGAGTTCCCACTGTGGTTACCTTACTGTGTCTTTTGTTAAAAATACATGGCTGTGTGCTTGCGGCTCACTTAGCTCGGCTGTAGGAAGAACTGCTTTTTGGACATGGATCTGGAGATGGTGACTGGACTCTTGAGGAGTGGGTTGGAATGTGCACTCCCTCATGACCTGTGCACCGGATTCACTCCAGTCCCTTCCTGGGGGGTTTATGAATGCAGCTACAGCAGGAAGCACTGGTTGTGATGGGGAATCCAGAGACAGCACAGGTGAGGGAGAGGGTCTGTGAGGGCTTCACCAGGCCAAGTGGGCACTGAGAAACACAGTTGTTGGCATGCACAGGTTCTGGAGAACACATTGAAATTCCCAAATACATACACTTTTATGAGAATAAAGGGCTCATTTGTGTTCAATTTGTGAGTCTCCTAGAGTAATGCAGTGGATACTGAGGTTAGATTCTGACAAATTTATTGTCACATTTTTCTCCATACTTGGAACCAAATAATAAAGAGAAACTAATGTCAGGAGAATAGACATTGAACTATCTCTGTTCATGGTGATTTTCAGAATAAGACTGAGATGTGATCACCTGAAGGGTGTCCTAATGCTTAACCCACAATTAGACCTGAGCAGCAATCACTGGCGGTGGAGGTCACCCACAAGGAGAAATACCTGACTCACTGAAGCTGCACCTGGCGGGGGGGGGTCTCTGCAGGCTCTGAGTCGTGCAGGAACAGCTCCTCCCTTAGACTCAGAGTGAGGAAAATCTCTGCTCTTTCTCTGGGGGAGGTGAGGGTTAGTGTGTGGAAAGAACCCAACTTACTTTAATAAAGATCTCTGTACTTGAACAGAAACAAAGAATGTGAGAAAAAACTAATTTCATTTTAAATAGAACAATTTCTCATGAGGAAGGCAATAATATGTCTGGATCTTACACAGAATTAAGAAACAATAAATTTGGGGTAAAGTTGAAAATTACAATTTCTTTGCAGGTTCTGTTCCTAATTATCTATGTCATCTGAGAAAATGAAGTAAAATCATGGTTTTATATAAAAATTCACAAACAGGGTGCTGGACCTGAGAATGCACCTCCCATCTCTCCAGCATCAGGGAGCCCAATAGAACAGGCAGCCAGCTGCTGCACCGCACTCTAACACCCGCCACCTGGTGTGTGCCAAAGACACCCATCCTGGGAGCTCCTCCCAGACAATGGCTGTGCACAGTGAAGACACTGAGACATGGCTGCTGCTGGGACACATGGGACATCTCTGATGGACAACTGTGCTCAGGGAGGCACAAATGGCCTCGTTGGACTTAGCTTAGACCACAGGATACTTAGGGCAGCTTCATCAAACTCCCACCCTCCTCCAGCACTAGTGGTGAGATTGACCTTCTGGGGTAACAATGTCTACAGACTCCCTGGCCTCCTGTGCATTTTTATGCCTCCAATACTTACATCTGCCTTTGCAACAAATGAGAATGTCCAGAGACCTCAGGGGTGGCCACAGAAGCATAAATGTAGAGAGGCTCCCAGGGAAACTGTTAGATGCAGAGGAAGCCTCAGACCCTCAAGGAAAGCAGCCCATGATGACCATCTGCACCTGCCCTAGAGCTTCCCCTGTTTTCTGTGGGTCCTGAGTGCCCTTTTAGCCCAGACTCCTCCCTTATTTCAGGAAATTCTGTGTCTGTGTTCACACTGATGTCTTCTTACCTGGTGCCTCACATACAGTAACACACAGCTGTGCCCTCTGCTCTCAGACTGTTCATTTGCAAACAGAGTGAGTTCTTGGCATTTTCTTTGGAGATGGTGAATCTGCTCTTCACAGATTGTGCATAACATATCTGACTTCTATCGTACTATATATCTACTACTCACTCCAGCCCCTTCCCTGGAGCCTGGGAATCTGAGCTCATTCAGTAGCTACTGAAGGTTAATCCAGAGTCTGCACAGGAGAGTCTCAGGGATCCCCCAAGTTGTCAAGTTGTCTTTGGTTTTCTTCAGACTCCACCAGCTGTACCTCACACTGGACACCTGCAAACTTTGTAGGTGTCCTGGTCAGAAAGTTCCAGACATATCCACTGTTTCTCTCAAGTGTATCCATTCACACTCAATCTCTCTAGTTCACCTTTTAAAACAGCAACAGTGAAAACCCAGCTCAGCCCAAGCTCCATGGTGGGTCCTCTGTCTTTAGTCCTGATCACCAAATGGAAACCCCTGGGAATCCCAGGGCTGGCGCTTCTCTCCCAGAGCTATGGGGTCAGGACTGGTCATCAGCAGAGGGAGAAACCTATTTGCATGTCTCCTACTGTATAGCAAGCTCTGGGATGGGAATCCTGAGGAGGGGCAGGGCTCAGAGCAGACAAAGTGCCCCCGAGATTGGTAGTCATCTTATCACTCAGGAAAATATCATTATATTATGTGATTGTGCCTTGATAATCATTTAGCAGTCATCATCTTCTTTTTGACATATTTGTAGAATACATTTAATGTAAGTGTCAATGTTGCATTTTAAGGAAGATAAATTACATACAGAACAGAGTGTTTATACAATGCATTCAAAGTCACACAGCTGGACAGAGTTAACCCCATTATCTCAGCCTGTGCCTCTGACCACTAGAGGAGACTGCTCCCCTGAGACAACTCCAGGGCAGTGTGGGACACACCTAGTGAGGTCTGCAGGATTCCACCCCTGCCAGGACATCTCTGTTTTCTTTTAGTGTATTCAGCCGTTTACCGGAAGTATACGGAGAGAACCAGTGTTCAAGCCTGTGTACTTTCAAGAGTCTGAGATGTTTCCAGTGTTCATACCCATCTATTTTTTGTTCCTCCTCAGTAAACATATTCATGTGTTTATTTGTTACTGCTTTTTTTAAGTACAATTAATAATTAATTCAAATCTACACTGCACAATTTGGAAAATGGTAACGTATGTGTGCAAACTTTAATCAGGTTGTGTACAATTAAGTTAACCCCTAAATCTTTCTGTCACTTCTCTGTAATTTCATCTCACCAGCCAATTACTTTCAACACCCGTTTCTCACAAATTTCAAATCTGCTCTGTTACTTTAGAATAGTTGGACCTTTTGCAGTTTATACAATTAGAAGTTTATGAATTGCACTCTTAATTCTTCAGCTACTTTCACTCAGCAGAGTTATTTGAGAATGTAGACATGCTTTTATGAGAATGAGGATGCCTTGATTCTAATTCTGCATTGTACTTTAGTTCATAATCATATGTCAAATTGTTTAACGTTCACCTGTAGTGGATATGGATATTTGATTTGTTCCCTTAGTTTCTGGCTTTTATATAGAAAGTGGCTACTCAGTGTGGGAATGTGAAAAATGAGAAAACTATGGTCTTATTCTGACCTCATTAACAACAAACCTGAAAAACTGAATAAATGAAGAAGAAAACCTTTTAACATATCTGAGTTGCTTTCACAGAGCTAACGAGAAGACTGAAATGTGAGGAGAGAGATGCCAGCAGAGAGGAGTGGGGCCCACATGTTGGTGAACCCAGGGCAGGTGCCACTGGATGGCATTGAGAGAGGAACAGGCTAACCTGGAAATATTTCGTGAGTATTTTTTTTGGATGCATGTGCTAATGGTATTGGAGTGTGAATCTACTAGTCCTTGCAGGATTTTCCCAAGAATTCGAAAAATCTACAGTCAACTCCCTTATCTGCTGTCCTGTGGTGCTGACAGGAAGGGAGGAACAGCGAGGACTGTTGAACGCCTGGATCCACCTCCACTGTCTCCAGGGGAAATCCAATCAAACCTGTGACCTATGGGGTGTGGTGGAGTCAACAGAAACTAAAGAAAACAGAAAATTCCCAAAGAACTACATCTAGAAGAAATTCTTAATCTGCAGGGTAAGTTCAATGGAGGAGAAGCTGAGGACACTGGTGAGAAACCATTGTGGTTGGGAAGACACTCTACCCCTGGGGGAAGAGGTACAGACAGGAAAATTGGGAGGGTCACCCCCAGAACTATGATTTTTACTCATGCATAAGAAGGAGGCTGATTCAGAAGGTTGGAGAACGTCCCCATTTGTTCAAGCCCCTTCTCCACATGGTCAACAAGTCTTCAGAATAATGAAGTAGCTGCCCCAGCTCCATTCTGACTTCTGTCATATGACAGTTTTTTGTGGATTTGCTTTCTGCTCTCTCATGATTTGTTTCTTCTCTCAACTCATAGCTCTATTCTCCTGTTAATTCTCAGTTTATTGAAGAGGTTCATATTTAGCTTAGAACATTACAATTTTTGGAAGAAATTTTTGTCTTAAACACACCAAATCTAATGAGCTCTCTCCAGGGATGCCCATCTGCTTTTTTGTCTTCCTTTCCTATGGGATATGGCCCTTTTTTCTCCCTGAGTCCAGCTCTTATATTCATATGCATAAGGAGTCCAACCATCACACACCCAGGGACATCTTGGAGGAACGGACGCTGCCATCCGTCTCCTCAGCCTTCATGTGCACAGTGGCCACTCTCTCAGCTGTTGTATGTGCTTTAGGGCTTTCCATTTAAAAGTGTCTTTCACTTTCCCCCCAAATAAAGTTCCTGGTCCTTAAATACCTTGATGAGCTAGTCTTCTTTTCTGTCCCTCTGTAGTTAATATGGTTTTATTCCATTAATATTCACTGGGGACATCAGTGAAAAGGGAAGTGACCAGCCATCCCATCCATTGTCTGACTTCTACCTGACGGACCCACCCATGAGCTTTACTCCACTGCTCTGCAGCTGATGGGACCATCTGGACCTTTATTAATAAGAGATGTGTAATTTATTAGAGAATGACTGAGATCAGCAGGTGCCTGAGTGCCTCAGAACACAGGTGTGTCCTGCAGTAGAGTGTGTGTGACTGAAATCACACGTGTGTATAACTCGTGGCCTCAGCCCAGAAGGTGATGGCAGCTTCTGGCCATTCGTAGGTAGCCCGATGAGGGGTGTCCAGAGAAGGATGGATGCAGGATGTGGGTTTTAGAAAGTGATGTGGGGTTGGGGCCACTGACGGCCAAATTTTATTTTAAGTCTATTCTGTCCTTGGCACTTGGGGAAGACTGGGAAGAAAGGAACAAAACTCAGACCCCATGTAGCTCCCCATTTAGGAAGAGATTCAGTGCAAATTTAGAAAGTTGAAGAAATAGACTATACTGCAGGGATCATTTCTATAGTCGGTTTGAGGTGGTTGAAGAAAAACAGTGACGTTGGTGATGTTGGTGTGGTTTTCTGTGACATACTAAGGAGACAACAGAAGATGGGCAGTGACCAGTCTCCATCCAGCTGGTACCCCTTGTCTATGTGTTATGTCCAAATAAAAGATAAAAGAAAACATTTGTGACACACACACAAGGGCTGGTTTCAGAGACCTTGCTCAAAAATGGCCAACAGGGTCATGACACATTTTTATATGAGAGCTACTATTTTTACCTACTTCACGTGGAAATCTGAGAGAAGTGTCCAGCCTCAGGGGGCTGCTCCTCCCTCCACGAACCAGAGCTAACAGAATTACGTGGTATCAGTCTGTTTGGATCTTCATAAGAAGACAACAGGAGTGGGTGGGTTAAACAACAAATATTGATTTTCTTACAATTCTGCAGTCTGAATGTGGAAGATCAAGGAGCTGTAAAAATTGGTTCTTAGCGCGGCTTCTTCCTGGCTTGCACAGGGCCACCTTCTAGTGCACTACGTCTCCTCACGGCTTCTTCTCTGTGTGCACGCGAAAAGTGAGAGGTCTCGGGTGTCTCTTCCTCTTCTTATAAAGACAACTGGTTTATTGAATTAGGGTCTCACACTTTGACCACATTTAACCTTAATTACATCATTAAAATTCCGGTATAGATCCATTGGATTTAAGGTTTGGGTAAATGAATTTCAAATAGGCACAATTCCATTGATGACACAAATCAAGAGATGGTGAGAACCATATATATATACGGTGTGTTTATATATAATATACATATGGTGTGTATATATATATTATATATATCGTGTGTATATATATAATATATATGGTGTGTATATATAATATATATGGTGTGTATATATATAATATATATGGTGTGTATCTATATAATATATATGGTGTATATATATGGTGTGTGTGTGTATGTGTATATATTTATACACACACACATATACGGTAAAATGAGTCACGCAGGAACTTGTAGGAAAGTTCCTAGTAATTGGTGAAACCTCAACAGTAAACAGAAAAATTGTCTTCCTCCTTTCTTGTCTGCCACAAGGATGTGAGGAAGCAGAACCACAGACAATAAAGAAACAGGAGCCCTGGGGACATCTGAGTGCTGGCGAGGAGGGAGATCACTGAGCTGATGAGGAAGCCCCGCCCTCCCTGCACCTGCTCCTGACCCGGCCTCGGGCTCTGTGGCCTCGCGCGCCCCCTGTTGGTCCTGAGCAGCACCTGTGCCCGCCCCCTCTGCCTATCTGTAGGGAGGTTTGTGTCTGGGCTCACACTCACCTCCCCTCACTGTGTATCTCGCACAGTAATACACGGCCGTGTCCGCGGCGGTCACAGAGCTCAGCTTCAGGTAGAACTGGTTCTTGGACGTGTCTACGGACATGGTGATTCGACTCTTGAGGGACGGGTTGTAGTAGGTGCTCCCACTATGATGGATTTCCCCAATCCACTCCAGCCCCTTCCCTGGGGGCTGGCGGACCCAGATTCACCAGTTACCACTGCTGATGGAGTCACCAGAGACAGCGCAGATGAGGGACAGGGTCTCCGAAGGCTTCACCAGTCCTGGGCCCGACTCCTGCAGCTGCACCTGGGACA
The DNA here is from genome assembly GCF_000001405.40 of Homo sapiens. Lineage (NCBI taxonomy): Eukaryota > Metazoa > Chordata > Mammalia > Primates > Hominidae > Homo > Homo sapiens. The sequence goes on from NT_187600.1 coordinate 1,098,096, forward strand.
GGACCCCTGTGAACAGAGAGAACCACGGTGAGCCCTGGGATGAGAGGCAGCATCTCATATCTTCAGGTCTGGATCCCTGAGGCACTCACATCTGGGAGCTGCCACCAGCAGGAGGAAGAACCACAGGTGTTTCATGTTCTTGTGCAGGAGGCCCATGAGTCTCAGAAAGTATTTCCCATGTGAGCTGGATCCCAAATTTAAGGAAATGTGTGCTGGTTTCCTGTAGGTGCCTAAGTGAGGATTTGCATGTGGGCGGTGACTTTGTATGGACAGGTGAAAAGGGAGGAGGGAGGCCCCAGTCTTTTGGGCTCGCCCTGGGAGTAGGAAGCTGGCTGTGCCCTCTGAGAACTCAGTTCTCTTCCTGTGGCCTCCCCTTACCAAGCCCATAGTCCTCTTCTTCCAGGTAGGGAAATGTGCTGAAGATGCTGGTCTGGGAGATCAGTGTGATCTTGGATCAGGGACAGATTTTGGAATAGGTTCAATGCTGTTCTATCCTTGAAGATTTATATAAAACAAACCACACACCCAGGTCATCTAAATTGTCATTTACCCCTTCAGACACATTGAAACAGCAGTGGAGTGTAATAATCACAGTGAATTCAGACCCTGGATCCATGCAATGTTTATTGTAGTTCAGAACATCCATCATGGTTAGAAGGATGCTCCCTGTCCCACGAAGTGGGTTATTTTTAAATAGCCCCTGAGAGCTGCCCTTCTGAGACCTTTTGAAATTTGGGTTTCTGCCTGAGATCTCAGGAGAAGGTAGTGGAATATATCTCTGTCCTTCTCAATGTGGGATCCTGAAGATGTGGCCTGACCTCTAAACACTTCTGTGTGAAAAGATGTAGATTGCGATAGCAGTGTCAACTTCAAACATAAACTCTATAGTACATCATCACTGGATGATAGTCTCATCACCAAGATTAATGCAATTACCTTTCCTGGGAACCAGAGAGGACTTCTGGGACCCCTCCCCTCTGAGAACACAAGGAACTCTGGTTCTTCCCTGACAGGTCACACCTGTGAAACATGGCTGGACAATGACACTTAAGCCCAGAGTCCTTACACACATATTTACCAGTTCAGATCCATCTGTCTCTGAAAGACTTTCTCCTCGATTCAATTGCATGAACATACCCTAGGATGTGCAATATTGCACATTGGGCCTTTGACATTACTTTGGTTAATTGTATAATAAATAATGTATCTCCATGGATGTGGGTAACAGGAGAGTCAGCAGAAATTGGGAGTGTTGTAAAATCAGATAAAACTGAGCTCTCTTCTTAGGACCTGAACAAGTGGGCTGACCTTATGTGAGACAACAGGGGGAACCAGGTGAGCCAGGTGAGCTCCTTACATACCAGGTGGTCTCTGGGCCTATTGTCTGAATAGATCCAGAAAGATCTTCCTCATCCTCAGAAGAATTATGAACATTGAAAGAAATTGAGATAAATTTTTATTTACAGAGATTAATTCATAGGCTTGTAGACATCTACCTGTGTGGAGTACAAGGTTGCTAGGATATGCTCATACACAGACCAGAAATAATTATATTTTGTGGAAAGTAACCAAAGAACTTCTGAATTTGTAGGTATTGCTTGCCACAAATGTGTCAGGTCACTAGATCATGTTATGATGCTAGAGGTAAAAACTTCTCAACATTGTCACCGAGACAAAAATGCAAAAATGTAAAAATTCAATAGAGATTCCCTTGAAAATCACCAGTAATGAACAGGCTGAAAGAAATCAACCATTATGGAAAGAGTGGTCATTAAATGAAACAGTAAATTCCATGCTGAGGTGAGAAGGAAGTTCCATCTGACAGCTCATTTTCACCTTTGCAAAGACTTCAGAGCACAGACTAAGAGCAGAGCGTGAACTTAGGGCAAACAGAAGCCAGATGTTTGAGGAGGTTGGAGAGTGAGCTGGAGTCATTGTGAGCCATTCAGAAAAGCAGAGTGTTCCAGGGTGTATTGAGTCCTCCTGAGTTAAGAGGTGCTGAATATATGCAAGTTTCACTGCCCTCATTGCATTTTATTCTCCAGACTCTCTTGGATGTCCAGATTTGAACACGTGGAGTGTTGATGGAACTCATGATAACTAGGAACTTTTCAGTGAAGGTGTAGGTAACAATGTGGGTATAATTAAATTCGGTTTATGAAAATATTATTATCCGAAATGTCAAAGTCAGTACCTATTAATTTATCTTTCTTTTGTATTTACAGGCAAGACTTGTTTTGTTGCCCAGGCTGGAGTGCAGACTCACCTATTAATTTTACAGCATAAAAATGATCAGCCCAATTTATGTAGTCCTATTATCTCTATCAAGGATATTTAGGTCCATGTGGCCTGCGACATAGCTCTAGTCACTGAGGGAAAAGCGGTGGTTTGTTGAGTTGATGCTGCTTCTTCAGAGCGGAATTTAAACAATCAACTCCTCACCTCACCCAGTCTATTTTTACAATTTTGGATGACGCTTGGGAATGCAGTTGCCATTTCTTACATAATGGGAGTTGACTGTGCCGTGAAGGTAACAGGAAGATGTGTAAATTTAAAGCCTGGTTACATAACCTGCTGAATTTTAAAAGACTAGAGCCAATCACGTTCTGACATCTTGTTTAATTAGTTCTGAATTTATCTTTCGTTGGTTACTTCAAGTTCCCCTAATTCACTTTCTGCTACAGTAGTCACATACAATAATCTTGATATAGTAAAATAAAAAATAACTAATTTGAAAATGAACCCGACTTCCAGGAGAGGTGAACATTTCTTTGGGGTGAATGGTGGGAAGGGTGGAGACATGGTTGAACACTGAGGTTGTGCTCACAATTGTTTTATTTTAATTAGGGGAACTTCTATATATCCCTTAAATTTATAAGACACTCCCAATGAGAACCTTGAAGTCAAGTAATTAGTTGATAGAACACAACAACAACGATGCTGAAGGTTATTGAGCAGGAATTGCTATCACAACGTTAGCCTTGCTTTACAACACATTTTTCTACCTGATGAGAAATTAGCCCAGGTGCGCTGATGAGAGCTTGTCAGTTAACCAAAGACCAGGAAATGGGTACACGTGTTTCTGGAGCAGGGCATGGCTTTGGGATGCTTTGTTAACAAAGTGGCTTCTCACGTCTTCTGGAAAACCCATCAAAATGGGCAAATTAAGGACCTCTTAGGAGCACCCGTCTATCCCACATTCCTGGCTAATATTAAAGCGGAACTCAATGCAAACTTAGATAAAATGGAAGTTTAGAGACATGCTGCACCACTGCCTCAGCTCATCACAGCTGCCTCCTTCCTCAGGGTTTCTAAAACTCTCGGGATGTGGGTTTCCACACGGTGTACCTCACACAGTAATAAATGGCTGCATCCTCAGTCTTTAGGCAGCTAGTCTGCAGATCCGCCGTGCTGACAGAGGTGTCCATGGAGAAGACAAACCGTGTGTGAATCTGTGGGCATACATTGGGTTCACCAGGGTAGGATGATCCATCCCATCCACTCAAGCCCCTGTCCTGGGGTCTGTCGTATCCAATTCATACCATAGGTGATGACAGTTTAACCAGACACCTTGCAGGAGACCTTCGCCGAGGCCCCAGGCTGCTTCACCTCAGGCCCAGACTGCACCAGCTGCACTCGGGAGTGGGCACCTGTGGAGAGGAGACAGCAGTGGGTGAAGTCTCACATGACTGGCCTGGTTTCTCCCTCAGCCCTGGGACTGGGGAGTCCCTTACCTGTTGCTGCTGCCACCAAGAAGAGGATGCTCCAGGTCCAGTCCATGGTGAGGAGCTGTGATCTAGGGGATTCTCCCAAGGAGGGGTGTGGTTGTTGGGTGATGCTCTCACGGCACAGAGATATCTGTATTAACCTTAGTGATTTGCATATTCACGAAGGATGCTATTGAATAGCCCAATTCCTGAGCCAGGATGAGATAGAGCAAATACATGACAGATGGACGACACAATTGTACATGCTGAGGGTTCAAGCCGTAATCCTGTTAGAGGCGATGCGACCCCTACACATCCCTGAACTCTGTGTTGACAGAGCTTCCTCCACTGGAGAACAAGCTCCCTCAGGACACGCACCTCACTTTGAACCCACATTCGAATGCACCAGGGACAACTTGAGCCATTTCTAGACCTTAATATGTGAATGCGTTATTTTGGGAATTAGTATGTTTCTCCAAAAATTGCACTTATTTAAAAGAAAGGATCTCTTCTTGACCTCCAGCTGCTTACTATTAAGATATCTAGGGGAGTTTGAAATCCCCATTGTAAAAGTGGTTGTCATTACAACATCCAGTTTGATAAATGCTCACAATTGAATAGGATATTTATACAAACAACAGCAGCCCTTGTGAAATACTTATTTTAGATATTTTCAAAGGAAGTCCCAGGCCCTGAGAGGAACCCCTCCCCAGCCTCCTGTGCACCTGCTCTGGGGCGGGAGACTGTGCTGCGTTTATCCTGAGCACCCCCTGCAGCCCAGCCCCTACCATGCACGAGGCTTTCTGTCTAAACTTACAGAGTATATTCATACCAGTGTCTCTAGCCCAGTATAAAGTGGCTGTGCCGTGGCTCAGAATTCTCCTTTAATGACAGCATGTGCTTCTCACACCATCTTTTGAAATAGTGAATTGCCCTTAGGAAACCCAGAGAACTCTGCAGGGAGACCTGAAGAAAAGATCTCAGGCATCACCGGGGAGCCCCTTCCTGGAGCTCTAGAGGCACTGAATCACTGGACACACGGTAAACCCAAACACTCTTCAGGGGTTTGGGGAGATTCTTGTTTCCTTTAGGGTCAGGCAGTTGATTATTGCACCTGAGACTACCTGCAGGTGCAGGTGCATGTGGATAGAAGCCCACTCCAACTCTAGTATTCAAATCACACCTACACACACACACACACACACACACACAGTGGCTAATTTTTACATTAATTGGCCCCATGTTTTTCCTTTTTTTCTGGTATTCATGTCATGGAAAGCACTCCCTACACTGACACTAAGGCTGAGTATGTGTTTACTTTCTGCAAATAGAAGTAAAGTAAACAAAATACAAGTGGACACCCGGGAAGTGCATGCACATTGAATTCACCTGGTCTCACTTTGGAACCCTGAAGATGCTCCATGAAAAGTAAATTTGAGGCCAATGAGGGTGAAATCATTTCCTTGGTGCTGAAGTTGCTGGTGTCAGAGGCTTCAAATTGCCATATTTTCTTTAACATTTTTTCTCTGACTTTCCTCCTCAGATAGAGTTTGTGCATTGCCACGCTCTCATATTTAATCCATATTGACTAAACTGGTGAGACATAATGTGTGGAACACGGAAGCATTACATGTTCTTACAGTTGCATTTTAATTCTGTGGTGATCTTCTTTCTCTGGGCTGTGCCCGATACAGGAAGTCTCCAGGTGTGAAGCTGATTTTTGCTCTTTTCTGGATGGAACATCACAGGAAAATTTTCTTAAATGTACCCCTATTGGCTAATTTTACCCATTTTCATGATAAAGTTAGGCTGCTGGCAGGGGCTTCTAATGGGTATGGATTACCTTTCCCCACATACATAAGGGTGTAAAAATGCCCTTTCCCTGGGTTGTCTGTCTGAAGAAGGTCTGAGTGATTTTATCAGAGATTTGGTCTCCTGGCAATAGAGCCATGAAGGGATCTGTGTGGATTCTCACCCTGAGGACCTGGAGGTTCCTGGAGGAAAGGGCAATAAGAGTAAGGGGGGTGGAGCTCCCAGAATCTCTCACCCTCATGCTAGTCCAGACATGCCCTTTATTTATATTTAGTTCAGGTTTTCATATAACAAACCACGCAGCCAGGCTCATTTAAATTATCCATACTCAGTCCATATAGGATCAGCAGCTGAGTATAACAATCACATTGAACTCAGACAAAACTGGGCCCAATCCAATGTTTACTGTAGCTCAGAACAGCTTTACTGACTCACTGAACTTGGAGATTATTTCTTCCCTGAAGGAACTGTGAGGGTTGCTGTGAAGCCTCTGCAGGGTTGGATTTTTTTTTGCATCAGCCTGTCATGCAGGGTATTCTGAATGATGTAGACCTTTACACTTAGATGGTAATTATTCCTAGTGTTGTGGAAATGGCTGGCAGTCCTCAATTCCGTTAATTCCTTTGGTTCATCTGAGTGTCTACAAGAATCTGATGAACCTCAGGACTCTCCTTCATAGAGGACTGCAAAGATTGTCAATAGACTCAGTGCTATGGACAGAGGGAGCTAATGGAAGATTCTCAGTCCACTGATATGTTGGGTGAGCAACTTAGGACACATCCAAGAATGAACCATTTTTGTCAATGCCAATCAATATTAAATTCAAAGTCAAGATTTTCAGTAAACTGGAGTGTAAAATTTTCATGATTCTGGACAATGGGGTCTCAAACTTCATGGTATGCAGAAGAAATGAGCTCATCATGGTTAGACAGAAGCTTCTTTACCTAGGAAGTTAGTTTTTCAAACTAAAGCACCAGAGACATGGTTTCCTGAGATCTTGTGAAAATTTATCTACTGGAGAAAAAAATCAGAAAAACTGATCTCAAATAATTGAAAGAAACCGTATAAGAAATTTTTAACAACACAGCCATGAAACTCCAGCCATGAAACTCCAAAAAACTCCAGTCAATTTTTTGGTTCATGTCTTACAACTCAAGAAGCAATGAAGAAATCTGCAAAATTGGAAGCTTTCTCCAACAGAGATCATTTTCCCTAATTGAGCAATAGAACAGTATTTATAAAGAGATACTTTTTCATGGGACCTCCAACTTACACAGATTTCTGTGACCTGAAGAATTTTCCCTAAAAGAATCATCCTCTAGACATCTGTGTATGCAAAAATACATTGTGTATATTTGTGTATGATTAATCTGTAAAAGCCTTTGGCATATTGAACAAACTTCATGTAAAGGTGATAACTTTATCACTTACTGTGCACTCACACTTTACTTGTTTCAAAAGTTCATCACCCTTGTGATGCAGCAATAGGTGCGTTTGAGAATGTGCTGTTGCTTCAAGTGAACACATTCTAGATCCTCATTTGACTTCGCGGTTTCATATTGAGTATCGACATACCTATGACTGAAAGCCCAACATTTTTATCCAACTGAGTTTCCTTTTATGATATCATTCTGAACCCTGCTAACAGCCTCCATCATGCATGCTTCCAATCTTTTGCTTTTGAGGGAGTAAGGGATAAAATTAATCCTTGCTTTAATGTGAGACGCTTTCTTGACTTCTATCATATTTATTAGAAATTCTCATGGAGAGCCATAATCAAACATTATTTGTTTATGGATCATACCTCAAAACTGAAACTGTTTTTCATAATGGCTATACCACTCTATATTTTCACAATTATGGAAAGCAATATAAAGGCACCAAATGAATTAAAACTGGAAATGTTATATGACCAGAAATTCTGCTTTTAGAAATATACCCAAAGCAGATGAAATTACCACCTTGTTAAGATAGTTGAATCCTATGTTTATTGAAACACTATTAATCTTAGCCAATATATGGAAACAATCTGAGTGTCAGTAGATAGACAAATGGATAAAGACAATGTTGTATTTATACACCATAGAAAACTATTTAATCTTGCAAAACAAGAAGATGCTGCCATTTGCCACAAGATGGATTCATTCCCATAACCACTAACAGGGCACACCATCCATTATAGTTCCTCCCTAGGGGATGGCAGATCCTTACTCAGTAGTAAACACTGGCAGTGATGGGAAGTAGACTTTTATGAACTATTGAATTTTTCAGCATAACATATCAAAGTCTTAAAATATTCTGCTGTGTCCGCATGTGATAAAGTGGAGTCTAATATTAGAGGTAAAATTAAAAGTGCAGGGATCTTCTAGACACCAAGTCATAGCATGATCATGTCTGTGTACTTGAGGGTGTGGACCATAGGTCATGAATACTAGTTGGAGTGGTTTTGACAAAAGATGTTCCAGGGATAAAACTTTCTTCAACTGGCCAGAGGCTGCACAGGTGAGGCAGAGGGTCAGTGAGGGCACTTCCAGTCTAGGGCTGACTCCTGTAGCTGCTCCTAGGACAGGACACTTAGAGATATAGAGTCTCAGTCCCTGTCAGTCACGTGCAGTCACAACCATCCCTATAAGTCAGGTCTGACATCTGAAACACTCAACTTGAAAGCAGTCACTGGGCAAAGGAGAAGAAATAACAATGTCATCACCTTCATGAACACAACTCTGCATTCCTCTCAGATCTTCGCCTTCTCTAAGGACAAAGTGATTGGCTTTTCCATTCCCAATGTTGACTCTGAAGGCTTGAAGAAAAATCTTGATGTGGCACAGCTTTGCCTTTGCCTTTATAAGAGAGAGACTGAGGTCAGACTCCCCTGCATTTGAAAGTTTTATTGTTGTCTCTCTTTCTGGCTGAATTGAAGTACTGCCTTGCCAAAAACCACAGCCATTAAGGGTGATGAAGCCTTCTTGATTCTGATGTTTCAACTTGGGACATACGAACTTCTATATCAATTGATTCATGCAAATCTCAGGAGAATAATTACAAAATAACTCTCTAATTCATCAGTATTACTCCAATACTAGGCTGTTCTTACTGCCAAAAATCTTCTGGAAAGGTTGATGAAGAAATACATAGTAAATTCAATTTTAAAATTAAAATTATCAGAACTTTCAGAAACCCCTGAACACCCTTTGCCAAAGGTAGTGCCACTAGTGTGTATAACCTCTAGTTCACTCCTTCAGGGACACAGGCATAATTACCCTATGACTTATATCTGAAGGTCCATGGATGATTTATTTTACCTCCCATATTAGACTGTGCTATATTACATGCAGAACAACAAAATATTTTAAGAGATTGATATTTGCTGTATTAGTCTGTTTTCACACTGCTAATAAAGACATACATGAGACTGAGTAATTTATAGAGGAAAAAGTTTAATGGACTTACAGTTACACATGGCTTGGGAGGCCTCCACATCATGGTGGAAGGCAAGGAGGAGCAAGTTTTATCTTACATGGAGATGGCAGCAGACAAAGAGAGGGCAGGGAACTCCCGTTTTTTAAAACCATCAGATCTCATGAGAGTCATCCACTATCACAATAACGCACAAAGAAGAACTCCCTCCATGATTTAATCACCTCCCACTGGGTTTCTCCCACGACACGTGGGAATTGTGGGAGATACAATTCAAGATGAGATTTGTGCAGGGACACAGCCAAACCATATGATTCCAACACTGGCGCCTCTTAAATCTAATGTCCTTACGTTTCAAAACCATTCATGACTTTCCAACAGGCCCCTGAAGTCTTAACTCATTTGAGCCCCAACTCAAAAGTCCACAGCCCATGGTCTTTTCTGAGACAAGGCAACTCCCTTCCATCTATGAGCCTGTAAAATAAAAAACAAGCAAGTTACTTCCTAGGTACAATGGGGGTTCAGGCATTGTGTAAATACAGCCATTGCAAATGGGAGAAATTGGTCCAAACTGCAGGCCACGTGCAAGTCTGAAATCCAGCTGGGCAGTCAAATCTTAACGTTCCAAAATAGTCTTCTTTGACTCCATGTCTCAAATCCAGGTTACCGGATGCAACTGGTGGGTTCCCATGGTCTTGGACAGTTCTGCCCTTGTGGCTTTGCAGGGCACAATCTCCCTTCTGGCTACACTCATGGGCTGTCACTGAGTGTTTCTGGCTCTTCCAGGCACACTGTGCAAGCTGTCAGTGGATCTACCATTCTGGGTTCTGAAGGATGGTGGCTTTCTTCCTACAGTTCCATTAGGTGGTAACCAAGTAGAGACTTTGTGTGGGATTTCTGACCCAGCATTTCCCTGTCGCACTGGGACTAAAGGCACGTGCCACAACACCTGGCTAATTTTTGTATTTTTCGTAGAGATGGGGTTTTGCCATGTTGACAAGGCTGGTCTTGAACTCTTAACTCCAAGTCATCTGCTTGCCTAAGCCTCCCAAAATGCTGGGATTACAGGCCTGAGCCTCCGTGCCTGGCCAAGACGAATGTAACTATGAAATTTAATGATGTATTTGAAAACTTGATGGTCATACAAGCACACATACATACACAACAGCCCAGCAAAGACACATACATGTGCCCATGCAAAAGTGAATGTATATCTAAACACCAAAACAACGCACCTATTTGTTTCATTTTTTTTTTTTTTTTTTTTTTTGAGACGGAGTCTCGCTCTGTCGCCCAGGCTGGAGTGCAGTGGCGGGATCTCGGCTCACTGCAAGCTCCGCCTCCCGGGTTCACGCCATTCTCCTGCCTCAGCCTCCCAAGTAGCTGGGACTACAGGCGCCCGCCACTGCGCCCGGCTAATTTTTTGTATTTTTAGTAGAGACGGGGTTTCACCGTTTTAGCCAGAATGGTCTTGATCTCCTGACCTCGTGATCCGCCCGCCTCGGCCTCCCAAAGTGCTGGGATTACAGGCATGAGCCACCACGCCCGGCCTGTTTCATATTATTCTAATTATTTAACTGAATTTAAATTGTGTTTACAGTTTGAGATTGTAGTACAAAATGATGCTTTTCTACGTGTATGTCTGCCTCTACCAATATTAAAAAGACAAATATATTTAAATACGTGTTTTGGTAAAAATGTATGTAAATGCCATTCTTGTCAAATACATCACTTAAATGTGCAATGGAATTTATTTTAAATATCTTCTGTTTTTAATAAATTGAATAACCAATAAGACAAACGTCACCTTTAAAATTGTATTATATTATTTGTTGAATTTACATTGTAGTTTTCAAACTAGGCAGGAAAAATTGTTTTATTTGAAAAGTTTTGAAAGAAAACTTTTTTGGCATGAATATTCAATACAAACTCTAATCTTAATTGCCAGTATTCCTTTAAAATAGAGAAGATCCAGCAATATGAAACTGAACACAGCCCATGATTTCCAGGACTCACTCACAATGGCATCTTCCTAGAGGGTGGTCTTAGAGAGTCTAAGCACATGGGGATTTGAACGTCATCATCAAAGCACTAGTGAGCCCCAGGGCTGAGCACACACAGGGAAGCAGGAACTGCAGAGCCCACTCTGTGGTACTTAGGGAAGGGAGGGGATGGGATGAGTGTGATGTGTGCAGGACCCTAGAAAAGGGTGAGGAGGGCAGAGAGTCTGCAGGTAGACGAGCATATTCTAAGGAGAACTGTTATCCTCCTAAACTTGGTTGGCTTCAGTGGTTATGAAGAGAAGGGAACTGTTCACCAGACTTGGAGGACAGAAAGTAAAGGGACTTTCTTTATCCTGCATGGAAACTGAGAAAGAAAAAGACTTTCAAAGAAAAAGGGAAGATGAAGAAATAGTCTGAAAAACAGGACACCCGAAGCGAACCAAAGGGGAGAACAAGAGCGTTTAAAGAGGTGTTTAATTTCCAAAAACAGCAAATGAAAGAAAAAGAAACAGAACACCATGCATATGCTGAGTTACAGTTAGAAAATATATACAACTGATTATTACAGCACAAAGACACAAAGCTCTACTTATTGAAACAGTTTGTATTTTTAAGAAAGGGTCTCACTCTGTCAACCAGGCCGGAGTGTAGTGGCACAATCACAGCTCACTGCAGCATCAACCTCCCAGGCTTAAGGGATCCTCCCACCTCAGACTTTCAAATAGCTGGTACCAGAGGTAGCACCACACCTAGCTATTTTCTTTTTCTTTTTCTTTTTGTATGGAAAAGATCTAAATGTGTTGCCAGGCTGTTCTAAAACTCCTGAGCGCAACTGATCTGCCTGCCCGAACCTCCTAAAGTGCTGGGATTAGAGGTATGATTTTAAAAATTTTACTATTTTCAAGATAGTATCATTTTACATAAATAAAATATATAAATAACCAATTTTAAAAATTGTCCTGAGGGAACATTGCTACTATTACTCGGAAAATCTGCAGAATTAAAAGTTGAATTAAATCCCTGTTCTAACTTAATGTTTTGTAGGTAAAAAAAAATCATGGATTTACAAAGAAGAAATGGTGAGAGATCCTGGGGAAGACTTTTGCTTGACCAGGTCGGGAATCACCAAGGTTTAAAACGAAATCACAGCCTCTCAGGCTCCTGATGTGGAGCTGCTTCCTAAGAGAACCCCCGTGTACTGAGCGCCCCCTGGTGGTTCTGAGTGCCCCTGGTGTCATGAGCGCCCCCTCGTGGTACTGAGGGCACTCTGATATCCTGAGCACCCCTGATGCTTCTGAGCGCCCCCAGGTGTCCTGAGCGCCCCCTGGTGGTTCTGAGAGCCCCCTGATGTCCTGAGCACCCCTCATGGTTCTGAGAGCCCCCGATGTCCTGAGCACCCCTCATGGTTCTGAGCACCCCCAGGTGTCCTGAGCTCCTCCTGATGGTCCTGACTGCCCCTTTGTGGTTATGAGGAGCATCTACCATGCAGTTCCCTCCTGTCTCTCTGCAGAGATTTTTGTGTCTGGGCTCACACAGATATTCCCTCTCCTGTGTCCCTCACAGTAATACACAGCCTTGTCCTTGGCTTTCAGGTTGGTCATTGTAAGGTAGACTGCACATGAAAAGGTGTCGCTTGGGACTGTTAATTTATTTGTACTCATGGAGAGTAACTCTGAGAACTCCCACTTGATCACTCACTGTTTCCACCCACACCAATCCCTGTCATGAAGCCTGCTGGACCAAGCTCATGCTGTAGCCAGTAAAGGTGAAATCAGAGGCTTTGCAGGAGAGTCTCAGTGAACCACTGGGCTGTACAATTTTCTGCCTCTGACTCCATCAATAAACTTCACACAGGACTTCTGCAAACACTGAGGAAATGGAAGAACGGCCCCATGTGGAACAGCCGCAGCTGGACCTGATTCACAAGGGACACTAATATTGAGGGTGATGAGAAGGGAAGCCCAGATCAGTGCAGACCCCATGGTGTGGACACTGATCAAGGGAATATACATGGGGTGGCTCCTCACCAGGGCCTGAAGGAACAGGGGATGAGCTGCCTTTCATGAGGAGGGGAGGGGACACATTGCCATGTCTTTCCTTTTGTGGTCATGGGTGCACTGCTCAGCATTGCTCATCCTTCCTCTGTGTCTCCATTTCGGAAGGGCAGGATCAAAGGACTCCTGGGTCTGGATGCACAGGGTTAATCTGCTTATTACTCTTTCTTATTCTCTCGTATGGACAGTGTTCGGGTATCTTCATAGTAGCAAACATTATTAAAAAATATGTCCAGTAAGAACATAAAAATACATTTCCAGAGAAAAGGGATAAATTTCTCACAAAACAGTTAAATATTGGATATAGGTGCTTGTGTAAGGAAACAGTCAATGTGGAAATCCACAGACTTATCTGACTGAAGACATGTTTGCTTGTCTGAGACAAGAGACCACATGATGCAATGTCTGTTTTCTGAGGAAATAGTAAATGTAAGGACAAATGTTGTAATCTGAGGAAAGAGTCCACGTGGGGACATGTGTGTTTGTCTGAGGGAAGAATCCACATGAGTAAAGGTGTGTTTGTCTGACAGAAGAGCCCCCATGTTGACAGGTGTGTGTACCCATCTGAGGGTAAATGCCCATTCAGGGACAGTGTATGCCTGACGTGTGCTGAAGCTTGTAGAAAATCTTTCTCAACCAAGGAAAGAAAAGAATCCTATGAGTTATTTGCTTGACAGAAGGAAAAAAATACTGGATCACGTAGAAATTTTTTTTTATTAAAGGTCTTTAGTGAATGGTAACATCTTACATGCAAATGAGGAAAATGCCTTCATTCTTTGTTGCATATGTCTCATGATATCCCCACCCTCATCAAATAAGTTATTAGATAATTTTACACAGTCTTGTTTAACCCTGGGGTTAATGAACTGCTAAAGTTTTTTTACAAAAATTGTATATATTTAGGTTTATATTTTCTGTCACAAAAGTATGAGCTTAGCCAAATTAATTGTGTTGTGTCTCAACCATTGTATATCACTAAAAACAATTTTACTCTTCTTAAACAGTGCCATTTTTACTTATTTTATACCCACTCTCTAAATTCCTTGAATATCCTCTATATGTTTACCGGACTATAGTTTTGGCTTTGAAAGAATTTCAAATAAATGACATTATACATTGTCATTGAAATGACTTCACTGAGGAGAGTGGAAAATGAAGTTGCTGACCTAAGCAACTTTGAAAATGAAGAAATTCTATAAGTTTACAGTGTAAAGAAACTGCACATAAGCAGTCTGTTCTAGTAGATAAACATGTTTCCAACGAGCTTTACATTTCTGATACTGCTATGCATGTGTCCTGAAATTGTGCAGCTAAGTAATAAAATGGCATATGGTGGGATGGGGTTCCTCACTTTGCAGTGGGTGGTTATGGACAGTGAGGGAAGGAAGGCTGGAAACATCCATATGGTAGCATAGTTGGATGGAGACACCAGTGTGTTCTCATTTTTAATGTAATCACATTACAGAGGATTAGATACATAAATAGTTTCGATGTGTCCATAAACTTGGGTTCCTATAAACATGCCCATTTACTAGGCCAATTGGTGGAGATATCCTAGAAGAAGTACTGATACCACATTAACAACACACATACCCAGGATCACATTTTTAAATTTCAATACTGTTCTTTAACATGAAAAACAAGCAGTCTTTAGAAAAATGGCTGATTCTATGTACAAAAAAGGTAACGTAGAGAACAAGCTTAGAATTTATTGTAATACTTGGAAACAGGGAAATGTCTAAAAACAAAAAGATGAGGTGTGCTGTAAGGATGCAGGATCCAAACTAAATGAGCTCCCAGCACCTAATAAAGCTGTGGTGTTTTGAACAATAAAACAAGTAATGTAACAAGGATCTTCTTCGGAGTATGAAATAGACATCCATAAACCAATAGGAACATCAATAGATGACTAAATAAAGAAATAATGGGAAGGACACATCTCCTTACAGAAGTATTCCAAATGTCTCAGGTGGATAGTCCTCCAATCAGGTAGGGAAGGTTAAACACTCATGAGTTGATTGTGTCCTAAGATTAGAGACATGGAAAAAATAATGACTATTGTGTCTTTTACAATGAGATTTCAGATATACTGCCAAAGACATGATCTTTAAATGAATAAAAATGTACATTTTTAAAATCTAAATTTGTACATACACAGGCACACACACACACAAACATTTTTCTGCAATACACAGGGATAAGGGAGTAAAAGACAACTGCAGACTTGGAGAAAAAAATTCCAAGATGCATATTTGTTAAATGAATTATTTTAATTTGTTAAATGACTTTTATAATCAATATGCAAGCATACTTACAACTGATAAAAAATGCATTTAAAAAATGAACCAAATATCACGAGAGGCATCTCACCAAAAATTATATAAAAATTGTTAAATATGAATTTTTTAGGGACATGTGCATTTAAATAAAAATTAGATACCGTTACTCACCTATTAGAATGGTTAAAACACACAACACTCTTAATGACAAATGACAACTTGAATGAGGAAAACCAAGAACTATCATGCATTGACGGTGGGAATTCAAAATGGGGCATGCACAAAATAAGATTCTTTTTGGCATTTTTTAAAAATAGAGATAAAAGTAGAGTAAAAATGTGATCTTGTGTCTGTGTTCCAAAATATTTACAACACTGATTCAGAAATTGATGTTTACGAAGATGCCTTCAGAGGATGTCTATATCAGCTTTATTAATTTGATTCATATTCCAATCCCTGAAATAGCTTACAGAATAAATGTTGTATGAAAAATCTCTCAATTAAAATTTCACAAATACACATTTATGTTGTTCCTCTTCTTTAATGACTTGAAGTCGTTTTCTAAGAAAATCTTCAATCTAATAACCTTTGTCATCCCCTCCATGCCAGTACAGCTGCCTCCTTCCTGGCGTTTCTGACACTCTCAGGATGTGGGTTTTCACACTGTGTCTGCCGCACAGTAATACACGGCCGTGTCCTCGGATCTCAGGCTGCTCAGCTCCATGTAGGCTGTGCTTGTGGACATGTCCCTGGTAATGGTGACTCTTTCCTGGAACTTCTGTGCGTAGTTTGTGTTACCACTGCCAACGACGATCCATCCTATCCACTCAAGGCGTTGTCCACGAGCCTGTCGCACCCACTGCACAGCAGAGCTAGTAAAGGTGAATCCAGAAGCCTTGCAGGAGACCTTCACTGAGGTCCCAGGCTTCTTCACCTCAGGCCCAGACTGCACCAGCTGCATTTGGGAGTGGGCACCTGTGGAGAGAACACAGGAGTGGATGAAAGCCACCTTGACTGGACTCAATCCCCTCCTCATCACTGGGACTTGGCATCTCCTTGCCTGTCGCTGCTCCCACCAAGAAGAGGATCCTCCAAATCCAGTCCATAGTGAGGAACTGTGCCGTCAGGGGCTTCTCTAGCGGAGGGATGTGGTTTCTGGATGATGCTCTCAGGGCTGACAAATATCCATATTTACCTCAGTGCATCTCAGGTTATTTGCATATTCATGAGTCAGAGCATTTCATAGCTGAAGACCCTGATTTGGGATAAGAAAGGGAAGGTAAATGACACATCAGCCTTACAAGAGTGGGATGCTGATGCTCCAAGCCCTAATCCTCCTTGAGGAAATGCATGCCCTGCTCCATTTACAAACTTTTGGTGGCCAGACGTCCTTTCACTGAAGACCAAGCACCCAGAGCACATGTTCCTCCCTGTGAACCCATATTTGATTAGCGTAGAGACCACCTGGATGATTTCTGGAACAATCACTCTCCATGACACTGAGAAGGTGCCTTGACCCCATCCTAGTCCCATCAGGCACCAGCACAGCTCACTGGTTACTCTGAGAAAGTGACTGCTGATGTCCCACGTGAGTGTCCAGCAGGTCCCCCTGAGATCATCTGGGCGCTCCTGAGACAGTGTCTCCAGCACCTGCCTGGAATCCTGATCCACCATGATCCTCAATAGAAACACTCCTGGTTTACAGATTTGCCCTGTGATGTACAATTAGAGCTGAATTTCTCATCTCATGGACAACAGGAATCAGAAGACGTAAGAGAAGTTTGGGGTTCCTGATGAACTCACTGCTCCCAAAATAATCGCCAAGGAATTTGTGTTTTGGATAAGTTTGGGTTTTATTTCCTACTCCATTTAATAGAATTTCATGAACTGTTTACTTACTTTCAGTTCATATCCATAGATCCTCATCTTTCCATATTGATTTCTGACTCACTAGGTCTGTGCACCTGCCACACTCTCAGATCCACCACTGCCCTGTCACTCACACAATGTAGGCAACATTACTTAACACTGAAATCTGAATTTTTTATTCATAGGAACATAGTGACTCCCACAATTCTGTATCCTTTCAATTAGTGAAACCATTCCTATCCTTTATATCCTCACTATTAAGATACTTGCAGTCCTCGGAACCCCACAATTCTGTATCCTTTCAATTAGTAAAACCATTCCTATCCTTTATATCCTCACTATTAAGATACTTGCAGTCCTCGGAACCGACTTTAAAACACAGTTCTGGTTGCCTTCAGTTATAGGAAAGGCTCTGACGGAACAGGATACTTAAAGACACATCAGCAACTTCTTGAACACTTAGGATTTTTTTTGTTGCCAAAGGAAGACACAGGCGCTGAGAGGGAACCTCGTCCCCAGCCTCCTGTGCACCCCTCCGGGGATGGAACCTGTGCTGGGCGGCTCCTGCGCGCCCCCTCCAGCCCAGCCCTTGCCTTGCAAGGAAGTTCCTGTGGGGCTCATAAAGCATTTTCCACCAGCTTCCCTCGCCTAACATGAAATGGCTTTGTCCTGGTTTAGAATACTCCTTCAGTGACAGCATACGCTGCTGACACCATCTCTTCAAACAATTGATTAGCCTTACTAAATCTAATGAACTCAAAGCAAGGATGCTATGACACAGGAGGGAGCCCCTTCTCTGAAGCTCCAGTTGCACTGAATCAGTGGATAATGAATCCAAAATCTTACAGGAGATTTGGGTGTGCCTTGGTTCTTGCAGTTGAATGTTGCATCTGAGATTTCCAGCAGGTGCAGATGCTTTCAGATGAGAGCACACTTCATATCCACTATTCCAATAACACACGTTTTCCCTTCCTTCTTGTGCCTCATCTGTAGAAAGTGCCTCCCACATTGACACTAGGCCCAGGTGTCTGACATTTTTCTCCTAGAGATCTAAAGCAAACAGGATACAAGCGGAGACTTCGGAAGTGCATGCAGGTTGTTATTTTGTTTGTCTCAGTTAAGAATCTTGGAAAGTCTTCATGATAAAAGAAGCTGAGGTGAATGAGGGAGTTTCCAAGATCTTGTTTTTAAAAATGTTCACGTCAGAGGCTTCATATTGCTCTACTGTCCTTGTCTAACTCCCTGCCATTGCTTTTTTAGTGTCCCTATGTTCTCCTCAGAGACTGTGCATTGGCACACTCTCATATTTAATCCAGAGCCATCATCCTGGTTAGAAAGGATTGTGCAGTGCGGGTCAGCACTGCTTGTTCTGACCATGGAAACCTAGAGACTCAATCAGATTCCTTTTCTGGGCTGTGACCTTGACCAGGCATCTCCAGGGGAAAAGCTGAATTTTCATCTTTACTCCTTTTTGTGGCTTCAGTTTCCCTGGACTATTTGCTTACATCTTACCCTATTGGCTAAACTTACTCATTTGTATAATAATGGAGGAAGTGGGGAGGGATCTGGAATGGGCAGATTTTTCTTCCCTTCACATAGTATGAGGTTCTGGAAAAGTTCTTCCCTGTAGGATCTTTTGGAGAAGGCTCCTGATATATTTTTCAGTAATTAAACTTCCCCAGTTATGACCCATAGGAAACATATTTGGATTGTATTTTTTAGATTCTGGAGATTTCTAGAGGGAAATTCCAGAAGACTGAGGAGAGTGCGGCCCTCTGGAACTGTCATTTCACCCTAGTCCACATCTGTCTTGCAGACGTCTATAGTGCTAACCACGTAAGTGCCTTCAACAGCTTGTGGCTTCTGAAACTTCTCTTCCAGTTAAGCAACCATCAACTGCTATTCTGGACATGCCCATCTCTCTAGTTTTTGGGGTGGTAATTTAAAAAATGGAATTTCATTCATTTGATGGATTCTAAAATGTATTGAAGATCAGATTGTGCAGATGACTCTTGGCATAAGAATGAGGGTGATGACTTTTGTAATCTTTACACTTTGGAGCAAAGACCAAAAGTACAACCATAGGTCCTTTTCATGTGTTACTGGAGGCAGGATTCTAACCTGATTACATAGATGTGGCACCTGGTCTGACATAAATGAACAGGCAAGAAAACAAGAAAGGACATGGCACAACGCTTATGAAAAAGTCTCTGCAATTTTAATTTTCTCATGAGGAAGCGGAAATTGTGAAAGTGTAACAGTGTGACTGGTCATTTCTCAGGTGATGTGTTCTGGAAAGTTTCTCCAATCCTGGGCTGGATCCAGTAGGTGTACTCAGGCACCCAAGCCTGAAACAGGGACTCTTATTCCTTAAACAGAAGACATTCCAATGAGAAAGCTGTTCTCAGGTGAGTTGCAGAGCATGGAGGAGGAGATAGAGGCGTCCTTGGCTTCCCAGAATTGCTGAAACTTGAAGACCAAGGCCAGGATAGATAAGACCTTTCCCAGAGAAGCAAAAACTAAAGGAGTTATTCAACGCTGGGCCTGCCTTAAATACCAATCAGTGCAAATTTAGAAAGTTGAAGACATAGAGTAATGTTGGTGTGGTTTTCTGTGGCATACTTAGGAGACAGCAGAAGATGGTCAGTGGTCAGTCTCCATCCAACTGGTACTCATTGTTCATCAGTTATGTCCTAATAAATGATAAAAGGCAACTTTTGTGACAAAGCCCCCAGGGCTTCTTTAAAAGACCTTGCCCAGAAATTGGCCAACAGGGACATGACAAATTTTTATATCAGAACTACTATTTTTTGCCTACTTTATGTGGAAATCTGAGAGATGTGCCCAGCCCCAGCGGGCTGATTCTGCATCCAGGGGACAGCGCTAACAGAGTTATGTGGTATTAGTCTGTCTGGATCTTCATAAGAAGACAACAGGAGTGGGTGGCTTAAACAACAAATATTGATTTTCTTAAAATTCTGCAGTCTGAATGTTGAAGATCAATGTTCTGGCAGGGTTGGTTCTTGGTGAGGCTTCTTCCTGGCTTGCACTGGGCCACCTTCTAGTGCATTACGTCTCCACATGGCCTCTTCTCTGCCTGCACGTGAAAAGTGAGAGGTCTCTGGTGTCTCTTCCTCTTCTTATAAAGACGACACGTCTGTTGAATTAGAGTCTTACACTTATGACCACATTTAACCTTAATTATTTCATTAAAATTCCAATATACATCAATTGAATTTAAGGTTTCTGCATATGAATTTCAAAGAGGGCACAATTCAGTTGATGACACAAATCAAGAGATGCTGAGAAGCGTTAGAATATATATTTTTTAATCAGTAAGCTATAATGGGCCATGCAGGAACTTCTAGGAAAGTTCCTAGTAATTGGTGAAACTTCAACTACAGACGAAAATTTGTCTTCCTCATTTCTTTCTTGGCACAAGAATGTGAGGAAGCAGAACCACAGATAATAAAGAAAGAGGACCCCTGGGGACAGCTGAGGTGCTGGCGAGGAGGGAGACCACTGAGCAGATGAGGAAGCCCCGCCCTCCCTGCACCTGCTCCTGACCGGGCCTCCTGCTCTGTGGGCCCCGCGCGCCCCCTGCTGGCGCTGAGCAGCACCTGCGCCGGTCCCCTCCGCCTCCCTGCACGGAGGTTTTTGTCTGGGCTCACACTCACCTCCCCTCACTGTGTCTCTCGCACAGTAATACACGGCCGTGTCCGCAGCGGTCACAGAGCTCAGCTTCAGGGAGAACTGGTTCTTGGACGTGTCTACTGATATGGTGACTCGACTCTTGAGGGAGGGGTTGTAGTTGGTGCTCCCACTGTAATAGATATACCCAATCCACTCCAGTCCCTTCCCTGGGGGCTGCCGGATCCAGCTCCAGTAGTAACTACTGATGGAGCCACCAGAGACAGTGCAGGTGAGGGACAGGGTCTCCGAAGGCTTCACCAGTCCTGGGCCCGACTCCTGCAGCTGCACCTGGGACAGGACCCCTGTGAACAGAGAGACCCACAGTGAGCCCTGGGATCAGAGGCACCTCCCATATCCCCATGTCTGGATCCCTGAGATACTCACATCTGGGAGCTGCCACCAGGAGAAGGAAGAACCACAGATGTTTCATGTTCTTGCACAGGAGGTCCAGGACTCTCAGAAAGTATTTCCCATGTGAGCTGGAACCTGAATTTAAGGAAATGTGTGGTGGTTTCCTGTGGGTGCTTAAGTGAGGATTTGCATGTGGGTGGTGCCTTTGTATGGAGAGGTGAAAAAGGAGGAGGGAGGCCCCAGTCTTTTGGGCTCGCCCTGGGAGTAGGATGCTGGCTGTGCCCTTTGAGAACTCAGTTGTCTTCTTGGGGTCTCCCCTCTCCAAGCCCAGAGTCCTCTTCTTTCAGGTAAAGAGACGTGCTGAAGGACCTGGTCTGGGAGATGAGTGTGATCATGGATCAAGGACAGATTTTGGAATATGGTCAATATTGTTCTACCCTTGAAGATTCATATAAATTGTCATCTAAATTGTCATTTACTACTTCAGACACATTGAAACAGCAGCTGAATGTAATAATGACAGTGACTTCAAACAATCCTGGATCCATCCAATGTTTATTGTAGTTCAGAACATCCACCATGGTTATAGGGAAGCTCCCTGTCCCTGGAAGTGGGTCATTTTTTAAAAGCACCTGAGAGCTGTCCTTCTGTGTCCTTTTGAAATCTGGGATTCTGTCTGAGATCTCAGGAGAAGGTAGTGGGACATATCTACATCCTTCTCAATGTGTGACCTTGAAGATGTGTCCTGGCCTCTAAACACTTCTGATTGAAAATATGTAGATTGGGGATTGCAGTGAGAACTTCAGACAAAAACTCTATAACAGGTCAGCACTGGAGGATAGTCTCATGAAGATCATGAAGATTAGTGCGATTACCTTTCCTGGGAACCAGAGAGGAACTCTGTGACCCCTTCCCTCTGAGAGCACAAGGAACTCTGATCCTTCCCTGACAGGACACACTTGTGAAACATGGCTGGACAATGACACTCAAGTCCAGAGTCCTTACCCACATATTTATCATTTCAGATCCATCTGTCTCTGAAAGACTTTCTCCTCCATTGAATTGCATGAACATACCCTAGGATGTGTGGTATTGCAACTTGGACATTTGACATTAGTTTGGTGAATTATATAATAAATAATCTATCTCCATGGATGTGGGTAACAGGAGAGTCATCAGAAGTTTGAAGTGTTTTAAAATCAGAACAAACCTGGGCTTTCTTGTTAGGACGTGAACAACTGGGCTGACCTGTGGGACAACAGAGGGAAAGAGACAGACCCCACACCAGAGCCAGGTGAACTCCTTACCTACCGGATGGTCTCTGGGCATTTTGTTTGAACAGATCGAGAAGGAGCTTCCTCACACTCAGGAGAATTATGAACATTGAGGGAAATTGATATAAGTTTTTATTTACAGAGAATAATTCATAGGCTTGTGGACATCTATGTGGGTGTGTGCAGGGTTGCTAAGATATGCTTATACACAGAACAGAAAGAATTATATTTCATGGAAAGAAAAGCAAAGAGCTTCTGAATTTGTAGGTATTGTTTGCCACAAATGTGTGAGATCACTAGATCATGTTATGATGGTGGAGATAAAACTTCCCAACATTGTCATGGAGACAAATTGCAAAAGAGTAAAGATTCAAGTGAGATTCCTTTGAAAAATACCAGTAATGAACAGGCCAAAAAAATGAACCATTATGGAAAGAGTGCTAAGAATTGGGGTTTGAGAACCTCTGCCTAGATTTCAGAAGGTGTATGAAAACACCTGGATGTCCAGTCACAAGTTGGCTGCAGTGGTGGCTCATTCATGGGGAACCTCTGCTAGGGCAATGAGGAAAGGAAATATAGGGCCAGAGCTCCCACACAGAGTCCCTACTGGGGCACTGCCTAGTGGAGCTGTGAGAAGAGGGCTGCTATCCTCCAGACCCTGGAATGGTAGATCCACTGACAGTTTGCACTTTGTGCCTGGAAAATCCACAGACACTGAACACCAGCCTGTGAAAGCAGCCAGGAGGGAGGCTGTACCCTGCAAAGCCACAGGGGTGGAGCTGCCCAAGACCATGGGAACTCACCTGTTGCATCAACATGTCCCGGATGTGAGAAGGGGAGTTACAGGTGATCATTGTGGAGCTTTATGATTTGACTGCCCTGCTGGATTTTGGACTTGCATGGGGTCTTTTTGTTATGGGCAATTTCTGTCATTTCCAATGGGTGTGTTTACCCAATGCCTGTAACTTGCTTTTGAATTTACAGGCTTATAAGTGGAAAGGACTTGCCTTGTCTCAGGTGAAATGTTGTACTGTGGACTTCTGTGTTAATGATGAAATGAGTTTAGCCTTTGGGGAGCTGTTGGGAAGGCATGATTGGTTTTGAAATGTGAGGACGTGAGATTTGGGAGGGAACCTGGGGTGGAATGATATGGGTCGGATGTGTCCTCACTCAAATCTCACTTTGATGTGTAACTCCCATAATTCTCAATGTTGTGGGAGGGACCAGTGGGAGGTGACTGAGTTATGGGGGTTGCGTCTCTCCTGCACTGTTCTCTTAATAGTGAATGAGTCTCATGAGATCTGATGGTTTTAAAAAGGGGAGACCCAGCACAAGCTCTCTTCTCTTGTCTGCCGCCATGTCAGATGTGCCTTTCACCTTCCACCATGATTGTGAGACCTTTCCAGCCACGTGGAACTGTAAGTCCAATAAAACTCTTTCTATTGTAAGTTTCCTCGTCTCTGGTATGTCTTCATCAGCAGCGTGAAAACAGACAAACACAGTCAGACGTGCTCTACTCAAGGTCTCTGCACATGGAGGAAAAACAGGGAAATTGGAAAATGCATTTTCTTGGTCTGTTGAAAAATACCTATAGAAAACACAACCTTGTGCCAGGACATTATGCAGAATTCAGAAATATTGGATTTGGAATAAATGTGAAAATTACAATCATTTATAGATGCACATTTGTTCATTTATCTTCAAATGAAATAAAGTAAAAGCAGGTTTTCTGTGTAAAAACCCACAAAGAGTGTGTTGACCTTGAGAATACACCCCTCTCTCAGCTTCTAAAGGTGAGAAAATGCACCTGGATCAGGTGTCAAGCTGCTGCTTTGTGACGTCTGTGGTATGGCTTGTGCTGAAGCCCAGGTGCTGTGGTCAATTCTAATGAAAGGAAGGACTCTTCAATGGTTTTGAGGCAGAGCCTTTGCTGGAGTCATCGGGGTCCCCTGTGGGGTATTTTCCTCAGGACAGTGATCAATGTGATCAAGGCAGGTCATTTCTGCCCCCAAAGTGACACTCAGGCTTCTGCAGGGTGAGGATGTGTCCTCCTGTTACAAAAAAAAAAAAGATACAAAGTTGAGGGGACATTGTGCAGTCAGAGACGACATCAAATGTTATTACAGAATTGGAAATCTAGAGATGGTCCCTGGGGTAATTTGCTAACAATGCAACCCTAGATCATGACAGGAAACCCAGGCTTATATCACCTGGACTTGCCCCTGGGGACAGCCCAGTATACAGTGTCCCAGGCTTTCCCTGATTGTCCCAGGTACCCTGCAGGAGGTTTGTGTCTGGGCTCACACTGACTTCTCACTGCGTCTTTCACACAGTAGTACACAACTGTGCCCTCGGCTCTCAGGCTGTTCATTTGCAGAGACAGTGAATTCTGGGCATTGTCTCTAGAGATGGTGAATCAGCCCTTCACAGAGTCTGTGTAGAGTACGGTATCACCACTTGTACTAATAACTGAGACCCACTCCAAACCCTTTCCTGGAGCCTGGTGGACCCAGTGCATAGCAGAGCTACTGAAGGTGAATCCAGAGGCTGCACAGGAGAGTCTCAGAGACCCCTCCAGTCTTTACTAAGCCTCCCCCAGACTCCACCAGCTGCACCTCACACTGGACACCTGCAAACACGGAGACACCCTGGTCAGAAACTGCCACACAAATCCACTGTTTCTCTCACTTATGTCCAGTCACACTCAGTGTGTCTCATTCTCCATAAATCACCTTTTAAAACTGCAACAAGGAAAATCCAGCTCAGCCCAGACTCCATGGTGTGTCTTCTGTGTTCAGTGTTCATGACCAAGTGGAGACAGCTGGGAATCCCGGGGCGGGGGCTCCTCTCCCAGAGCTGCAGGGTCAGGATTTGGCTGATTTTCAGCAGCAGAGGGAGGGCCCTATTTGCTTGTCTCCTACTACATAGAGAGCTCTGGGGTGGGAATCCTGAGGAGACGGCAGACCCCAGATAAAATGACACGGCCCCACAGGAGTTGGGTGACAATTACGGTATTTGGAAAATACACTGTCTTATTAGGAAATTTTGTTGTGATAAGTATTTGCACTATTTTATCTTTTGTATATTTCTGTAAATTATGTTCTGTAGGAGTCAATGGTTTCTCCATTTACATATGTGGAAGTCAACCTACACATGGAGGAGGGGCTAAGTGTGTGTCCACGAGGTCATGTCTGAGATGAGTGAGCCCCGGTATCTGGGCCTGTGATTCCTCATCACTGTTACTCCCTGAACCAAATCTTGGTAAGAATTGGACATACCTCGTGTGCTTTGTGGAACCCACTTCCTGTACTGAGAATGTGTGTGATTTTGGTGCACGCTACCATTCACCTAAAAATAAGGACGGAACTAGGGTCAGGAGTTAAATTCTCAGACATTTCTGACATTTAATATATATTTTCTATCTTTATACCATCCTTTCTTTGTCTAATTTTTCATTTGTCTGCTTGCAATAAATTTTGCGAGTGTTAATTGGCAGATAATAGACTTCACATATTTAAAGTGTGCAATTGATCAACATGATGTAACCCATCATTTCCAAGCTGGACAAGTGAACTCCCCTCAACATTTTCTCTTGTTCTTCTGTAAGTTTCCTCCTTTCCCCTTCCTTTGGTCTACCCTTTTTCCAGGTAACTACTGATCTTCTGGATATTGCTTTAGATTCTTTTTCACTTAAAAGAAATTGCATAAATGGAGTAATATGGTACATATTCTTATTTGTCTGGCGTATTTTACTCAGCATAAACACTTAGATATTTTTCTTTGTTGCTCTGTGTACCAGAAATATATTTATTATAAGTGATGAGTAGTGTTCCAGTGAACACATTTACCATAATTTGGTTTTTTTGGGGCAGCTGAAAAATGTTTGGATTCTTTTATTATTCCAGGTTTTACTTAAAAATATGCTGCTCAGCTTAAAAATGTACATGAATGAGAAATATATATTTATTTTTAAAACAATAACATCAGCAATAACAGATAAACAGAAAAGATGGAAGTTCGCAAATTTTATTAAATGCTTCAGATAACTGAAGGTTTAAAACAAAAAAAATTGAAATCTAGGGAGAGGCAAGTTCTAGTACAGAGTAATAAAGTCAAGATATGAAATTACCTGAGGCACAGTCTGTCGTATTCAACGTAGGCCATTACAAGATGGAGCACAAATACACATTGCATTGCTTGAAGTCGAGTGTGTTAAGCGTGTTGTAGTGAGAAATTCTAAGGGACAACATACTGAAGAGTTGTGCTATTCTCTTGAAGAACCTTTACAGTCACAAGAATCTATCCTTCCCAAAGTGACTGTCTGGGAGAGAATGAGAGCCCACACTTCTGAAATGCATCCAGACCCAACTCTCTGATTCCCACTATGAAACTCAGATATTACCCTGCAGGAGCAAGCCATGAAAATCAGCATCCTAGGGCACTGGAGCAGCCCCTCATGAACTGATATGGGAACAGAGGTCCCCATCAAAGATCTATTGAGAAGCAGCTCCCCTCAGTTTCTTATGGAATCAGAGCCTTAATCTGCAGGTCATGGCAGCAGATCTGGAAGATGGGGACACCAACAGAGATTGTGAGAGCTGTGGGAGGGAACAACTGGGGAAAACAGGAGGACTCTACCCCAGGGGAAGAGGCAAGAACACACAGACCAGTATCTCACTTGCAGGAGGGTCGGGAAAACTTGGAAGGTCACACTCAGACTCAGGATCACAACGGCTTTCTAGAATTATGGCCCAACGAGAGGTCAGTTTCTTCCTTTAGTCTAATGCCTTCCGCCAATTTCACAATTGGCAGTTAAATATAACACTTTAATCCACCCTAGGAATGTGAAGGAGATTCTCTGTAGAATGGAATGAGGTGAATAGACAAAGCCAAGCAGGCATGAAAACAAGGTATCACTAGAGTATCTGAAGTCTCCAGTGGACATAGAAGAACACACTTCAACTGCTACAGCCGTTGCAAAAGTAAATGTCAAATGTAGCTCTGAAGAGATGCACAGACATCTCCACAATCAAGGCCCAGCACAGATAGGGTGTGGTCAAATACAGGCAGAAATGCACAAAATAAAATAATACGTCAATATCAAGGGTCCAAATATGGCTGGTTATCAACAAAAATTATAACATTCATCAAAGTCATATAAGTTATAAAAAACACCAAAGTCATAATGGAAAAATCCTCAGAATTGATATTTGTAAATGACACAATACTAGAACTATCTTATTAAGTAGGATATTTAAAGTAATTGAATTTGTTAAAAGTATCTGAAAGAAAATGTGGACACAGTGCAAGACTAGATAGGTGACTGACAGAGAGAAATACTAAGAAAGAATCAAATGGAAATTCATAAAATTATCAAAAGTGATGCAGTATAAAGTTGAATATACCTTGGGCACGCTCAGCAGTAGAATTCGCTCAGCTCTTAAATGAAACCAGGGACTTCAACTCCGTTACTGGAAATTACACAAAGTGAATTTCAAAGGGAAAAAGAGTGAAGAAATTTAAGAACTAACATCAAAAAGTATAGTGTAGATATATTTCAAATTTCAAAAATAGAAATTAGAAACAGAGAAAATATCTTAAGAATTAATGATATCTTAAGATATACTTATATCTTAAGATATATTTCTTAAGAAAAATATCTTAAGAATGTGAAACACCTAACTACAGATCCAAAAATTAGAGGACCCCAAGCCGGGTAAACACACACAGACACACCTGCACGATACATAGGAACATACTCTGTGAGCCAAGAGTTCAAATTTACAGTGAGCTGTTATCACACCACTCCACTTTCAACGTGCAACAGAGAGAGACTCTGTCTCTAAAAACAAACAAAAAAGAATGAATAAGATTTTCGGCCCGGAGCAGTGGCTCACACCTGTAATCCCAGCACTTCGGGAGGCCAAGGTGGGCGGGTCACCGGAGGTTGAGAGTTTGAGACCAGCCTGACCAATGTGGAGAAACCCCATCTCTACTAAAAATACAAAATTAGCTGGGCCTGGTGGTGCATGCCTGTAATATCAGCTACTGGGAGGCTGAGGCAGGAGAATCGCTTGAATCTGGGAGGTGGAAGAGGCGGTGAGTCAAGATCGTGCCATTTCGCTCCAGCCTGGGCAACAAGAGCGAAATTCCATCTCAACAGATAAATAAATAAATAATAAAATGAAATAAGATAAAAAAGGTTTTCACACAACTGCAAGGCTACTAAAATAGGAGATGTTAATCTGAGCATCCTCAAAGATTCTCTGGTGTTTCTGATGTCTTTAAACAGATAGCTGACCTAAGACCTTCAGACTAAGCTGATAATCCTTAATAGCAAAAGGTTTCCACCCAAGTCACTGGACCTGGACCCCTGTCTAATTCTGCACACCCTCCTCCTGCTTCTCATTATTATTTGCTTTGACTTATAAACACTCATCTCATTTTCTGTAGACCTGAGTGTTGCCCATCATATTGAACCCTTATCTCGTTTTTTATTCATTATTTTTATAGTTGCTACATAGAATAACTTGTCACACTGTATTTTGGTGTGTGACTGCTGATAGCTTAAGGCTCATTCCTCCATTACCTCCTTTTTTACACACAAGGTGAATATCGGTCCAGAATCACAGGAGCTTCCTTATTTGAAGCCAGTGGGAGTTTCCCACCCTATAAACCCCTTTCTGTGAGTGGAAAGACTCAATCTGCCCCCACCACCAAACCCTGAGGCCCTCTCTTTCCCTGTTCTATCAAGCCATTTTGCACTTTCCTGAGAGAACTGCCCTGCTCTCAGCAGACACGTCTAGAATAGAGATAATTATCCCTTCCATATCCACTTGGTCTGAGGGTGTGTCACCATCCAACATCACATCCACACTAAATCTTAGTTGAGATATCTTGGCCTTTGCATGACGTCAACTACAAGTGGTGCTGGGAGCTTGGTGTCACAGCTCCTGTTAACAGGACACATCTGATTCCTGAACCAACTCTGGGACAGAACTGGACATGTGATATGGTTTGGTTCTGTGTCCCCACCCAAATCTGATCTCGAATTGGAATTGCCACACGTCCAGGGAGGGACCTGGTGAGAGGGGATGGGCTCATGGGGTGGTTCCTCCATGCTGTTTTCATGATTGAGGTCTCAGATTGAGGTCTCAGGAGATCTGATAATTTAAAGTGTGTGGTGGTTCTCCCCACCTCTCCTGCTGCCATGTGAGATGTCTCTTGCTTCCCCTTCACACTCTGCCTTGATTGCAAGTTTCCTGAGGCCTTTCCAGCCATGTAGAACTATGAGTCAATAACCTATTTTCTTTATAAGTTACCCAAACTCAGGTAGTTCTTTGTAGCAGTGGGAAAACAAACTAATACAACGTGCCTGGAGTGGTTTAATAAACCCCCTTCACGTCATAAAATGATGTCATTATTTTGCTGTATTGTAGTGTTTTCATAAAAACATAGAGAAGTGCAGGCTCACTCATGTGAATATTCAGGTGTCTCTGACTTTTTATGTATTTTATCTCTGTCTGACTCCGTTTCTACCAAATTACACACGTTACAGTTAGTACTATCTTTAATGATGTTAAACTAAAAAAAAAGATCTTCACATGAAGTGTTCAATTGTACAAATATTATCATAGACATCATTATTATCAATATAGATAACAAGTCAATTATGCTTAAAATTTTCTCTTTTCTGTAATTCCTCCTGTCTACACTTTCCCTTCTATAATATTCACAGTGAACTACTGATTCTTTATGTAACTTTAGTTTTTATTCTATAGAATGTATAAAAGTGTGTCTACGGCCATACCACCCTGAACGCGCCCGATCTCGTCTGATCTCGGAAGCTAAGCAGGGTCGGGCCTGGTTAGTACTTGGATGGGAGAATGTATAAAAGTGGTATCATATGTGTGTACTTTTATTTGTTTGGCTCATTTTACTCACCATATGAGAATTTAACCATACTGTTGAGCGTATCCAACATTAGTATATTGTGGTCACAGTCAGTAGTATGCCAATGAATGACTTTTCCACAATTTGTTTACCAGTTAAGCTGATGATTGACATTTGGATTGTTGGCCATCTCAGTATGATAAGCAAAGCTGCCACTCAGCTTGGAGAAGTACACAGCTGAGAATCTCATGGTTCTTATACTTACAGCAGCATGAACAACAACAAAGATGGGAAAGCTGCACATTAATCAATTTTATTCAATACATCAGGTAATGAAAGTTATAGATTTCTTTGCGTGTGGAGTGGGGATTATGTCCATTTGTGTGAGAGAGAATAAGGGGAAAGGGAGACAAGGAAAGAGAGGAAACCTACAAAACTGACCACAATTTATGAGGTCCTCAAGTAATTACAGGGAATTAGTCCTTACGAACAAGGCCGATAGAAGTTGAAGAGGAAAACTTGACACACCTTCGTATGGTTATATATTTATAGAAGTATGATTTTCTAATCATACACTCATATGCAGTAGAACACATGTAGTGGAGGGTGTCTAGTGGTGAAATATGATGGTGACACAAAACCCCTCATCCAGCCCCTTTTCACCCCATCTGCACCTGCCCTGAGGCTGAGCCTAGAACCTGCTGTTTCTGAGTCCCCACAATGGTCCTGAGCCCCCTGCTGTACCGAGTCTCTTCTGGTGTCCTGATTTTCCTCGATGGTTCCTGAGAGCCCCCGGGTGACCTGAGTGCCTCTACAATGGTCTTGCGTGTGCCCTGGAATCCAGACCACCCCCTTCCATCATCGGCACTCCTGCTGTCCTGTGCACCCCTCCAGGAAGGTTTGGGTGTGAGCTCGCACCGTGGTCCCCTCACTCTGTCTCTTCTTTAAAACATGGCTGTGAGCTTGTTGCTCACATAGCTCCACTGTAAAAACAAGTGTTTTTTGGACCCGAATTTGGAGATGGTGACTGGATTCATAAGGAGTGGGTGGGAATTTTTGCTCCCTTCATGACGTGTGCGCCTGGTCCACTCCAGTCCTTCCCATGTGGACTCGTGGATCCAGCTCCAGCAGGAAACACTGGTTGTGATGGAAAATCCAGAGACAGCACAGGTGAGGGAGAGGGTCTGCGAGGGCTCCACCAGGCCAAGAGTGCACTAAGAAACACAGTTGTTTGTGAGCACAGATTCTGGACAGAATGTTAACATTTCCAAAGACACACATTTTAATGAGAATAAAGAGCTCACTGGTGTTCAATTTTTGATTCTGCTAGAGCAATGCAGTAGATTCCACGGTTAGAGTCCCACAAACATATGGTCTCCATTTCCCCGCAAACTTGGCTTATTTAAAAGACCTTGCCCAGAAATTGGCCAACAGGGACATGACAAGTTTTTATATCAGAACTACTATTTTTTACCTGTTTTATGTGGAAATCTGAGAGATGTGCCCAGCCTCAGGAGGCTAATTCTCCATCCAGGGGACAGCACTAACAGAGTTATGTGGTATTAGTCTGTCTGGATCTTCATAAGAAGACAACAGGAGTGGGTGGCTTAAACAACAAATATTGATTTTCTTAAAATTCTGCAGTCTGAATGTTGAAGATTAGTGTGCTGGCAGGGCTGGTTCTTGGCGCGGCTTCTTCCTGGCTTGCACTGGGCCACCTTCTAGTGCACTATGTCTCCACATGGCCTCTTCTCTGCCTGCACGTGAAAAGTGAGAGGTCTCTGGTGTCTCTTCCTCTTCTTATAAAGACAACACGTCTATTGCATTAGGGTCTTACAATTATGACCACATTTAACCTTAATTATTTCATTAAAATTCCAATATAGATCCATTGAATTTAAGGTTTCATCATATGAATTTCAAAGAGGGTACAATTCAGTTGATGATACAAATCAAGAGATGGTGAGAAGCATTAGAATATATATTTTTTAATCGATAAGTTATAATGGGTCATGCAGGAACTTGTAGGCAAGTTCCTAGTAATTGGTGAAGCTTCAACTATAGACGAAAATTTGTCTTCCTCGTTTCTTTCCTGGCACAAGAATGTGAGGAAGCAGAACCACAGATAATAAAGAAAGAGGAGCCCTGGTGACAGCGAGGTGCTGGCGAGGACGGAGACCACTGAGCAGATGAGGAAGCCCCGCCCTCCCTGCACCTGCTCCTGACCCGGCCTCATGCTCTGGGGGCCCCGCGCGCCACCTGCTGGTCCTGAGCAGCACCTGCGCCGGTCCCCTCCGCGTCCATGCAGGGAGGTTTGTGTCTGGGCTCACACTCACCTCCCCTCACTGTGTCTCTCGCACAGTAATACACGGCCGTGTCCGCAGCGGTCACAGAGCTCAGCTTCAGGGAGAACTGGTTCTTGGACGTGTCTACTGATATGGTGACTCGACTCTTGAGGGAGGGGTTGTAGTTGGTGCTCCCACTGTAATAGATATACCCAATCCACTCCAGTCCCTTCCCTGGGGGCTGCCGGATCCAGCTCCAGTAGTAACTACCACTGCTGACGGAGCCACCAGAGACAGTGCAGGTGAGGGACAGGGTCTCCGAAGGCTTCACCAGTCCTGGGCCCGACTCCTGCAGCTGCACCTGGGACAGGACCCCTGTGAACAGAGAGACCCACAGTGAGCCCTGGGATCAGAGGCACCTCCCATACCCCCATGTCTGGATCCCTGAGACACTCACATCTGGGAGCTGCCACCAGGAGGAGGAAGAACCACAGGTGTTTCATGTTCTTGCACAGGAGGTCCAGGACTCTCAGAAAGTATTTCCCATGTGAGCTGGAACCTGAATTTAAGGAAATGTGTGGTGGTTTCCTGTGGGTGCTTAAGTAAGGATTTGCATGTGGGTGGTGCCTTTGTACGGAGAGGTGAAAAAGGAGGAGGGAGGCCCCAGTCTTTTGGGCTCGCCCTGGGAGTAGGATGCTGGCTGTGCCCTTTGAGAACTCAGTTGTCTTCTTGGGGTCTCCCCTCTCCAAGCCCAGAGTCCTCTTCTTTCAGGTAAAGAGACGTGCTGAAGGACCTGGTCTGGGAGATGAGTGTGATCATGGATCAAGGACAGATTTTGGAATATGGTCAATATTGTTCTACCCTTGAAGATTCATATAAATTGTCATCTAAATTGTCATTTACTACTTCAGACACATTGAAACAGCAGCTGAATGTAATAATGACAGTGACTTCAAACAATCCTGGATCCATCCAATGTTTATTGTAGTTCAGAACATCCACCATGGTTATAGGGAAGCTC
The DNA here is from genome assembly GCF_000001405.40 of Homo sapiens. Lineage (NCBI taxonomy): Eukaryota > Metazoa > Chordata > Mammalia > Primates > Hominidae > Homo > Homo sapiens. The sequence goes on from NT_187600.1 coordinate 1,131,754, forward strand.
CCTGTCCCTGGAAGTGGGTCATTTTTTAAAAGCACCTGAGAGCTGTCCTTCTGTGTCCTTTTGAAATCTGGGATTCTGTCTGAGATCTCAGGAGAAGGTAGTGGGACATATCTACATCCTTCTCAATGTGTGACCGTGAAGATATGTCCTGGCCTCTAAACACTTCTGATTGAAAATATGTAGATTGGGGATTGCAGTGAGAACTTCAGACAAAAACTCTATAACAGGTCAGCACTGGAGGATAGTCTCATGAAGATCATGAAGATTAGTGCGATTATCTTTCCTGGGAACCAGAGAGGAACTCTGTGACCCCTTCCCTCTGAGAACACAAGGAACTCTTGTCCTTCCCTGACAGGACACACTTGTGAAACATGGCTGGACAATGATACTCAAGCCCAGAGTCCTTACCCACATATTTATCATTTCAGATCCATCTGTCTCTGAAAGACTTTCTCCTCCATTGAATTGCATGAACATACCCTAGGATGTGTGGTATTGCAACTTGGGCATTTGACATTAGTTTGGTGAATTATATAATAAATAATCTATCTCCATGGATGTGGGTAACAGGAGAGTCATCAGAAGTTTGATGTGTTTTAAAATCAGGACAAACCTGGGCTTTCTTCTTAGGACCTGAACAACTGGGCTGACCTGTGTGACAACAGAGGGAAAGAGACAGACCCCACACCAGAGCCAGGTGAACTCCTTACCTACCAGATGGTTTCTGGGCATTTTGTTTGAACAGATCGAGAAGGAGCTTCCTCACCCTCAGGAGAATTATGAACATTGAGGGAAATTGATATAAATTTTTATTTACAGAGAATAATTCATAGGCTTGTGGACATCTATGTGGGTGTGCACAGAGTTGCTAAGATATGCTTATACACAGAACAGAAAGAATTATATTTCATGGAAAGAAAAGCAAAGAGCTTCTGAATTTGTAGGTATTGTTTGCCACAAATGTGTGAGATCACTAGATCATGTTATGATGGTGGAGGTAAAACTTCCCAACATTGTCATGGAGACAAAATGCAAAAGAGTAAAGATTCAAGTGAGATTCCTTTGAAAAATACCAGTAATGAACAGGCCAAAAAAATGAACCATTATCGACAGAGTGCTAAGAATTGGTGTTTGAGAACCTCTGCCTAGATTTCAGAAGATGTATGAAAACACCTGGATGTCCAGTCATAAGTTGGCTGCAGTGGTGGATCATTCATGGAGAACCTCTGCTAGGGCAAGGAGGAAAGGAAATATAGGGCCAGAGCTCCCACACAGAGTCCTTACTGGGGCACTGCCTAGTGGAGCTGTGAGAAGAGGGCTGCTATCCTCCAGACCCTGGAATGGTAGATCCACTGACAGTTTGCACTTTGTGCCTGGAAAATCCACAGACACTGAACACCAGCCTGTGAAAGCAGCCAGGAGGGAGGCTGTACCCTGCAAAGCCACAGGGGTGGAGCTGCCCAAGACCATCGGAACTCACCTATTGCATCAACATGTCCCGGATGTGAGAAGGGGAGTTACAGGTGATCATTGTGGAGCTCTATGATTTGACTGCCCTGCTGGATTTTGGACTTGCATGGGGCCTTTTTGTTATGGGCAATTTCTGTCATTTGTAATGGGTGTGTTTACCCAATGCTTGTAACTTGCTTCTGAATTTACAGGCTCATAAGGGGAAGGGACTTGCCTTGCCTCAGATGAAATGTTGTACTGTGGACTTCTGAGTTAATGATGAAATGAGTTTAGCCTTTGGGGAGCTGTTGGGAAGGCATGATTGGTTTTGAAATGTGAGGACATGAGATTTGGGAGGGAACCTGGGGTGGAATGATATGGGTCGGATGTGTCCTCACTCAAATCTCATTTTGATGTGTAGCTCCCATAATTCTCAATGTTGTGGGAGGGACCAGTGGGAGGTGACTGAGTTATGGGGGTTGTGTCTCTCCTGCACTGTTCTCTTAATAGTGAATGAGTCTCATGAGATCTGATGGTTTTAAAAAGGGGAGACCCAGCACAAGCTCTCTTCTCTTGTCTGCCGCCATGTCAGATGTGCCTTTCACCTTCCACCATGATTGTGAGGCCTTTCCAGCCACGTGGAACTGTAAGTCCAATAAAACTCTTTCTGTTGTAAGTTTCCCAGTCTCTGGTATGTCTTTATCAGCCACGTGAAAACAGACAAACACAGTCAGACGTGATCTACTCAAGGTCTCTTTATCAGCAGCGTGAAAACAAACACAGTCAGACGTGCTCTACTCAAGGCCTCTGCACATGGAGAAAAACCACGGAAAGTGGAAAATGCATTTTCTTGGTTTGATGAAAAATACCTGTAGAAAACACAACCCTGTGCCAGGACATCATGCAGAATTCAGAAATATTGGAATTGGAATAAATGTGAAAATTACAATCATTTGCAGCTGCACATTTGTTCATTTATCTTCAAATGAAATAAAGTAAAAGTAGGTGTTCTCTGTAAAAATCCACAAAGAGTGTGTTGACCTTGAGAATACACCCCTCTCTCAGCCTCTAAAGGTGAGAAAATGCACCTGGATCAGGTGTCAATCTGCTGCTTTGTGACGTCTGTGGTATGGCTTGTGCTGAAGCCCAGGTGCTGTGGTCAACTCTAATGGAAGGAAGGACTCTTCAATGGTTTTGAGGCAGAGACATTACTGGAGTCATCAGGGTCCCCTGTGGGGTATGTTCCTCGGGACAGTGATCAGTGAGATCAAGGCAGATCATTTCTGCCCCCAATGTGACACTCAGGCTTCTGCAGGGTGAGGATGTGTCCTCCTGTTACAAAAAAAAAAAAAAAGATACAAAGTTGAGGGGACATTTTGCAGCCAGAGACGACATCAAATGTTATTACAGAATTGGAAATCTAGAGAAGTTCTCTGGGGTAAGTTGCTAAAAAGGCAACCCTAGACCATGACAGGAAACCTAGGCTTATACCACCTGGACTTGCCCCTGGGGACAGCCCAGTATACAGTGTCCCAGGCTTTCCCTGGTTGTCCCAGGTACCCTGCAGGGAGGTTTGTGTCTGGGCTCACACTGACTTCTCACTGCGTCTTTCACACAGTAATACACAGCCATGTCGTCGGCTCTCAGGCTGTTCATTTGCAGATACAGTGAATTCTGGGCATTGTCTCTGGAGATGGTGAATCGGCCCTTCACAGAGTCTGTGTAGAGTACGGTATCACCACTTGTACTAATAACTGAGACCCACTACAAACCCTTTCTTGGAGCCTGGCGGACCCAGTGCATAGCAGAGCTACTGAAGGTGAATCCAGAGGCTGCACAGGAGAGTCTCAGGGACCCCCCAGGCTGGACCAAGCCTTCCCCAGACTCCACCAGCTGCACCTCACACTGGACACCTGCAAACACAAAGACACCAAGGTCAGAAACTGCCACACACATCCACTGTTTCTCTCACTCATGTCCACTCCCACTCAACATCTCTATTTATCTATGAATCACCTCTTAAAATAGCAACAAGGAAAACCCAGCTCAGCCCAAACTCCATGGTGAGTCCTCTGTGTTCAGTGCTGATCACGGAATGGAAACACCGCCGACTTCCAGTGCTGGGCTCCTCTCCCAGAGCTGCAGGGTCAGCTGGGCTGGTTTTCATCAGCAGAGGGAGGGCCCTATTCGCATGTCCCCCACTATATAGCAAGCTCTGTGGTGGGACATCTGAGGAGAGGCTGGGCTCAGGGCAGATGAAGTGTCCTGGGACAGATTGGAATAATTGTATCATTCAGGAAAATATAATTTTATATTATGTGCTTGTGCCTTGATTAATATTTAGCTCTCATAATCTTATTTTATTCTTACATATTTATACAATATGTTTAATGCAGGTTTCAATGTTACATTTTACAGGAGATAATTTACACAGAGAACACAGCAGTTGTGCAGTGTGTCTAAAATTACACATCTAAAAAAATTAGTCCTATTACCTGGGCCTGTGCTCTAACCACTGGAGGAGGCAGCTCCCCTGAGACAACTCCAGGGCAGCGTGGACCATGCCTAGTGAAGTCTGCAGGATTCCCCATCTGTTATGACAACTTTCTGTAATTTACCAAAATACGTAGAGTGAACCATGGTTCATGTGCATGTTTTCATAAGTCAGTCATATTCCTTGTGTTAACATCGATCTGTTTATTGCTCCATTTTAGTCAAATGTTATTTTATTGGTTTCTTCGTTATTGCTTTATTCAAGTGTAATTAATAAGTAATTAATTCAAATTTATAGTGAAGGATTTGAAAAATGTTGACCTATGTTTGCAGCCATTTGCTCAGCACTTCAATCAAGTTTTGAATAATTAAATTAATCCCTAAATCTTTCTTTTATTTCTCTGAAATTCAACTCACATCCACATTACTCCCAACAGCGTATTGTCAGACAAACTCAAATCTTCTCCGTGTTAATTTACAATAATGGCATCTTCTAAAATTCCTACAAATGTATCATATAAAATTTACTCTTAACTCCTTAGTTTCTTTCACTAAACAGAATTACTTGAGAATTTAGCCATGTTGTTTATATGAGTGAGGCATGCCTTGATTTCAAGCTGCGTTATGTTCCAGTACATAAATATATGCCAAACTATTTAATTGTTCACCTGTAACTAAATGTGATTTGTTCTCTCAGTTAATGGATTTGATAGAGAAAAGCAGCTACTAAAGCATGGGAATATAAAACGGAGCAAAGTATGGGCCGGGCGCGGGGGCTCACGCCTGTAATCCCAGCACTTTGGGAGGCCGAGGCGGGCGGATCACAAGGTCAGGAGATCGAGACCATCCTGGCTAACACGGTGAAACCCCGTCTCTACTAAAACTACAAAAAATTAGCCGGCCATGGTGGCGGGCGCCTGTAGTCCCAGCTACTCTGGAGGCTGAGGCAGGAGAATGGCGTGAACCCGGGAGGCGGAGCTTGCAGTGAGCTGAGATAGGGCCACTGCACTCCAGCCTGGGTGACAGAGCGAGACTCCGTCTCAAAAAATAAATAAATAAATAAATAAAAAGAGTAAAGTATTATCTTATTCTGACCTCATTAACAACAAACCTGAACAACCACACACAAAAAAACCTTCAACATATTTGAGTTTATATCAGAGAGAAAACAAACAATAAACAAAACCTGAAATCTGAGGAGAGAGGAGGCTGCAGAGAAGCAGGACCCATATATTAGTGTACCTGGGGCAGATACAACTGGATGGCATTTAAGATAGGAACAGGCTGGCTTGGAAATATTCAGCGAGTTGCGTGAGGATGCACGTGCTCATAGTGTTAGACTGTGAAACTCCTGGTGCTTGCAGGCTTTTCCTACAGAATTATTATTAATATTCTTGCTGCACTTTATGCAAATAATCAGGCCAAGTTTAAGACTAAAGTTTATTTTGCAAACAACTCAGTCTTACAATTACTTGATTCTGACAAAAACCAGAACTGGAAAGAGAAAAATTGTATTTCAAAACATATCATACGATCATCTTTAAATTCTAATCTCTTCAGTTGTTTAAGTATTTGCCTGCATTTTAGACTGACTGCTTATTCCTGAGCGCCAATCAATGATCTCTGGCTACAGCCCAGAAGAAACAAAAAGCGATGGGGAATATAAAAAAATCTGTATCAATATTTTAATTCTAAGCAATTATCCTTTAAATCATGCCAGGTGATGGGAATGAATAGGGTGCCCCTAACCTGGAGGTTTCTTTGTTTGGGAAAATAAATCCCAGGGAGCTGACAAAAGCCAAGCCTCATGCGCCCAAACCTTAGCAGGCATAACTACAGCCGCAGTTATCTGGGCATGTCAGCAGCCTTGGAATTTTCTTTCAAACTGTCCTTACCACCTTGACCACCTTGTTAGGTTTGGATACATGTCTTCTAATAATCTGATTTGCCTTTTCTCGTTTTCAGACCATCAAACTCCAAATGCTCATGCAACTGAAGCCTGGGATAATGGCTCCCTTTTCCTGGGGTCCCTTAGACAGGCCTCCAAGAGAGATCTTCCCCAAACAGCATCCCCCGTCAGCTGGAAGCAGTTAAGATTTGTCTTTGTCTCTATTCTAACGACAGTTAGATGTATTTCTTCAAAGAGGAAAATGATAGAGGTAGAAGGCAGAGAACTCTCCTAGGCAGGTAGGGAAGAGTCCCCATAGAATCTCCAATGCACCAAGGTCATTGTGCACAGGGGGTTGCCTAGACATGCCTGCAGTGAAAATTGTTAATGTTGTCTTTATCACTCTCGGAATAAATAACCACACATAATAATCCAGCTGCATGAAGATAAAAAATAACTAGTTTGAAATTAGAACAAGTTCCAATAAAGTCAAAGTTAGCATGTGGTTTATAACATGATAGGAGACATGGCTGAATACTAAGAATGTGTTCACATCTGTTTTATGTCATGATCAGGAAAATATTTTGTATATTCTCTATGTAAGAGTCCCATTGAGAGCATTGATGAACACTGATGGATAATACCTCAATAATAAAGTAAGGGTTATTAACTAGTAATTTGTATTAAGAGAACAAACTTTTATTTAGGATATATTATTATATGTGTTGTGAAATCAACTGAGAAGGCAGAAAACATTGAACTTATTAGAGCTTTTTAATAAATTAAAAATGAGAATTAAGTACATATGTTTCTAGATTGTGCATAACTTTGGAATGTTTTGTTTTCTTTTATTTTGAGATGGACTCTCGCTGTGTCTCTCAGGCTGGAGTGCAGTGGCACAATTTCGGCTCACTGCAACATCAGCCTCCAGGGTTCAAGCAATCCTCAAGCACCACCATGCCCGGCTAATTTTTGTATTTTTAGTAGAAAGGAGGTTTCACCATGTTGGCCAGGCTGGTCTCAAACTCCTGACCTGAAATGATCCCCCCCACCTCGGCCTCCCAAAGTGCTGGGTTTACAGGCATGAGCCACTGGCCTGGCCTGGAATATTTTTACAAACAGAGAGGGTTCTTATGTATTCTGGAAATCCTATCAAACTGGAAAACAAGGAAAGAAACTCTCAGATGAATTTCTACTTACTACAGAGCTGATTAATATCATTTTAAAGCCAACGCTAACACGCAGACAAAAAACTAACATGGAGCTAAAAAATAAAATATACAGTGATTCAATACAGCAAACACTGTAGCTCAATCTAGTTTATAATATTATCTAATCATGGAGGGCATTGTCTTTGTTCATACGAGACAGAGTCAATCCCACTCACAACCTTCTGGGAATGTTTAAAAAGTGGCATCTCTACATATTTTAATAAAATGTAAAACTCCCTTGGTCAAGGGTTCTTCCACTAGCACTATGGAATCATGGTCCAGTCCTCAGGGTACATCAGTTATTACCCTATGACTTGGTAGCTAAAAGGCCCATACGTTTATAGACTTTACCCCCAGAGATCATGTTTGCTCTATTGCATGCATGTGTTACAAAATACTGAAAGTGATTCCTGTGTGATATCCACTCTAACAATGAAGAGTTTAAGGCTGCCTTTTTACTACATATTTTCCACAATTCCCTGTGATCTTCAGCAAGGAAACTGGAAGGAACATCAGCGGAAAATACTGCTCGTGAATCACATAGGAAGGAACCTTATCAGATGCTTTTAACTAACTCACTGCAGAAAACATTCAGGCAGTTAATTATTGGCTTCATATTTTACAACTAAAGAATAAATTCAGGTCAGATGCAGTGGATCTTCCCTATAATCACACCACTTCCAGAAGCAAAGTGAGGGAAATCCTATGAGACCAGGCAATCGAAGCCAACCTGAGCAACATAAAGAGATGCTATTTCTATGAAAAAATGTTTAAAAAATAAGGAGGGTAGGGGTGGTGTGCCCATCTAGTTGTAGATACTCAGAAAGCTAAGATGGAAAGGTTGTGTGAGTCAGGAGCTCAAATTTAAGGTGAGCTATGATCACACAACTGTACTTTAAGCTGTGGAACAGTGTGAGAGCCTGTCCCTAAAAACAAACAAAAAATAATCAATTAAGAATTCCACACAACTGTAAAGCTACTCAAATAGGAGATGTTAAACTGAGCATCCTCATAGACCCTCTGGCGTTTCTGATGTTTTTAAGCAGATGGCTGACCTAAGACCTGCAGAATAAGCTGATAGTCCTTGATTGTGAAAAGCTTCTACCCAAGACATTAGACCAGGCCCCTGTTTAATTTTCCATCCACTTCTTATTTTTCTCATTATTCTTTGCTTACATTTCTAAAGTCATCTCATTTCTGCAGATCTGGGTGTTGTCCACCCATACTGAACCCTTGTCTTCTTTCTTATTCATTATTTTTATTCCTGCTGCATGGAATAAGTTGTCACTCTATCTTTTGGTGCATGACTGCTGATTACTTAAGGCTCACTCCTCCATCGTCTCCTTTTTTGCCACACAAGATGAATCTAGTTCAGACTCACAGGAGCTTCTTCATTTGATGCCAGTGGGAGTTTCAAACCCTATAAACCCCCATCTGTGAGTGGGAAGCTTCACTTTGCCCCCACCACTAAACCATTATAAAAACCCTGAGCCAGTCTCCTTTGGTTTTCTTTCAAGCCATTTTAGATTTTCCTGGGAGACCTGCCCTGCACTCAGCAGACACCTCTACAGTGTAGATAATGAACTTTTCCCTATTCACTTGCTCTGAGTGTGTGACTTCATTAGACACAACATACACACTAAATCTCACTTGAGATCTCTTGGCTTTGCATGGTGTCAACTACAACTGATAATATGAACTTGGTGTCACTGTTTCTATCAACAGGACACACTGGATCCCTGAAACAACTCCAGGACAGAACTGGACATGTGATATAGATTGGTTTTGTGCCCCACCTAAATATCATCTCAAATTCTAATCCCCACATGTCAAGGGAGGGACCAGGTGAGAGGTGATTGGATCATGGGGGCAGTTTCCCCATGTTGTTCTCATGATAGTGAGTGAGTTCTAACAACCGCTGATGGTTTAAAAGTATGTGTCACTTCCCCTCCTCTATCTCTCTCCTGCTGGGCTGTGAGACGTGCCTTGCTTCCTCTTCACCTTCCACCATGATTGTAAGTTTCCTGTGGCCTCCCCAGCCATGCAGAACTGTGAGCCAACTATACCTCTTTTCCTTGTAAACTACCCAGTCTCAAGTAGTTTTTTATACCAGTGTGAAAATGAACTAATACAACATGCCTGGTGGGTTTGATAAACTTTCTTAGTGATGTAAAATTATGCCATTATTTTGCTGTATTCTAGTGCTTCTCTAAAAATACAGAGATGTCCAGTGCTCATTCATGTGTATATTCAGGATTCTCTGACTTTTCATGTATTTTATTTATCTTTAATTCCTTTGATACCAATTTATACCTGTTCTAATTAATACTATCTTTAATGGGGCTAAACTAAAAACAATAATCTCCACATGAAGTGTTCAATTTTGCAAATATTGTCATAGACATTATCACTATCAACATAGATAACAAGTCAATTCCCTCAACATTTTATCTTGTTCCATAATTCCTCCTTCCTAGACCATCCCTTCTCCTACAATATTCACAGTGAACTACTGATTTTTTTTTTGCAACTTTAGATTACTTTTTGTTCTATAGAACTTATGAAAGTTGTATCCTATGTATGCACTTTTATCACTTGGGCTCATTTTACTCATCTGAAGTACTTGTGAATTTAACCATGCTTTTGAGCATAGCCAACATTAGCTGATGGTAGTAGTGGGTAGTATGTCAATGAATGACTTTTCCACAATGTGTTTACCAGTTAAGCTGATGATTGACATTTGGGTTGTTTTTCATTCTGGGTATTATGAACAAAGATGCTACTCAGCTTAGAGAAGTACACAGCTGGGAAACAGATGGTTTTTATTGCTACAACAGCATAAACAATGAAGCTGCAAAACACATTAATCAGGTTTATTGAATACATCAGGTAATAAAAGTTATAGATTTATGTGTGTTGTGGGGTGGGTGTATGTAAATTTCTGTGTGAGAGAGAGAGAAGAAGGGAGGACGGAAGGCAGAAAAAGACACACCTAGCTATGGTTATATATTTATATCAATATCATTTTCTAATCATACAAACACATGCATTAGAACAGATGTAGTGGAGGGTGTCTGGTGGTGAAACATGATGGTGACACAAAACGCCTCATCCAGCCCCTTTTCACACCAGCTGCACCTGCCCTGAAGCTGAGCCTTGAACCTGTTCTTTCTGAATCCCCACAATTGTCCTGAGCCCCTCGCTGTACCGAGCACCCTTTGGTGTCCTGATTTTCCTCCATGGTTCCTGAGAGCCCCCGGCTACCTGCGTGCCTCTACAATGGTCTTGAGTGCCCCTTGGTGTCCTGAGAGCCCCCTGGGCTCCGGAGTAACCCCTTCTGTCCTATGCATCCCCACAGGGAGGTTTTGGTGTGAGTTCACACTGTGATTCCCTCACTGTGTCTTTTGCTTAAAAATATATGGCTATGTGATTGTTGCTCATGTAGCTCAGCTGTAGGAAGAACTGTTTTTGGACATGGATCTGGGGATGGTGACTGGACTCTTGAGGAAAGGGGAGTAATGTGTGCTCCCTTCATGACCTATGCACCCAATCCACTCCATTCCCTCCCAGAGAGGGGCTGATGGATGCAGCTCCAGGAGGAAGCACTGGTTGTGATGGAGAATGCAGAGATGACACACATGAGGGAGAGGGTCTGTGAGGGCTTCACCAGGCCAAGAGTGCACCGAGAAACACAGTTGTTGGCAGGCACACGTTCTGGACAATATGTTGAAATTCCCAACTACATACATTTCTGTGAGAATAAAGAGCTCACCTGTGTTCGATCCGTGAGTATCCCAGAGTAATGCAGTGGATTCTGATGTTGGATTCAGACAAATATAGGGTCACATGTTTCTCCATACTTGGAACCAAGTAATAAAGAGAAACTTATGTCAGGAGAATAGCCATTGAACTATCTCTCTTTATGGTGATTTTCAGAATAGGATTCAGATGTGATAACTTAAAGAGTGTCCTAATTCTTAACCCACAATTAGGCCTGAGAAGCAGTCACAGGCACTGGAGGTCGCCCACATGGAGAAATGTCTGACTCACTGAAGCTGCACCTGGGGGTCTCTGCAGGCTCTGAATTGTACAGGAACAGCTCCTCCCCTAGACTCAGAGTGAGGACAATCTCTGCTCTTTCTCTAGGGGAGGTGAGGGTTAGTGTGTGGAAAGAACCCAACTTATTTTCAACAAGATCTCTGTACTTGGGCAAAAAGAAAGAATATGAGAAAAAATGATTTCAGTTTAAACAGAACAATTTCTCATGTGGAAGGCAAAAATATGTTTGGATCTTGCACAGAATTAAGAAACAATGAATTTGGGGTAAAGTTGAAAATTACAATTTCTTTGCAGATTCTGTTTTTAGTTATCTATGTCATCTGAGAAAATGAAGTAAAATCAGGGTTTTTATATAAAAATTCACAAAGAGGGTGCTGGGCCTGAGAATGCACCTCAAATCCCTCCAACATCAGGGAGCCCAATAGACCAGGCAGCCAGCTGCTGTACTGCACTCTAACACCCGCCACCTGGTGTGTGCCAAAGACACTCATCCTGGGAGCTCCTCCCAGACAATGGCTGTGCACAGTGGAGATACTGAGGCAAGGCTGCTGCTGGGACACATGGGAGATTCCTGATGGACTACTGTGCTCTGGAAGGCACCAATGGCCTTGCTGGACTTAGCTCGGACCACAGGATAGGTAGGAAGCTCCACTGAATGCCCACTACTCTCCAGTGCTAGTTGTGAGACTGGCATTGCGGGGTGGCAGTGTCTACAGCCTCACCTGGCCGCCTGTGCACTTTTGTGCCTCTAATACTTACTTTTGTTTTTGGGACATATAAGAATGTTTCCTCTTTTAAATTAAAGTTTTGTAATCCAGGGACCTCATGGTGGGCACAGAAACATAAAAGTGCAGAGGATTCGAGGGGAACTGCTACATGCAGAGGAAAGCACAGATCCTGAAGGACAGCAGCCCTTGACTGCTTTTCTGTACCTGCCCTGGGGCTCCACCTGTTTTGTGAGTGCTGAGTGTCCCCTTCGGCCCAGAATCCTTTCTTCTTTCTGCAGGAAATTTTGTGTCTGGACTCACACCGATGTTTCCTCACTTGGAACCTTATGTACAGCCATGCATGGTCATGTCCTCAGCTCTCAGACTGTTCGTTTGCAGATACGGTGAGTTCTTAGCATTGTCTTTGGAGATGGTGAATCTGCCCTTCACAGAGTCTGCATGGTATATCTGACTTCCATCATATTTTACATCTATTACTCCCTCCAGCCCCTTCCCTAGAGTCTCATTGACCCAGCTCATTCAGTAGCTACTGAAGGTGAATCCAGAGGCTACACAGGAGAGTCTCAGGAACTTCCCAAGTTGTCTCAGGCCCTCTATGGACTCTATCAGCTCCACCTCACACTGAACACCTGAAAATACACAAACGTCCTGGTCAGAAACTGCCAAACACATCTACTGTTTTTCTCACTTATATCCACTCACTCTCACTCACTCTATTTCTCTATGAGTCACCTTTTAAAATAGCAACAAGAAAAATTCTGGTTAGCTCAAACCCCATAGTGAGCTCTGTGTTCAGCCCTGATTACCACATGGAAACCCCTGGGAATCCCAGTGCTGTGGCTCTTCTCCCAGAGCTGCAGGGCCAGGTCTGGGCTTGTTTTCACCAGTAGAGGGAGGGCCCTGTTTTCATGCCTCCTCCTCTATAGCAAGCTCCAGTGTGGGATGCCTGAGAAGAAGGCAGTGCCCAGAGCAGATGTGAGACTCCCGGAGGAGCATAATTGAACAAGTGGAACTAGATTAACAAAAAAAGATTCTGCAAAGCAACGAAATAATTCCAACTCACAGAATTGGATAATATACCATGTATCTGGAGGAGTTAGTGGCAATGACAGCATTTGGGAAAATATGATTATTCATAACGTGATTGTGCCATGAAACTCACTAAGCAATTATTATTTTATTTTACTTTTTACACAGTACAAATACAAATATAAATGCATTAAGCAAACTTTAAGATATATATATAGAGAGAAATAGAAAACTATATAAAAATAAGGGAAAACCTTAATACCTCACTTAGAATAATGTATAGCAAATCCAGAAAGAAAATTCTTAATAAGCCTCTGAACTTGAACAACAGTATTGAACAAATTTACCTGAAAGACATTTACAGAACCTTCCAACCAAGAGCCATGTAATACACATCCTTCTCAAGCACCCATTGAACATTCTCCATGATAGGTTATATGTTACATCATAAAATTAGTCTTAACATTTAAAGAATTAATGCTAATGCTTCTCTAACTCTTTCAAAAATTGGTGAGGAGTCCACCTTCCAAACTCTTTTTTTATATATAGTAAATAAACTTTATCTGTTTCTCAGAGATGACACTGCCAACAGTCACAGATTTGCATACAATACTGTTAGGTATTGGGTATTTACAATTTACAGTATTTTTTTTCCTCTGAAAAATATAAGCACAAAAGCTAAGTAAACAATGACGTACTGCCATTTGGAATTTATTACATGCCATAGTGTAAAGAACTGGTCTCTAACAAATATTCAACAAACCAACCTGAATAAAATAGTCGGTTAGGGATTTAGTACATGGCACAGCTTAAAGAACTGGCCTTTAGCAAATATTCAACAAATCAACCTTAATACAATAGTCAATTAAGTGATTTATTATTTCTAATTCATTAGAAAAAATCCACTAAGTCTCACCTCAAAATGTATTGCACAATCTTTATGAAAAAAATCACCCTAAAAATAATTAGGAAAGGTAAGCAGTTCTTTAAAAAGAATGGAAGAAAGGAATATTATGTAAGCCCATTAAGCAGGTTAAGTTATTCAGAATATCTTTTAAACAACATAAAACTCTTCCCTTGGGAGGCCGAGGCGGGCGGATCACGAGGTCAGGAGATCGAGACCATTCTGGCTAACACGGTGAAACCCCATCTCTACTAAAAATACAAAAAGTTAGCCAGGCGTGGTGGCAGGCGCCTGTAGTCCCAGCTACTTGGGGGCTGAGGCAGGAGAATGGCATGAACCCAGGAGGCGGAGCTTGCAGTGAGCCGAGATTCTGCCACTGCACTCCAGCCTGGGCAACAGAGCGAGATTCTGTCTCAAAAAACAAACAAAACAAAACAAAAAAACAAAAAACAAACAAACAAACAAAACTCTTCCCAACAGAAAACTGAAGAAAAAAACTATCACCGTTTCTCCACTGATAAAATCTATTTTAAAGGTAGTCTGCAACACACCTTCCAAACTCTTTCTATGAGGCTACCGTTAGAGTACTACCAGTAATAGACAAAGGCACCACAATAAAAGAAAATCATAGACCAATATCATTAGTAGACATAAATTAACCCCCCAACAATAGTAAAATAAATTCTAAAGATTTTATAGAAGACCATACACCATGATCAACTCAAATTTATTCTGAGATGCACAGATGATTTGACATTCTCAAATCAATCAATTCAGTTGATTAATTAAAAAACTAAAGAAAAAATATCTCAGTAACATTTCATCAGACACAGAAAACACTTGAAAAAAATTCAGGATTTCATTATAAAAACTCTGAACAAAGTAGGAAGACAAGAAAACAACTTGTACATAATGAAACCAATTAAGAAAAGCCACAGCTATTATTATACTCAATAGTAAAATTTTAGAATATTTTGGTCTAATATCTGTAACAAGGCAAGAATAAAGCTTGAGGTATTACACTTCCAGGCCTCAACATTTATTAGAAACATACAGTAATAAATCAGAATGGCATTCGCATAAATTCATACAGAGAGCTTAGATATAAACCCACATATTGATGGCCAGCTGACTTTCAGCGTGAGAACCATCAATATATAATTGCTAAATTATAGTGTCTTCCAAAGAGCGTGTTATGAAAATTGGATATTTACATGCAAAGAATTAAGAATTTTAGGTTAGAATAAACAAAAAAATTAATTCTAAATGCATTAAATACTTAAATGAAACACGTGCAATTGTAAAACTCCCAACCCTCAAAAAATTAGCAATCTTTTTCTGGATTTTACATTCAAACAAATAAAAAAACACAGAATTGGACAAGTGGGACTAGATTTAAAAAAAGATTCCGCAAAGTAACAAAATAATTCCAACTCACAGAATTGGATAATATGCCATGAATCTGAAAAAGCGTTAATATCCAAAATGTAAATGAAACATCTACAACTCAATAACAATAATAAAAATAGCATAATTTAAACATAATCGGTTTTACACCTTTAACAATGTGAGAACCTCAAACTCATGTTCAATGTTTTTCTCTGTGGGTAACAGTCTGCCTGATGGTATGCTTGGTTGGGCAATACTTTGTAGTTATTTGATCAAACACTAATCCAGGTGTGAATTTTTAAATAGATGTTATTAAAACTGTGATCAGTTGACTCAATATTAGGTAGATTATCATCAATAACAAACTTGGCCCTGATTCCATCAGAACAGATCTGGAGAAGGTAAAACTCCGTGGTGATTAAGCAGCTTGAGATCTTTCTAAGATTTCCAGCCTGCATTTACTGATGGCTGACCCTAAGGATACTGCACGTTTCCAGCCATCCCCCAAAACTGTCATCCCCTACATCTCACAGGAAAGTGGTGTGTCCCTCTGCAGCTTGTCAAACCTAAACATCAGAGAGAAAGAGATTCTCCAAAATCAAATCGTATTTATTTGAAAATGAGCATTGCAATGGGATTATCCATGGTCACATTTAGGTTGGTAAAGAAAGACAAGTGTCTGAAGGATAAATGAGAAGATTACCTGAGCTATTTTGAGACAATTATCCTGGGGTAGAAGAATCAATAACAAGGGTAGAATCAGTTTAAGGCTGAACAGGGAGTTGCAGGGCAGATATCCCCTCAGTATTAATTCTCTTATTGTTGTGGTAGCCTTTGTTCAAGATTGTGGTTGTGCAGAGTATTTTTAGGGTAATTCTTGTTATCAGGGATGTGTGCATGAGAACCCTCTATTCATGACCTCTTCCAGCTTCGCCTGTAAAGATTATAACACACGTGGCTCCATTTTTATTCTGACAACGTTCACACCCACTTCCTTCTCCACTAGTGAAGAACGTTACTGTGTGACGGTTTTTCAGAACAGGATTAGAAACACATCCACATCCCACATTAACCAGACAAGCTTGTCCCTTCAGTTCCCACTGGCAACTTGCATTTCCAGATGAGTCTCCATGCAACACAGTGGAGGGTCCTGAGTGACGAAGAGTGAAGAAAGTCCCACCAGACTCTCCTGCGTGACTGCAGCAGCCACAGCCTGAGACCCACCTGAGCGCCAAGAAAAGGGCTTGAGGTCTGGAATTTTGACCACAGCAAAAACATCTTCCTTTTTCGGAAAGCAGGAAAAGCAAATGGAAAAATGAGAACAACATCTAAAAAAGACAGTAAATGAATTAGGAAAAGAAGCTCCAGATCAGTATTGATTCTGATTTGCATTCTTCAGTGTCAGGAGAAGGGTCCTACGAGAAACCTGTGAGGTTCTACATGACACTGACCCTGGCCCAGCCTCTCTTTTTTCTGTAATCAGAATCCCCAAAGACTGTTCTTGCTGGGATTCACTCAGGATGGTGGCGGAAATATTAAAGGGGAATATTAAGGAAAGTTATAGGGAATAGTCATATACCTTTTTAGAAGGCCGAAAGGTTACATAGCTTGTAATAATTGAACAGGCTGAAGGCGGCCAGTTCTTACCTTAGAGCGTTAGGCATAGGGTAAATACTAGGGACAATAGAGGCCTCCCCAGTTAAGTCTGGTTACCCTACCTCCATTAACTAACCAGGGTATTGCCCCCTAATGGTATTTACTTTAGACCGCAGTCCCTGAGCTTTAATCATTCGTAGAACTACTCTCTTAACCATGTTAATTATCCACAAGTGTGTTGTCAGAGCTTCTGTTGTTAATTCTATACTCAATACACGCCTGGAGTGCGAGCTGCTCAGGGCCACTGCTGCCGTTCTTTACAGGATTCTTCTTGGAGTCTGTAAGTTGCCTCGGACCCTCAGCTGAACTGGCAAAACAGAATATCTGTGTGTCAGTGTACGTTTTATTCATCCGCCACCGGGTCAGGGGTCTGCAGGAACAGACCCCCCGCAGCTTGAGTTCTCTTGTGAGGAGCAATACCTCAGTTCTAGTCAGGATTCTTTCTGGAGTTCCTGTCCTCAGTCTGACTGGAGAAGACTCACCAGGAAGCCCTGAGCTTCCTCAGGACTCTGACAGTGGTGACCATGGTTGAGAACTTTTCATCTCCTCTGTGAGGATCAATCTGCATTTTCTGCATAGGAGAATAGGTTTTCATATTAAAACAATCATTTTAAAAATATGTAGAAATGACCCTAGTAATCACAGAATTCCGAACTTAGGTTCAGTAGAGAAACTTTAAGAAGATGAAGTCCCACATCGTGACAGGAAATCAGCCTTCATCTGCACCTGCCGCTGGGGCTGACTCTGATCAGTGGCTCCTGAGCGCCCCCTGCAGATGACTTTCCCCAGCGTTCCCGCAGGGAGGTTTCTGCATGGTCCCACATTAACTTCTCCTCACTGTGTCTCTCGCACAGTAATACACAGCCATGTCCTCAGCTCTCAGGCTGCCCATTTGAAGATACAGCGTGTTCTTGGAATTGTCTCTGGAGATGGTGAATCTGCCCTTCACAGAGTCTGCATAATATGTGCTACCCCCATTACTACTAATAGCTGAAACATATTCCAGTCCCTTCCCTGGAGCCTGGCGGACCCAGTGCATAGCATAGCTACTGAAGGTGAATCCAGAGGCTGCACAGGAGAGTCTCAGGGACCCCCCAGGCTGGACCAAGCCTTCCCCAGACTCCACCAGCTGCACCTCACACTGGACACCTGCAAACACAGAGACACCAAGGTCAGAAACTGCCACACAAATCCACTGTTTCTCTCACTCATGTCCACTCACACTCAATATCTCTATTTCCTCATGAATCACCTTTAAAAATAGCAACAAGGAAAACCCAGCTCAGCCCAAACTCCATCATGACTCTTCTGTGTTCAGTGCTGATCACCAAATGAAAACACCTGGGAATCCCAGGGCGGGGGCTCCTCTCCCAGAGCTGCGGAGTCAGGGCTGGGCTGGTTTTCATCAGGAGAGGGAGGGACCTATTTGCATGTCTCCTACTATATAGCAAGCTCTGGGGTGAGATGCCTGAGGAGAGGGCAGGGCCCAGGGCAGATGAGAGTGTCCTTGGGGATTTCGATGACAATGATTACATTTGGGAAAATGCTGTTTTATTGTGAAATTGTTGTGTGATAAACACTTAATAACTATCACATTTTTAATTATTTTTACCTATGTGTATAAATTATGTTATTTAGGAATCAGTGGTTTCTTCATGTACAGATGTAAAAGTGAACCCACACATGGAGGGGCTATGTATGTGTCTAAGGGCTTATATCTGGCATGAGTGAGTCCTAGTACCCGGGCCTATGCTCCTCACAGCTGGCCTCAGTTGCTCTTTTAACCAACTCTAGGACAGAGATAAACGGGCCTAGTGTGGTTTGCAGAATCCACTTCCTGCCACGACAACCTGTGTGATTTTGCTGCATTTACCTAAAAATACGGAGAAAACTAGGGGTCAGACAAATAAATTTTTAGGTATATTTGACATTTAACATATTTATTTGTTCCTTCCTATCACCCTCTTTTTGTCTAAAATTTCAGTTTTTTTGTAATAAATTTTATGAGGTTTAATTGACAGATAAGAAAATTCACATATTTATTCTGTACAATAGTAAACTTTGAAAAATAAAATCTCTATTTTTAAGAAGGTGACAAGTCAACTCCCCTCAGCATTCCTCTTGCTCTTTTATATTTTTTTGGTTTTTCTCCTTCCCTTCTTCTACCATTTCTTTATAAATCTACTGATGTTTTCACATGTCTTTTGACTAGCTTTTATATTCTAGAATTTATAAGAATGAAAAAATATAGTATATGCTCTTATGTATTTGGATTATTTTTCTCAATAGAAATACTGAGAATTAAATCTTTTATGTTGCATGTGTTTATTTCTTACAAATAATGGGTAGCATTTCAGCAAACAAATGTAGCATAATTTGTTTTTCTATTAAGTTACTAACTGGCATTTGAATTTTTCATTACTCTCTCTAAGTCTTACTAATAAATCTGCTACTCAGCTTGGTAACACACATAGATGATAAATTATATATAAGTTACATAAATATATTTTTTGCAACAACAGTAACAAGAGAATGTACAATTTGGCAAATTTTGTTTAGTATTTCAGATAATTGAAGTTATGAAATAAAAAACAAACCTGTAATCCAAAGAGTACCTGAGACTAATCTCAATAGATTTAGGAAGTTCGTATTCCAAGATTAAGGACATGGCAGTGACACCGCCTCAGGGAGTCCTGACGATATATGCCCAAGGTGGTGGGACACAGCTTGATTTTATGCAATTTAGGGAGACATGGGACAGTAATCAATATATGTAAGATGTACATTGGTTTGGTTCAGAAAGGCAGGACTTTCTGAAGTGGGGAGAGAGCGTCCAGATCACAGGTAGGTTTGAGACAAATGCTTGCATTCTCTTGAGTTTCTGATTAGCCTTTAACTGAATGCACAATTTACAGGAATAGTCACGTAGGCCTTAGTCTGGCTTAGCAAAACAATAGAGAAATGGTGGCAATCAGATAGGCATTTGACTTATGTGAGCAGAGAAATGACTCTGTCTGTTGTTGGTCCACAAGGTTTTTCCTTGTGGTCAAATTTTGAAGGAGGTATGTAGTTTTTTAAAACCTTAGTTTCACTCGTGTCCATGTGAAGAGACCACCAAACAGGCTTTGTGTGAGCAATAAAGCTGTTTATTTCACCTGGGGGCAGGCGGGCTGAGTCTGAAAAGAGAGTCAGCGAAGGGAGATAGGGGTGGGGCCGTTTTATAGGATTTGGGTAGGTAAAGGAAAAAGGGGGGTTGTTCTCTGGCGGGCAGGAGAGGGGGTCACAAGGTGCTCAGTAGGGGAGCTTTTGAGCCAGGATGAGCCAGGAGAAGGAATTTCACAAGATAGTATCATCAGTTAAGGCAGGAATAGGCCATTTTCACTTCTTTTGTGGTGGAATGTCATCCATTAAGGCAGGAACCGGCCATCTGGATGTGTATGTGCAGGTCACAGGGGATATGATGGCTTATCTTGGGCTCAGAGGCCTGACAGTTAGTAGCTATCATTTTAGGGAAAGAATGGAGGTGGGTTTGCCCCAAGCAGTTTTCAGCTTGACTTTTCCCTTTGGCTTAGTGATTTGGGGGTCCCAGAGATTTCTTTTCCTTTCACAAACATGGAAATCTTGGGAGAAACAAGTTCTTGTAGAGAGAAACAAAGCCATAGTGTTAGCTAAACTGAAGCAGAGGCTGCCATATGAAATACAGCCTATTACAAGATAAAGCTACAAACATGTGTTGGATTGCTTAAATTCCAGTGTGGTAAATGTGTTGTCATGTGAAATTCTCAGGAACCACATACTGAAGGGCACTGATAAAGTGAATTAAATGTGGCCCGAAAAGGACTCTGCACTTCTATGATTGAGTCCTTGTGGACAAACTGTAACCTTGTGGACAAACTTGTGGACAAACCTTGTCCTTGTGGACAAACTGTAACTGTAACATATAGAAAAAATATGAATTAAACTCAGTAGACTTCAAGCTATTGACATGTAAATTAGGTGGAATATTTCATAGCTAAAGACCTGATCTAGCATGAGAAATAACAGAGAGATGACACACGGAGAATGCAGCAGGGGGAAGCTGACATTCAAGTTCTGATGTTTGTTTACTGATATTTGTCCCCTAGCATGTCCAGCACTTCATGAGCACAGAACTCCTCTAATAGAGAAACAGCCTCTCACAGGACATGATCCTCAAAATGATCTCACCTACAAATGGATCACTAGCAACTTCAAACTTTTTTGGTTTTTGCCCTTTGCAAGTTGAACTACTGGCATGAGTGTGTCTCTCCATGTTTGCACACATTGAATTGATAAAATTAGTTTTGTTCTACATCTTCCAACTCTTAAGATATCTGAAAACTCTAAAATTTTCTCCTTTCAAATTTGGTTCTCATTGACTCATTGGGTTACATCAATGCTCTAAGTACGATGGGATATGGAAGACACATCGGTAGTTTTTGCTAAATTATTTATGTTTTATTTTATTTTATTTTCAAAAGTAAAGATGAAGCCTCACTATGTTTCACAGACTGATCTCAAACTCCTGGAAATCTTCCCACCTCAGCCTCCCAAATTTCTGGGATTATAGGTGTAAGCCACTGTGCCTGGACATTAATTACTTATTTTAACTTTTTAATTGCATTTTTGTTTTGAAATAAGTGTAATTCAGATGCTGGTAAAATTTTCTCCTCAGACTCCTCTGCAGCTGCTCCAGGGCTGACATCTGTGTTGAGTGGTTTCTGGGCCTGTCCTGCAGCTCTGCCCTCACCCGGCAGGGGAGGATGCTGTTTGGGCTCACAGAGCATATTCTCCCAATGTCGCTCCCCCAGAATGAAGGGGCTGTCCCCTGGTTCACAATCCTCTCTCAGCAGCATCTAATGCTTTCGAAATTGTCTCTCGAAACAGTGATTTAACATTACTGTACCCAGTAAACTGCAGGGGGAGCCCAAGCACAGATTCTTTGAAACCACCAGAGAGTCTGTTCCCTGGGACTGTCAGATGCAATGACACAGTCAAGATCCATGGTGAGTCCAGAAACTTTCAGAGAACTCATAGGAGCCTCTTATTTCTTTCAGAATTCTCTATTCAAAGATCACGCCAAATAGTATGTCCACAGAGAGAACTACATGGCTCAAAGCCCACAAAAATTAAAACACACGTGTACACACACACACACACACATGCACACACACATACACAGTGGGAAGGCTGAGCTTTATAGTAATTGACTCGTAATTTGGGATCTTTCCTAGTGTAAACCAAAGGTTTCCGAGACAGATCTCAATCAAATTAAAATTAATTTTGCCAAAGTTAGGGCATGCCTGGAATGAAAATACAAGTAATCACAGAAAAATTTGTGGTCAGTGCCGTTCCCCAAAGATGATTTTCAGGGCTTTCAATACAAAAAAGGGGGGAAAGCTGGATAGAGGGGAAAGAGGGACAGTATGAAAATTTACATGTTGTAATGAGAGAGAAGCACATAGGGAAACAGAAAAATTATGTAGTTCTCCTGAACTAAGTTAGCACTTTATATAAAGTAAAATGAACAAAGAGTAGCTATCTGTGAAGATATTTAACTTTTTATTTGTAGCTATTCTCTTAGGAATGAAAGGAAAATCAGTTTCTTGCATGGATCATCCTTTAGGATTTTCCCCCCTCATGACATAATGAATTGACAGCACAAGTTTTTATTTTCCTTTTATATTTTCCCCACCTGTTCCTTTTCAAAATCATTCAGAGGAAGCATTTTACAACCAAATGAGTTTCTGGTCTCCTGTTTTGTTTTATCTTTCATTGATAGAATGGATTACTCTTAGATAAACAGGTCCCATGTTGTTAAGATAGCTCATTGTTACCTACCTTTCAAATGTTGTGAAGTCTCACATCCCAATGATGAAAAAATAGTGGGAGAAAAAGGGAACTAAACATAGAAAATAAAGGAGGAAATAACCAACAAAAAGGGGAAACAATCCTGGAAAACTGATATAGGCTTTGGAACTCTGAAGGCTGTACATGAGTAGGATAAACAACAAATATCTGAGACAGGTCTCAGTCAATTTAGGAAGTTTATTAATATGGTTTGTCTGTGTCCCCATCCAAAACTCATTTTGAATTGTAGTCCCACATTTCCCATGTGTCATTGGAAGAACCCAGTGAGAAGTAATTGAATCATAGGGGCAGGTCTTTCCCATGATGAACTCATGATAGTGAATAAGTTTCATTAGATCTGATGGTTTTCTAAAGGGGAATTCATCTGCACAAGCTCTCTCTAGTCTTCCACCATGTAAGATGTCCCTTCCTTTTCTGACATGATTGCGAAGTGTCCCCAGCCACGTGGAAATGTGAGTCAATTAAAACTCTTTCCTTTATACGTTACCCAGTCTTGATTATGTTTTTATCAGCAGCAGGAGAACAGACTAATACATTTGTTTTGCCAAAGTTAAGAACCCAACCATAACCAGCCTCAGGAAGTCCTGAGACATGTGCACAAGGTGATTGAAGTACAGCTTGCTTTTATACATTTTACAGAGACATGAGACATCAGTCAATACATGTGAAATGTACATTTTTTTTTCCTGTAAGCCAGGACAAATGAAAATGGGGGCTTGCAGGTTAGAAGAAGATAAGAGACAATAGGTTGCATTCTTTTGTGTCATTTATTATCCTTCCACTGAATACACAATTTAGTCTGACTCAGTGAATCTTCATTTTTACATAAATTATAGTGGGGAGGAAGAAATCATATATGTATTTGTCTCAGGGGAGACTTAGAGGAATGCCTGCTTTCCTGCCTTTCTGAATCAACTGTTCTAAGTTTAAGTTTTTGTAGATGACCAAAAACAAAAAACAAAAACAAAAACAAAACAAGACAAGACATGAGTTACAAGGAAGAAATACTAAGAGATCCTGGGGAAGACCTTTGCTTTACAAGGTCAAAAAATAGCAAGTTCAAAAAGGAAACCCCACCCTGCCCAGGGACCTAATGTGGAGCTGCCTCCTAAGGGAACCGTGGTGTCTGAGCGACCCCTGCCGTCCTGAGCGCCCCCTGGTGGTTCTGAGCGCCCGCTGGTGGTTCTGAGCGCCCCCTGGTGTCCTGAGCACACTCTGCTGTTCTGAGCGCCCGCTGGTGGTTCTGAGCGCCCCCTGGTGTCCTGAGCACACTCTGCTGTTCTGAGCGCCCACTGGTGGTTCTGAGCGCCCCCTGGTGTCCTGAGCACACTCTGCTGTTCTGAGCGCCCGCTGGTGGTTCTGAGCGCCCCCTGGTGTCCTGAGCACACTCTGCTGTTCTGAGCTCCTGCTGGTGGTTCTGAGCGCCCCCTGGTGTCCTGAGCACACTCTGCTGTTCTGAGCTCCTGCTGGTGGTTCTGAGCGCCCCCTGGTGTCCTGAGCACACTCTGCTGTTCTGAGCGCCCCCTGGTTTAACTGAGTTCTCTCTGGTGTCCTGAGCATCTATCTCCTGGCGGGTTTGCTGTGCAGAAACTCCTTAGTTAATTAGGTCCCACTCATCTATTTGTGTTTTGGTTGAATTTGCTTTTGGATACTCAGCCAAAAATTATTCGTCAAAGTTGGGGTCGAGAAGAGTATTTCCTAGGTTGTCTTCAAGGATTTTTATGGTTTGAGGTCTTACATTTAAGTCTTTCATCAATTTTGAGTTAATTTTATGTATGTTGAAAGTAGACGTCCAGCTTCAATCTTCATCACATGGCTAGCCAGTTGTCCCAGCACCATTTATTGAACAGGGAGTCCCTTCCTTATTGCTTGTTTTCATCAGCCTTATCAAATATGAGATGATTGTAGGTGTGCAGCAACACACCACTCAGAATGGCTATCACGAAAAAGTCAAAAAACAATGAATGCTGGTGGGACTCTGGAGAAAAGAGAACACTTATACCCTGATGAGAAGAATATAAGTTAATCTTGCCCCTTTGGAAAGCAGACTGGAGATTTCTTAAAGAACTTAAAACAGAGATATCATTTTACCCAGCAATCCCACTCCTCAGTATACACTAAAAAGTAAGCAAATAATTCTTATTTGTGCGCACATTTGTCAGAAGCCCTCAAGCTGTACATTGAAAATCTAAGCATTTTTATGTTAATTTTATATCATAAAAATAGAAAATAGACAATGGTAGGAAAATATTTATATTGATATTAAAATCCTAATAAAATATATATGAAAATTCAAATAAAAAATGTAAATGTGATTACAATAATTATTAAAATGCATTCAGCTGTAGTGGAATTAAATCCAGGAAATTAGAAAGATAAAGGTGACATATTAAAATGAAAAATTAATAAACACATTTCACAGATAAGTAAAACATGGCTAAAAATATGTGGAACATTTTATATTATTAGTAATACAAAGTAAATAAACTCTTGATATAACATTTTGACCTGTTTTATCAGGATAAATGACTAATATTTTGTGTAAAATCACAACATGTAAACAATTAAAAATAACCAAAATCAATTATGAATTACTCTAATAATTTATATTTAGTTCATCATTAATTTTGATTCTTCAGGACATGTTTTTAGAATTATTTTATCTTAATGTTTAATATGAATGCCTACACATATATGCATAGGTCTGTGTATTTGTACATCTTTTTTTCTTTCTTTCTTTTTATTTATTTAGTTTTTTGAGATGGAGTCTCAGTTGCCCGGCTGGAGTGCAGTGGCGCGATCACGGCTCATTGCAACCTCCGCCTTCTGGGTTCAAGCAGTACTTCTGCCTCAGCTTCCCAAGCTGGGGTTACAGGCACAGACCACCATGTCTTGCCGATACATATTTCTATGTTTATAAATTTATGTCCCTATAGCTATGTAGTTGCTGATGTCAACAAATGTTAATAAAACTCTGGAAGAATCAGTGCAAATAATTAGGAATATTTATATCTTCAAAGTACATATTTAAAATGTACTTATATATAATTTTAATAATTACTAAAATTTAAATACTAACGATAATAAAGTCATAATAAATACAAGTGATAAAATGTCACAGCCTAGAATGCTGCAGAGTCCTGCAAATACAAACCTGACTTCTCCAGCTGATGAGAAAGGAAAACTACCCCAGCATCTGCTCCTGGGACCTGTCCTGTCCTCAGTGGGTTTTGACCGCCCCCGGTGGCCCCGCGCGCCCCTGCAGGGAGGTTTGTGTCTGGGCTCACACTGACCTCCCCTCACTGTGTCTCTGGTATAGTAATACACGGCCGTGTCCTCGGTTTTCAGGCTGTTCATTTGCAGATAGGCGATGCTTTTGGAATCATCGCTTGAGATGGTGAATCTGCCTTTCACAGACGCGGCGTATTCTGTTGTTCCACGATTAGTTTTGTTTTTAGTGAAACCTACCCACTCCAGCCCCTTTCCTGGAGCCCGGCAGATCCACTGCATGCAGTAGTTAACAGAAGGTGAATCCAGAGGCTGCACAGGAGAGTCTCAGGGACCCCCCAGGCTGTACCAAGCCTCCCCCAGACTCCACCAGCTGCACCTCACACTGGACACCTCCAGAGACATCGTGATCAGAAACTGCCACACTATCCACTGTTTCTCTCACTCATGTCCCCTCACACTAAGTATCTCTAGTTCACCATTAATTATCTTTTAAAATAGCAACAAGGAAAAACCGGCTCAGCCCAGACTTCATATGGTTGGTAGTCGGTGTTCAGTGCTGATCACCAAGTGGAAACACCTGGGCATCCCAGGGCTGGGGCCCCTCTCCCAGAGCTGCAGAGTCAGGGCTGGGCTGGTTTTCTTCAGCAGAGAGATGGCCCTATTTGCATGTCTCCTACTATATAGCAAGCTCTGGGGTGGGAAGCCTGACGAGAAGGCAGTACCCAGATAAAATGACTGTGCCCTGCAAGAATTTGGTGACAACGATGGTACTCAGAAAATATGCTGTCTTATTATAAAATTATGCTGTGATAAACTTTTTGAATTCATCATCCTATTTTATTTTTACATATTTGTGCAAATTATGTTTTGTCGGAGTCAATTGTTTCTCCATGTACAGATGTGGAAGTCAACCACGCATGGAGAAAGGGCTAAGTATGTGTCTAAGAGCTCACGTCTGGATGAGTAAGCCCCAGTACCTGAGCCTGTGCTCCTCATCACTGGCCCCAATTACTCCCTGAGCCAACTCCAGGACAGAGCTGGGCGTGCCTAGTGTGGTTGTGGAACCCACTTTCTGTAGTGAGAACACGTGTGATTTTGCTGCATTCTAGCATTCACCTAAAAATATGGTGAGAACTAGGGTTCAGGCAGATAAGTTCTTAGGTATTTCTGAAATTTAATATACATTTTTTCTATCTTTCTATCACTCCTTCTTTGTCTAAGTTTCCATTTGTTTGCTTGTAATAAATTTTGAGAGTTTTAGTTTACAGATAATAAACTTTCACATATTTAAATTGTACAATTGATAAATATAATGTAACCATCATTGTTATCAAGGTGGACAAGAGAATTCTCAACATTTCCTTTTGTTCTTCTACATTCTTCCTCCTTTTCCCTTTCATTCTTCTACCATTTCTCTGGCAACTCCTGAGCTATACATTGCGGCTGAGTCATTTAGTTTATTAAAATTTATACAAATCAATGCAGTATATATTCTTATTTGTTTGGCTTATTTTACTTAACATATGTAATTCGATATTTTACCTTATAGTTGGGTATAGCAGACATTTATTTATTCTAAATACTGGATAGCATTCTAGCAAACAAATTTACCATAATTTGTTTTTCTGTTAAGCAGCTGAACAATATTTGAATTTTTTATTATTCTGGGTCTTACTAAAAATCTGCTATTAAGTTTGGAAACGCACATAGAAAAGGAATACATTTTCCTTATTTTTTACAATTGCATCAACAATAACATAAACATAGAAGATGTAGCTTTGCAAATTTTCTTTAATACTTTTGATAATTAATGTTTCAAAACACGCGACAAGTCTGAAGTTCAGGGAGAAGCAAGTTCTTATAGAGAGTGACAAGAAGTTTGTCATCCTAGGTTGTTTGTCAGTCTAGCTTGTCTTTCTTCACTCTGCTAGAATAGTCTAGAGACATTAAGCTTAATATGTAACGAATTTGAAAATTAGAACGAGTCCGAAGTGAAGTCAAAGTTACCGTGTGGTTAATAATGTGACAGACAGGAGACATGACTGGATACTAAGAGTGTGTTCACATCTATTTTATCTAGATTAGCAAAACATTTTGTGCATCCCTTAGATAATATTCCCGTTGAGAGCCTTGATTTAACATTATTTCTTGATGAATAACACCTAAATAATAAAGGTGGTGGTTATTAACTCATAATTTATATTGCTAGTACAAACTTTCATTTAAGATAAATTCCTCTATCTGATGTAAAATCAGCCGAGAAGGCAGAAGTTATTGCACTTACTAGAGCTTGTCAATAAACCGAAGACCATGATTAAATACAGATGTTTTACTGTAGTGCAGAATTTTAAAATGTCCTGCAGGCAGAAGAGGTTTTCAAATCTTCTGGAAGCCCCATCAAAATGGACTACAAGAAAAGAAATTTTTAAATAAATTATTACATTCTAGATATCTGACATATAAATTTGAAATGAAATGCAAGCAAAGAGAAAAAACCTAGTATGGAAACTAGAATAATGTTATGGTGCATCATTTCTACAAACTTTCAATCTCAACCTGGTCCTTAATATTATCTAAACATAGAAGGCATTCCCATTGTTCATATCATCCAGAATCAATCCCACTCACAATATTCTGAATATGTTGAAAAAAATGGCATCATTAAATTAAAAAAATATAAAAACTTTAATAAAATATTGAAAGTCTCTTGGCCAAGAGTTATGCCACTAGCACTGTGTCACTCTGGTACCTCCCTCAGGCCACATCAGTTACTATCCTATGACTTGGGAGCTGGAAGATTCATACATTTAGAAAGTTTACCCTCATTGCTCACCTTCGTCTTTTTGCATGTGTGTGTTACACAATATTGGACGTAATTTTTGTATTATACTAACTCCAATCACCAAAAGTTTAAGGTTGCCTTTTTATGTCATGTTTTAACAGTATTTTGTGATCTTCAACCATGAAAATACATATATTGGAAAAAACGTCAGGAAGAATTCTGCTGTTGAAACAAATTAGAATAAATTTTATCAGGCAATATTAACCAAAACACTGCAGAAAAAAATTAAGGGAGTCAATTCTTGGGTTGATATTTTGCAACTAAAGAATCAGTTCAGACCGAATATCGTGGCTCATGTCTATAATTCTACCACTTTGAGAAGCAAAACCAGGGGAATCACATAAGACTAGTAGTCAAGACCAGCCTGGATAACATAGAGAGACCCCACTTCTATGAAAGAATTAAAAAAAAATCAGCTTGGTCTCATGTCCTCACTACTCAGGAGGCTTATAAAGAAGGATTGTGTGAGCCAGAGGTTCAAGGTTACAGTGAGCTATGGTTGTGCCACTGCACTCCAACCTGTGTGACACAGTGAGACCCTATCTCTTATTATAATAATAATAATTAAGAATTTTACACTATTGTAAGGCACCTTAAATAGAAGATATTAAACTGAATATCCTCATGAATCCTCTGGCGCTTCTGATGTTTTGGAGCAGACAGCTCACCTAAGACATTCAGAACAAGCGGATGATTTTAGGTAATGAAAAGTCTCCACACAAGACATTGGAACAGGACCCTTGTGTAATCCCCTGCCCCGTGCCTTTCACCTCATTTTCCTCCTTTTCATTATGATTTGCTTATTCTTATAAGCAGTCTTCTTGTTTTGTGTAGACTGGTTTTTGTCCACCCATATTGGACACTGATCTATTTTTATTCATATTTTTATTCATTTATTATGAATAATTCATTATGATCTATTTTTATTCATTTATTTATAGTTGCTACATAGAATAAGTCATCAGACTTGTTTTGATGTCTGACTGCTGATAACTTAAGGCTCATTCCTCCATCATCTCCTTTCTTTCCGACACGAGGTGGATCTAGTTAGGAATCACAAGAACTCCCTCATTTGATGCCATTTGGAGGTTCAAACCCCACAAACCCATTTCTGTGAGTGAGAACCCTCACTCTGCCTCCACCACCAAACTGGTATAGCAACCTGAGCCAGTCTCCTTTCTTGCTCTATCGAGCCATTTTGGACATTCCTGAGAGACCAGCTCTACTCTCAGCAGACACCTCAAGAGGTAATCAACCTTTTCGTATTCACATGGGGGAGTGTGCGGCACTCACAGATGTGACATCCACACTACATTTTGGTTGTGATCTCTTGGCCTTTTTATGGTGTCAACTAGAACAGATGCTGTGAGCTTGTTGCCACTTCTCCTAACCACAGGACACACCTGTTCCCTGAATCAACCCCAGGACACAGCTGGACATGCCTGGTGGGGTTTGATTAACGCCCATTATGTAATGAATTCATGACATTATTTTGTTGTATTCTAGTGTTTCCCTAAAAATATAGGTAGGCTTAGGGTTTATTCATGTATATATCCAGGAGTCTTTGATTTCTCATATATCTTTAATTAAATCTTTAATTCTGTGTTGAGAAATTTAAAATTTCTTCAGTTTGATGAGTGAAGTCCTTATGCCAACGTTCTGTGATTTTCTTTTTTTATTTCTCATATATTTTATTCATCTCTGTCTAACTTATTTTCTACCAAATTATATGTGTTTAAATTTGGCATATTTTAATGAGGTGAAATTAGCAAATAATAGCCATCCCATAATGTGCACAATTTGACAAATAGTGACATAACCATTACCTTTCTCAACACAGAAAAAACTCAAGTGCCCTCAAAATTTCCTCTTGTTTTCCTGTAATTTCTTGTTCCTACACCTTTCCTTCTCACACCACACCCAGAGTCAACTACTGGTTTTCTTTATGTAACTTTAGATTGGTATTAATTTTATAGAATTTATAAAAGAGGAATTGTATGTGTGTACTTGTATTTATTTGTCTTATTTGACTCATCATATGTACTTGTGACTTTACCTTTGCTGTTGAACGTATCCAGCGGTACCAGAATGTAACAGTGGGTGATTTTCCAGGGAATGAATTTACCACAATTTGTTTATGATTAAGCTGCTGATTGATATTTGGATTGCTTTCAGTATCTGGGTATTTAAAAAAATGCATTAGGAGATATACCTAATGCTAAATGACGAGTTAATGGGTGCAGCACACCAACATGGCACATGTATATATATGTAACAAACCTGCACTTTGTGCACATGTACCCTAAAACTTAAAGTATAATAATAATAAAATTTTTAAAAAATGTCAAATTAAAAAAAAAAGTTGCTGCTACCTTAGAGAAATACACAGCTGAGAAACACAATGTTCCTATTCTCACAGCAATATGAACATCAGCTAAACTGGAAAAGCTGCACATTATAAACTGTCTTCAACACATCACGTAACTGAAGTTGTAGAATTTTGCGTGTGTGTGAGTTTGTGAGTGAGAGAGAAGGAGGGAAGAAGGGAGAAAGAAAAGATAGAGATCCCACAAAATTGACCATAATTTATGAGGTGCTCATATAAATACAGGGACTCAGAGTCTTAGTGGAAAGGTCCACATACGATGGAGAGGACAACTTGATGCACCTACATATGGCTATATATTTATATAAATGCCATTTTCTAATAATACACAGAATCAGGTACATGAGAATAAACACGGTGGTGGGTGTCCAGTGGTGAAATACGATGGTGATGCCAAACCCCATCTCCAGCCCCTTGTCCCCCCATTGCACCTGCCTTGATGTGTCCAGAGTGTTCCCTGGTGTCCTGAGTGCCTCCTGCTCTTTCTGAGCTCCCCTGCAGGGAGGTTTGTATCTGGGCTCACAATGACTTCCCCTCGTTGTGTCTTTTGTATTAAAATTCATGGTTGTGTACTTGTTGCTCAGGTAGCTCAGCTACAGGAAACACTGTTTTTTGGATGTGGATCTGGAGATAGTGACTGGACTCTTGAGGAGTGGGTTGGAATGTGCACTCCCTCATGACCTGTGCACCTGATTCGCTCCAGTCCCTTCCTTGCGGGGGGTGATGGATGCAGCTCCAGCAGGAAGCACTGGTTGTGATGGAGAATGCAGAGACAGCACAGGTGAGAGAGAGGGTCTGTGAGAGCTTCACTAGCCCAAGAGTGCAGGAGAAACACAGTTGTTGGCATGCACAAGTTCTGAACAACATTTTGAAATTCACAAATATGCACATTTTGATCCATAAATAATAACAGGATGGTATTGGCATTAATATATAGAGAGAGCTCAGAAATAAACTAATATATCTACAGCAAACTGATTTTCAGCATGAGAACTAACAATATACAATGGATGAATCAAAGTCTCTCCCTAAGAGGGTGTTAGAAAAACTGAATCTACACATGCAAAGAATTAAGAATTTTAGTTTAGATTAAATACCAAAATTTACTCTAAATGGGCGAAATACTTAAACGTATGGCTTGCAATTGTAAAATTTCCCCCACCCAGAAAATAATATTAAGAATGATTTCCTATATTTCAAATTAAAGGCACAGACAATAAAAGCAGAATTGAACAAGCAGAACTACATCACAGCAAAAAGATGCTGCAAAGCATGGAAAAAATTTCCAACCCACAGAAAGAGAGAATATAATTATAAGCTGTGCATCTGAAAAAGTGTTAATATCCAAAATGTACATGCAACTTCTACAACTCATTAGCAAAATCATAATTGGGTGATTGTACAGTGGTCAGTTTTGCACCTTAAAACACTTAAGAAATCGATCTCATGTTAAAGATTCTTCCCTCTGGGTAATGGTAAGTTTGATGGTACACTTGGTTAGGGTAGACTTTGTAGTTATTCAATCCAACATTAATATAGGTGATGTTGGCCGGGCACAGTAGCTCACATCTGTAATCCCAGCACTTTGGGAGGCTGAGATCATGAGTTTGAGACCAGCCAGACCAATATTGTGAAACCCCATCTCTACTAAAAATACAAAAATTAGCCGGACTTGGTGGCCTGCACCTGTAATCCCAGCACTTTGGGAGGCTGAGGCGGGTGGATCACCTGAGGTCAGTAGTTTGAGACCAGCCTGACCAATGTGGTGAAACACTGTCTCTACTAAAAATACAAAAATTAGCCGGATATGGTGGTGTGTGCCTGTATTTCCAGATACTGGGAGGAGGCTGAGACAGGAGAACTGCTTGAACTCCGGAGACAGAGGTTGCAGTGAGCCAAGATCATGACATTGCACTCCACCCTGGGTAACAGAGCGAGACTCTGTCTCTCTCTCTCCCTCTCTTACTATATATATAGTTATGAATTTACTTAATAGATGATATTAATACTGTTATCAATTGACTCTAAGTTAGGTAGATTGTCATTGATAAAATTGGTGGGCCTGATTCCATCAGAGCAGAACTGGAGAAAATGAAATTCCACGGCGATTCAGCAGCTTCACTTCTCTCTGGGACCTCCAGTCTGCATTTATTGATGGCTGATCTTATGGACATTGGAGATTCCTAGACATCTCCAAAAACTGTCATCCTCTATGTCTCACAGAAATGTGGCATGTCCGTCTGCAGCTTGTCAACCTGAATAACAGACAGAAAGAGACTCTAAAGTATAATAATATTTTTTCCAGGATGTGCATTTCAATTAAAATATGTATGGGTACATTCAGGTAGGAAAAGGAAGATAAAAAATTAAGGAGAACATGTGGACACAGGGTGGGAAACATCACACACCGGGGCCTGTCATGGGGTGGCGGGAAGGGGGAGGGATAGCATTAGGAGAAATACCTAATGTAAATGATGAGTTAATGGGGGCAGCAAACCAACATGGCACATGTATACATATGTAACAAACCTGCACTTTGAGCACATGTACCCTAGAACTTAAAGTATAATTTAAAAAATAATAAAAAAGAGAATTAAGGAAAAATGAGGAGGGTGACAGCAGCTATTTTGAGACAGCGGTGTAAGGTTGAACAGGCAGTTGCAGGGCAGATTTACTTGGAGAAATAAAGCTTTTAAGGCTGTGGTGGTCTCCGTGTAAAAGGTTGTGGCTGTGCAGAGTCTATTTATGACAGTTCATCTTATCAGGAATATGTGTTAGAACCCTCCTTCATGGCCTTCCCCAGCTTCATTCATTAGGGTTTTAACACAAGGGGATCCATTTTGTTGCCGATAAATTTCACAAGCTCTTTCTAACACTACTTCTGAAGAAGATGACTCTGACAGTGTGCATAGAACAGGGTTAATTCCACATCCACATCCCATTTTGATCAAATGAGTTCATCCCCTTCACTACTAACAGCCAATTGCATTCCCAGATGAGTCTACACACAACACAGAGGAGGGCCCTGAGAATATGGAGAGAGAAGGAAATCCCGTCAGCCTCTCCCACGTGGCTGGAGTAGCCAAGCCTGAGCCTTGCCTGAGTTCTAAGAAAATGCCTTGAGCCCTGGAGTGTAGATCACAGAGACCATGTGTTTCTTTTTCAGGAAGAAAGAAAAGCAAATAAAAAAGGGAGAACAAACACTCCAAAGAAAGAACATGTATTGGGAGCAAAAGCAGCACCAGATCAGTGCTGATGCTCATTGGCTTTAGGGTCAGGAGAAGGGTCAGACTTGAACCCTGTGAGCTTCTACAGGACACTGACCCTGGCCCAGCCTCTCTATTGGCTGTGATCAGAATCCCTGCCGTTCTGGTCCAGGAATCCCTCTGAGGTTTCTGTCCTGGGCCTGAATGGAGGAGACTCATCAGACACCCGTGAGCTTCCTCAGGACTGCGATCCTGGTCACAATGGTTGAGAACTTTTCATCTTTGTAAGCATCAATGTGCATTTGGTGCATGAGAGGTTATGTCCTCATGTTAAAATGATCTTTTGAAAATATGTAGAGATGACATTAGGAACCACAGAATTCTAAAATTAGAGAGGTTCATTAGAGAAACTGTTGGAAGAAGATGAAGTCCCACATCCTGACAGGAAACAGCCTCCACCTGCACCTGCCTCCGGGGCTGACTCTGATCAGTGGCTCCTGAGCGCCCCCTGCCGCTGATTCCCCCAGCGTTCCTGCAGGGAGGTTTGTGTCTGGGCGCACAATGGCCTCCCCTCACTGTGTCTCTCGCACAGTAATACACAGCCGTGTCCTCAGCTCTCAGGCTGTTCATTTGAAGATACAGCGTGTTCTTGGAATTGTCTCTGGAGATGGTGAATCGGCCCTTCACGGAGTCTGCGTAGTATGTGCTACCACAGCTATAAATAACTGAGACCCACTCCAGCCCCTTCCCTGGAGCCTGGCGGACCCAGCTCATGTAGTTGCTACTGACGGTGAACCCAGAGGCTGCACAGGAGAGTCTCAGGGACCCCCCAGGCTGGATCAAGCCTCCTCCAGACTCCACCAGCTGCACCTCACACTGGACACCTGCAAACACAGAGACATTGGTTAGAAACTGCCACACATATCCACTGTTTCTCTCACTCGTGTTCACTCACACTCAATATCTCTAGTTCTCCATGAATCACCTTTTAAAATAGCAACAAGGAAAACCCAGCTCAGCCCAAACTCCATGGCGAGTCCTCTGTGTTCAGTGCAGATCACTGAATGGAAACACCTCGGAATCCCAGTGCTGGGCTCCTCTCCCAGAGCTGCAGGGTCAGGGCTGGGCTGGTTTTCATCAGCAGAGGGAGGGCCCTATTTGCATGTCCCCCATTATATAGCAAGCTCTGTGATGGGACATCTGAGGAGAGGCCGGGCCCAGTGCAGATGAAGTCTCCTGGGGGAGATTGGTAGTAATTCCATCATTCAGGAAAATATAATTTTATATTATGTGATTGTGCCTTGATTAACATTTAGCTCTCATAATCTGATTTTATTTTTACATATTTACACAATATATTTAATGCAGCCTTTAATGTTGTATTTTACAGAAGATAATTTACATAGAGAATACAGCAGCTGTGCAGTGCGTCTAAGTTTACACATCTAAAAAAATGTAATCCTATTATCTGGGCCTGTGCTCTAATCACCGGAGGAGGCAGCTCCCCTGAGACAACTCCAGGGCAGCGTGGACCATGCCTAGTGAAGTCTGCAGGATTCCCCATCTGTTATGACAACTTTCTGTAATTCACCTAAATATGCAGAGAGAACCATGGTTCATGTGTGTTTTCAGAAGTCAGTCATATTTCTTCTGTCAATATCAGTCTTTTTATTGCTCCATTTTAGCAAAAATATTCATTTATTTCTTCGTTATTGCTTTATTCAAGTATAATAAATAAATAATTAATTCAGATTTATAGGGAATGATTTGAAAAATGTAGAGCTATGTTTGCAGCCATTCACTCGGCACTTCAATCAACTTTTGAATAATTAAATTAATCCCTAAATCTTTTTCCTTATTCCTCTGAAACTTAAATCACATCCGCATCATTCCCAACACCATTTTCTCAGAAAAATTTAAGTCTTCTTCATTTTAATTTATGGTAGTGGCATCTTCTAATATTTCTACAATGAATTATATAAAATTTACTCTTAATTCCTTAGCTTCTTTCACTCAGCACAATTCTTTGAGAATTTAGCCATGTTTTTTATGATTGAGGCACACCTTGATTCGAAGCTGCATTATATACTGGTACACAAATATATGTCAAACTATTTAATTGTTCACCGTTAGGAAAATGTTATTTTTTCTCTCAGCTAATGGATTTTATAGAGAAAAGTAGCTACTCAGCATGGGAATGTAAAAAAATGAGTAAACTATGATCTTATTCTGACCTTATTAACAACAAACCTGAAAAACCACAAATGTGGGAAAAACCTTCAACATATCTGAGTTGATATCACAGAGGAAAAAAATAAACCTTAAATCTGTGGCGAGAGGGGCCTGCAGAGAGAACCATATATTAGTGTTCCTGGGACAGATACCAACTGGATGTTATTTAAGCTAAGAACCAGCTGACTTGAAAATATTCAGTGAGTTGCTGGAGGATGCATGTGCTCATACTGTTAGACTGTGAAGCTCCTGGTGCTTGCAGGCTTTTCCTACAGAATTATTATTAATTATTATTGCTCCACTTTATGCAAATGATCAGACCAACCACAAGACTAAAGTTTATTTTGCAAATCACTCAGTCCTATAATGATTAGTTTCTGACAAAAATCAGAACTGGAGAGAGAAAAATTATGTTTCAAAACATATCATACATTTGTCTTTAAATTACAGTCTCTTCAATTGTTTTAAGTATTTGCCTCCATTTTAGACTAACTCTGCTTATCGCTGTGAACGAACCAATGATCTCTGGCTGCAGCTCAGAAGAAACACAGGCATGGGCTATATAAACATCTGGACGAATATTTTAATTCTGAGCAATTATCCTGCAAATCATGCCAGGTGACTGGAATAAATAGGGTCCCCCTAACCCGGAGGTTTCTTTGTTTGGGAAAATAAGTCCTAGGGAGCTAACGAAAGCCAAGCCCCATGCACCCAAATCTTAGCAGGCATAACTACAGCCGCCAGTTATCTGGGTGTGTCAGCAGCCTTGGAATTTTTTTTCAAACTGTCCTTACCACCTTGTTTGGTTTTGATACATGTCTTCTAATAA
Source organism: Homo sapiens (assembly GCF_000001405.40). Lineage (NCBI taxonomy): Eukaryota > Metazoa > Chordata > Mammalia > Primates > Hominidae > Homo > Homo sapiens. Next base: position 1,169,175 of record NT_187600.1, read on the forward strand.
CCTGGTTTGTCTCTTCTCACCTTCAGGCATCAACTCCAAATGGTCATCCAAGTGAAGCCTGGGATAATGGCTCCCTTTTACTAGGTCCCTTAGACAGACCTCAAGGGAGATCTTCCCAAAACAGCATCCCCTGTCAGCTGGGAGCAGTTAAGGTTGGCCTTTGTCTGTATTCTAACGGCAGTTAGATGCGCTTATTCAAAGAGGAAAATGATAGAGGGAGGAGGCAGATAACTCTCCTAGGCAGACAGGGGAGAGTCCCCATAGAATGTCCAACCCACGAAGGTCATTGTGCACAGGGGGCTTGCCTAGACGTGCCTGCAGTGAAAATTGTTAAAATTGTCTTTATCATTCTCTGATAAAATAGCCACACATAATAATCCAGCTGCATGAAGATAAAAAAATAACTAGTTTGAAATTAGAACAAGTCCCAAGTAAATCAAAGTTAGCATGTGGTTCATAATGTGATAGACAGGAGACATGGCTGAATACTAAGAATGTGTTCACATCTATTTTATGTCAAGATCAGGAAAATATTTTGTATATTCTTTAGGTAAGAGTCCCATTGAGAACATCAATTTAAGATTATATATTAATGGATAATACCTCAATAATTAAAACAGAGGTTATTTACCAATAATTTGTATTATTAGCACAAACTTTCATTTAGGATATATTCTCCTATGTGTTGTGAAATTAACTCAAAAGGCAGAAAACAGTGCACTTATTAGAGCTTTTAAACAAATTAAAAATTAGAATTAAGTATATATGTTCCTAGTTAGTGTAAAACTTTGGAATATTTTTGCAAACAAAAAGGGTTCTTATGTCTTCTGGAAATCTTATCAAAGTGGACAACAAGAGAAGAAACTCTCAGATGAATTTCTACCTACTAGAGAACTGATTAATAGAATTTTAAAGTAAATGCTAACACACAAACAAAAAACTAACAGGGAAGCTAAAAAAAATAGTGACTTAATACACCAAACACTCTAGCTCAATCTAGTTTATAATATAATCTAACCATGGAGGGCATTGTCATTGTTCATATCGGAGATTTTTGGGAAGGCAGGGTCAAAGAATCACTGGAACTGGATGCTCGGGTTTAATCTACCTGTCACTCTTTCATTTTTCTTTAATATGAACCCTGTTTTGGTATTTAATGGAACCAACCTTCATCAACAAATAAGTCCAAGAAGTACATTAAGAGGAGCCTGGCCCGGAGGAAAGTCATAGCTGTCTGCAATCCGTGCACTTAGAGCTAGAATCCTCTGTTCTTAACAATAAGGCAAAGTGTTCACGTAGAAGGAAAGAAAACACAGGCTACATATTATCAGGGCTGGAGTTCATACTTTCCTGGATGCTGAGCTCAGGTTTTCACTTTGTCCCCCAACATCCCACAGACAGGCACCTCATTGTGCCCCTGCAAACTCCCTGTGCAGTGTGGCAAGTGGGTGAAGGTTCACTGTGTCTGGAAAGCATCTGGAGCCTCCTGCTGACAATGTTGTCACCTGCTCTTGATTCTCCTGCTTCCGTCTCATCTCCTGCAGGGGCTAGTATTTCCAGAGGAACCTCATGACTCCCTGGGACAGGTCTCCTGGAAAAGTCCCTGTAGAACAATCAACCATTGCTGAGATCTTCTCTGAGGACATACTCAGGTACTCGGCACAACTTTGACTTCAAACACTGGGCAACGTGTCACAGGGACAAGAAATTGAAGACTTACATGTCTAGTGAAGAGAGATGCAGAGATCCTAAAGAAATTGCAACAGCCAAATGTCATCATCATAATCATTTTTATATAGTTATATAATATATATTATATTATATAATTATAAGTATTAATTTTTAAAGTAGTGTATAGTAGTGGGTAACTAGTGGGAGGAGGTTTGTGTGCAGATTGTCACCTTCCAGAGTGCACTCATCATGGGGTTGACACTGACAAGCACGCATATGGACTTGCTCAGCTGGAGAGTGACAGGCATTTTTATAACCTGTGACCCCAGTAAGGCTCTCCCACTGCAAGAATGATCAGGCGCAGGCCTCTGGCTAAAGTGCAGCCAGCAAGTGGGACCAGTGCCCAATGCTGAGAGGGCTTCCTTCAGGTGCCAAACGATGTCAAAGGAAGTGATTCTTCCTGCCTGGATCCCCTGCATGTATTCTAATTTCCTGCAGAAAGGGCCTCCTCCAGAAATACCCCCAAGAGCTTACGCTGTATTTAATCCAACTCCAGGGCATCATACATGAAATCCCTCATGTCCAAAGTCTCCACTTCTCAAAAAAGGTTGTGCATTATGGAATTCACCAGAAGCTTCTGGCCTTTTAGTGAAATGGACCTTCCTCCCACGCTTGGAGAACTTACCCTCTGGGAAGGGGCATAGAAAACCAGGAGTCAGATGAGCTCTAAGTCAATGTGCATTTTATGGATTCCTGAAGAAAGAGTGCAAAAAGGAATGGCCCCACCCACTTTCCCTCTAACTGGCATCATTCCCAGTAACCCACTTGAAGAACCCGTGGCGCTTCAAAATAATTTATGTTTGTTATACCGGGGGACCACCAGGAAAGGAAAGAACTAGTGTGTCCATGTAGGTTCATCCCACATAACGCAGTTAGGACTCTGTTTCAGGGAGCTGATCATGGGGAGGGCTGTGTATGTGTTGGGCAGGGGTACATGGGAGCTCTCTGTTTCTACTTTTTACATCTGCTGTAACCCTAAAACTGCTTTATAATAAATTTAATATAAAAAGATAGGCAGTTTCTCAGAAATTACATTTAGTCTTAGTATTGGATCAAGCAATCTTGCCCTAAATGATTTACCCATTCAATTTTAAAACGTCTGCCCCCACAAATCCTCCATGGGAATGTTTGTTTCAGCTTGATTGATTGCTGCTTTTCCCACTCTGTTAATTTTGCTTATAGGGTGAGATTTGAAAAGAATATTTCTTATATAATTAGAATGCATATATCTTTCTATTTCTTCTTTTCCTCAATTATATAACCTATTTTCTAAACAACATTAAACCCCATAAATCCTGTCATATCCTGAAAACTGGGACAGCTGCTTCCTCCCTCAGGGTTACTGACACTCTCAGGATATGAGTTTTCACACTGTGTCTCTCCCACAGTAATACATGGCCGTGTCTTCAGATCTCAGGCTGCTCAGCTCCATGTAGGCTGTGCTCGTGGATGTGTCCCTGGTCATGGTGACTCTGCCCTGGAACTTCTCTGCGTAGCTTATGCTGCCATCACTAGGGCACATCCTTCCCATCCACTCAAGCCCTTGTGCATGGGCCTGGCGCACCTAGTGCATAGAGTAACTGGTGAAGGTAGGTGTATCCACAAGTCTTGCAGGAGACTTTCACTGATGCCCCAGCCTTCTTCATCTCATCCCCAGACTGCACCAGCTGCACCTGGGACTGGGCACCTGTGGAGAGGACACGGGAGTGGATAAAACCCCCTTTGACTGGACCCAGTCACCTTAGTCCTGGGGACTGAGAATTATCCTACCTGCAGCTACGACCACCAAAATTAGGATCCTCCAAGTCCACTCCATGGTGAGGAGCTGTGCTCTCAGGGGCTTCTCTAGAGGAGGGATGTGGTTATTGGGTGATGCTCTCAGGGCACAGAGTTATCTGTAGTGTTCACCTCAGGTGATTTGCGTATTCATGAGGACTACTACTTCATAGCATTACACCTGATCCAGCACGAGAAAGAGAAAATAGATCTCACATGGACAACACAACTGTGGGATGCTGAGGTACAAATCTTCATTCTTATTTAATGACATGTTTCCCTTTATATGCCCGGAAATTTGTGAAGGGAGAATTTCTCCGCTAAGAAGCTGACTCACACCGGACATGGTTCTCAGCGTGAGCCCAAGTTCCCATGGCACATGGACAGCCTCCGCCCTTTCCAGGATTTGCTCTCCGCAGTCTTACTCTCGGGACCAGTGTGTCTCTGAAATGTGTACATTTTTATTTAATAAAACCATTCTTGTTCTTTATCTTTTTACTAGTAAAATATCTCAAAGCAGTAATAATTTTGCCTTTTAAATGTGGTTCTCACTGAATTATTGATTTATTTATTTCTAAATACATTAGGGTATTTAAATATACATAAATAGTCCTCATAAAATTCTTATTTAGCATGTTATAATTTTTTGGTTTTCAGTAAAGTAACACTCAGTCCTTGTGAGAGACTCCCTCTGCAGCCTCCTGTGCACCAGCTCTGGGGCTGGAGCCTGTTCTGGGTGGGTCCTGGGCGCCCCCTGCAGCACTGCCTCTGCCCTGCATGGAGGTTTCCATCTGGGCTCACAGGGCATTTACCTCTCAGTGTCTCTAGGGCTATAGGAAGTGGCCATGCCCTAGTTTAAAATGCTCTTTCAGTGACACCATATGTTACTGACACCATCGTTTGAAAACATTGACCTTAGGAGACCCAGTCAACTCTATGAAAGAATTGGGGATTCCCTTCCCTGGAACTCAGGATGCATTGAATCAGTGGACACATAGTCAGCACCAAAATTTTCAAGACTTTTGGCGAATCCTTTATTTTATTTAGACTCCTGCAGTTAAATATTACATCTAAGAGTGCCTGTAGGTATCTATGCTTGTGGATCAATGCCCACTCCATGTCTTCTGTTTCAATAACACACACATTCACACAGACACACACACACACACTGACACGGAGCTAGTAGATTTTTATAACAATGGGCCTCTAACTTACCATTTTTTTCTAGTATCTTGCAAATAGGGAGCACCCCCTACACTGATACTAGACCTGAGTATACGACTCCCTTCTTCAAACAGAAGTAAGGAAAACAGTACACAATTGGAGATGTAGCAAGTGTACATTCATCATGTTTGCATATTGTCACCTTAGAATACTGCAGTTTCCCTAAGAGAAGTGACTCTGTGTCCACCAAAAGTTGAGTCATGACCTTGGTCCTCAAGCTATTGGTATCAGAGGCTTCGAATTGCTCTACTGTCCTTGACTTTTTTCTCCCATTGTCTTTGCATTTCCCTATGTTCTCCTCCCTAAATAGAGTCTCTGCATTACCACACTCATCTTCAATGTAGATTAATTATACTGATGAGAAGGTAATGTGTGGGACAGGGGAGCACTGTATTGTTTTTTCTTTTCTTACAACTATAGGCTTTTTCATTCAGTTAAAAGGTAAACAGATTAACATTGGAGGCTATTCCATTTAACTAGCCCAAGTTCCTATTCCACTTCATATATCCATCCTACGCTGCCATACATCTTGAAGAAATGACTGCCAAAAGACTGCTTCTAACTTCTTCTTAGCAATAACCTTCAATGAATTGCTTTCAAATAAGTTATTCCTAACTTAAAATTTTATTGTGTTCAAAGAAACTCATCCCTCTAAGAGGTTTCCACATGTGCCAATAGAACGTTCCACCACTGACAGGAGGGCAGAATACCAATGATTCTAATTACAGGAGCTACTCCAAGGAAAGCTTCCATGATATTTGTGTTGTTAGATTCGGTGCTTGTTAGGGCAGAAGATGGTGAGACTAAAAATGCAGCGCACACTCTGTCAAATGGCTGCATGTTTGGTAGTTTTAAAAAATCTTTGTTTATCTTTAGAGACAACATTTAAAACATAATGGAATTGAAGCCTGATACAAAATATATAGAAACTTGCACAGGAATAGACAGCCAAGAAGCAAAGTGGAACTCAGTGGAAACCTGGCTACATTACATAGCTCATTTTTAACCTAACCATATTTATCACAAAACAACTGTAGCACAGTAACACTTTCCTTCTCTGGCTCCCAAATTTAGTGTCAGCCTTCCCTAACGCTAATCATTCTTTCAGAGAGCCGGAATATGTAAGGTAGTCCCAAACATTGACAAAAATGTTAATGTCAAGCAGCTTCAAACTGTGAGGATGACATACTTGAAGTCAGCCAAGATGGCAGCACTGATAATTCCAGAAATAAAGATTGTGACAAACCAGGCCATACAATATAATGAAAGAGCCATAAGTCAACAACTTTCTTGGATTAAAGCCAGGTACAAAGAAGACTGTTACAATGTGTTGTACTGATGAGGAGGCCAATATTTGATGCAATCACCAATGAGGGCAGGAGCCAGTCCAGTACTGAAGGCACCAGGCGGTGTGACAGTGTCAGATTCTTCCCCATGGTCTGAATAACTCTCTTTCTCCAAACCCCTAGGCTAATGCAGATGCCATCACCACCAGAGAGCAGAAGCCATACTGGCGTCACCACTCTTGAGGAAACATCTCCCACATTATAAACCAGATACAAAGCCACCAGAGAATGTACTGCATTGCTGATGTCATTACCACCATGGGCGAGTGACCTCAATCGGGCAATAAGAAGCTGCAGCAAATGGAAGAAGATAGAGAGTTCAGGCTTATCTTGGCCATACCATTCTTCTCAAGAATGACTACTTCCTTTTCTTTCACCTAGACCCATCTCCCCCTTGATACTCATGAATATCTTAGATGCTGGGAAGGTCAGACACAGCATTGCAGTAACTGGTGTAGCTGTACATTCAAAATCACTTCTTGGAGACTGCATTGGGCCATGCATGTAAGATTCTCCATTTACTTGACCTTCTGAAGGACTTCTTTGGAATGAAATGAATATAGAGGCATGCCATGTATTGTCATGATATAGGAAAAATAGCTATTATTGCACCTTAAGTGTTTGCCACCAGATCTCCCATGCCATCTTCCACTTTGTCAATATGCAAACTATAGAGAAAATCCTTGTGTAATCTAGAATCTTTAGCCATGTTGTAATACACATAATGTCCACTGAAGCTATCTGGTTGCTGATGGCTTGATTGAACTGGACAAAGTTTCTTACAATTTCATCTCATTGATTTTATCCTCTTCCATTTCTTGGCTGTGACCTTTAAAAGCAGTCTCCATTAATAAAGCTGATTTTGGTCTATTACTTCCTTCCCTGTCTGCAGCATCTCCGGTCTATTTTTGTTTAATCTTACCCTACTGGCTAATATTAATTATTTGCATAATAAAGGAAGCCTGGGCAGAGGGTTCTGCATGACAATGAAGGACCTTCCACCATGGAGATAAATTACTGGAAAGATTCTTCCTCTGGATGGTCTGTCTGGAGAAGGTTCTGGGTATATGTTTTAGAGATTAGGTCTCTTGAAGACTGACCCAATTCACAAGGAATTTATATTAATTCTAAGTTAAAAATGTGGAGGTTCCTGGAGCAAACAAGGGCCCCCCAGAATATCTCTTTCTAATAATAGCACAAACCTGTCCTTTAAGTTCTTTAATTCAGATGTATATATAACAAATCAAACAGACAGGGTCATTTAAATAGTAACTTACTCATTCAAATAAGTTAGGGCAGCAGCTGAATATAATAATCAAATTGAATTCAAGCAAATCTGGGTGCAAACAAATGTTTATCATAGTTCAGAACAGTTTCATTAACTCAATTAATCTGTGTAACATTTCATTTCTGAGGTATTTCACCACCAAGTGTATTGAAGTGTTGCCATAATATTGCTGTGTAGTTGGATTTTTTTATGTCAGCCTAACATGTAGGTCAGTTTGAAAAATGTAAATTTTTCTACAAAATGGCCATCATCCCTAGTGTTGCTAAAATATCCAGAAATCCTCAATCTTATTGGTTTTCACTAATACCTGAATTTCTGCAAAAATTATATGAACCAAAAAAAAAATCTCCCCTTCATGGATGACTGAAAACTGTGAACTTTACTCACCACTACAAATAAAGCCAGTTAATGCAGGATTCTCAGTGCGGCATGTTGAGCCAGTAATGTAGGGCACATATCCTAGAGGGGTCCCAGTGTGTCTCTGCCAATAAAATTTGAATTGAGGGATCCTGATTATGCATTCATGGGAGTATAGAATCCTCAGGATCCTTAGCAATAGAGCTTTACAGTGAAAGGCTTGCAGGTGGAATGAGTCCATGATGATTCAGCATCTCCTTCTCTCTCTTTTTCTCTATTGTCATCTCTCATTACTGTTCTTTGCTTCAGAATCCTTAAACGAGCCAACAGCCTCCATTCTACATACTGCCAACTCTGGGCTGAAAGAGAATTATGAGCAAAACAAATGTTTTCTTAACAAGGTGAGGAAACTTTCTGAACTTCCATTAGGTTTATTAGAGACTCTCATGGAGAACCATAATCAAGCATTATTTGTTTTTCAGTCACTCCCCAACATTGAAACTGTTTTTCATAATAGCTACACTAATCTGAATCTCCACCACTATGGAAAGCAGTAAGATGATCTTAAATCAATTAGAACTAGAACTACTGTATGACCAGCAACCTCCCTTCTGGGAATATACCCAAGATAGAAAAAATCACCACCTTGTGGAGATATCTGCACTCCTATGTTTACTGCAGCGCTATTCACAAGAGCCAAGATATTGAAATAATCTAAGTGTCAATGAAAAAAAAATGCAGAAAAGTGGCTGGATGCTATGGCTCACGCCTGCAATCTGAGCACTTTCAAAGACTGAGGTGGGTTGATTTTTTGAGGTCACAGTTTGAGACCAGCCTGACAAACATGTTGAAACACCATCTCTACAAAAAATACAAAAATTAACCGGGAGTGGTGGTGCATGCCTGTAATCCCAGATACTCCGGAGGCTGAAGCAGGAGAATTGTTTGAGCCCAGAAGGCAGGGATTACAGTGACCTGAAATCACGCCACTGCACTCCAGCCTGGGTGACAGAGTGAGTGAATCTCCATCTCAAACAAACAAACAAACAAACAAACAAAAAGGATAATGGCAATGTGGTATGTATACAGAATAGAATATTATTTAGCCTTTTAAAAGAGATGCTGCCATTTGCCACAGTAGGAATGGGTTTCCAGCAGCACTAGCCATGCATTTTATCCATTCAACCCATTCCCCGGGGACTGGCAGATCCACGTCCAATATTAAGCATTGGTTGTGATGAAGTGGCCAGAGACAGCATGGGTGAGGTCAGTGTGTGATCTTCACACCTAGGCATGACTGCTGTAGCTGCTCCTGAATAGGACATCTGGCGGTATGGAAAATTAGTTACTGTCAGTTACAGTACTATTCCCATAGACCCATGTCTGTCATCTGGACATCTGAGACTCTCATGATTTACCATCTTTAGGCTGTTATCTCGATACCTAAAGGGTATTCTAGTCAGGGAGATGCACTAAGGTCTCTGTTCTGAGTGTGATTGGAGAAGACTCAACAGGTCCCACTGAGCTGCTACAGGTCTCCAATTCTAGCGACCACGGTTGAGGACTTTTCATTTCTGTAAATGTCAATTTGCGTTTTGTCCATATGAGAATATGTCCTCATATTACAATATTTTTTAAAAACCTATTTAGTGATGGCATTGGTAGGCACAGAATGCTAAAATTAGGGAAGTTCTCTGGAGAAACTGTCAGATGGAAGTTTTGTTTTTTTAAAAATATACTGGCAGGAAAGCAGTTCTTAACCTTTCTGTGCACCTCCCTCTGGGGTCGACTCTCATCAGTGGGTCCCAAGCTCCCCCTGCAGCTAATTCGCCCATGTGTCCCTGGAGGTTTATGTCTGGGCACACACTGGCTTTCCCTCATGTGCTCCTCTTGCACAGTGATATACTGATGTGTTCTTGGTTTACAGATCGCCCATTTGCAGATATAGCATATTCTTGACATTGTCTCTGGAGACAATAAATCAAAGACAAATAAATATTCTGTCGGACCAATAAAACCTGAGAAAACCTATTTCCAGCACATGAATCTTTCCGTAGACATTTTAGCAGAGTCTCTAGATGAATAGCCATGTGACATAGATCCAACACCTGAAAATATGCACAAAGAAGATGGTCAACAATGGAAAAATGAGGTTGAAATACAGTTTTTGCATTTGTATTTTGTTCATTATGTAAGTGTGGAAAGCAATTATAAAAATGCCAATATTACATTTTATAGCATGTATAGATACAAACAGAAAATAAAAAACATGGGATAGGAAAGAGGAATTAGATATATAGAGTTATAATATCTCTGTAGTATATATGAATGGGAATTAAATTTTTGAATTAGAATTCAATTATAGAAACTTTTTATTGTTATCCTTATGGTAACCCATAAAATGTTAGTCACAGAATGATTAAATAATAAGTTAATAGAAACAATAAACTTTATTGTAAAAATACAAATTAAAACAAGAATAATTGGACAAAAGAGTAACATCATTAAAAAATAATTCTTCATAGTTGACTAAAAAAAAACACCCAACTATTATTTATCTCCAAGAAAATTTCTTTACATATTCAGAAATAGAAAAAATAAAGATGGAAAAATATATATCATGAAAATATAAACCAAAAGAAAACTTAAATAGCTATGTTAATTTAAGACAAAATAATCATAAAAAGAAGACCTTTGGGACTCAAGAGAAATATTACATAAAGTAATAGGATCAACTTTCCAAAATACATTTAAAAATACTTAATGAATGGATTTGGAACAGAAAATATAATAACATGTATAGAAGACGGAGAAATCAACACTCATTGTGATTGACAAGCAGTGTTCAAATAAGTAAAGATATAAGTGTCCTAAATAGGACTATCAATCTACTTGATAAATTTTTATCTATAAAATATTAAACTAGAAAACTTCAGAAACACAAACTGTGATTTGCCAGAAGAGAATAAAGGAACATGACAACTCAATTCAAAGTGATGACCTTGTTGGAATCTGGGAACAAACAAATATACAAAAACAACAGCAAGGAGAGATCCTGTCTCAAAAAACAAAAAAAAAAAAAGAAAGAAAAAAGAAAAAGACAGTATCCACTAAAAGAGACAAACCGTGAATTATTTAAGACAGTTTATTCTGAGATATATATGAGTGGCCAAGGCCCATGACACAACTCCAGGAGTTCCTGAGTACACGTATCCAAAATGGTTTGGTTACAGCTTGATTTTATACATTTTAGTGGTACAGAAGGTATAGACAGATATGAATCAACACATGTGAGCTATACCATTTACACAGTCCAGAAAGGCAGAATAAGCTTACTCAAGTGCTTCCAGGACATACGTGAATTCAAACATTTTCTGATTGGCAATTGGTTGAAATGTTACACACTCATTACAAATGAGTATCTGGATTAAGATACGAGATTGTGGAGCTCATAATTGTTATTATGTAGATGAAACCTCCAGGTAGCAGACTTCATAGAGAATAGATTTTTAGGCGTTGCTGTTTGTCATGTGATGCTATACTAGAATCATATTGTAATTTGGTATCTTTTCACTATGAAGAGTGTTTATAGAAAAAATATAGTTTTGTCAGTCTAAGGGTCTTTGTTTTAGTGTTAATGCTGGCCACAGGTGCCTTAATTCCAAAGACAGGAGGACATAATGAGGCATATCTGACCTCTCATTTTCCCATTATTGCTGGAACAAGTTTTAAAGTTTACTTTAAAATATCTTTGGCTGATAGTTGAGTTCATTTAGTTGGATGAGGAAGCTTAGAATTTTATTTTTGGTTTACAAAAGAAATTATTGGAAAAATGGTAAATCTCAAATAAGGCCTGGTATTGAATATATTTAAAGTTATCAACGTAAATGTGTTAACACCATGTTTTATGATTGTGGAGGATGTTCATCTTAGGAGATACTTAGAGATGGGAACACACTGTATTAACTTTATGATTATTTTGTTAATCTACAATTATTCTGAATCAAATGTATATGAATGTAAAAATACTATCATAAAAATACAAGTCACAATTGATAAAATAGGTTTCTGGAAATTATAACATGTCAATCATAATTATGGACATTAATTTTAGAAGATAATATAGAAATTATCATCAAAAAATGATAAATGTTCATTTCTATCAAAAAACAAGTGAAGTACCTAATACTAAAATCAAGCAATGAGAGTGCTATTTGTATAATTATTTTATTTTCTATGATAAATAAAATGTGTTATTATTATAGGCATATCATAGACCAATAGTGGGCATAATCATGTTATTTTTTTCTAAATTTTGTGCCAATATCCTGTTAATTTCATATAGACATTTCTTACTGCATGTGTCATTTCCAAAATATTCAGCTATTATTTTTCATTTTAATATGACTCCTCTGTAGGCCCTAGGTATTCCAAATGCTTTCTATAACTTTTCCCCTTTTGTGGTTTCTACTGTCTCTTAACATGCAAAACTTCAATTTATATAACTATATAGGGGAGTAATGTATTTTAGAAGTTCATAATCATGCATACACATACACACATATGCCCAGTACTGAAATATACATGTGAAAATAGAAAAATGAACACCTATCCAAATACCAAACCAAAACATGAATTTATTCAATTTATTTTATTTATTTAATTGAATTGAATTTACTCTCTTTTATAGTATAATGTAGTAGTCCCAAATAATGCTTTTCTGTGTGAGTGTTTCTCTATCCTAATGCCAATAAACAAATACATTTAAAGACATGCCTCGGTAGAACTGAATGTAAATGCCATTCTGGCCAAACACATTAATTAAATGGACAATGGTATTTATGTATAGAATCTGTGTTGGTTTATTTGTCAGTTTTGCTATCAGTATACTTTTAAAATACCAGCCAATTATTAATAAACTTAATAACATATAAGATAAACATCACTTTTAAAATTGTATTATATTATTGGTTAAATTCACATTGTATTTTTATAAAAGTCAGGATAAATGTTCTTATTTAGAAATTAGGATTTTTTTCTACAATTGATTTTGTATAAATTTGCAATACAAATTCTAGATGTTAATTTGCCAGTACTCCTGGATGCTAGAGAACATCCAGTAATATGGAACTGAAAACAGCCCAGGATCCCCAAAATTCACTCACAATGGCAGGGTTGTCTGAGAATTGCTAACACATTAGGGATTTGAACTTCATCATCAAAGCACTAGTGAGCCTTAGTGCTGAGCACACAGAGAGCAGCAGGAGCTGCAGAGACTATTCTGTGGTACTTAGGTAAAGGAGTGGATGTGGTGGAGGTGACGTCTGCAGGACCCTAGAAAGGGGTGAGGAAGGCAGAGAGTCTGCAGGTAGATGAGCATATTCTAAGGAGAACTGTTATCCTCCTAAACTTGGTTGACTTCAATGATCATGAAGAGAAGTGAACAGATTCACCAGACATGGAAGAGGCAAAATAAAGGGACTTGTTGCTTCCTTGCTAGGAGACTGAGGAAGACAAAAGGCTTGGACAGAAGAAGGGAAGGTGGAGAAATAGTGTGAGGAGCAGAACACCAGAACCCAACCAAGGTGGGGGAACTGAGCCCTGAAAGTGGTGTTTCATCTCCACAAAAGGCAGATGAAAGAAAAAGAAACTTAACACTATGCCTATGCTGAGTTATTGGTAGAAAAGCATTGACTATAGTGTGACTGACACAGCAAAGAAAACAAAAACCCATGCATGGAACCAGAGCTTGAATTAGGCATACGCAATTTCTTATTATCAAAACATTCAATTACTGCTAGTGTTATTCTAAAAATATGGAGGGTTAAAAGTTGAATTGAATTCCTGTTCTAAGTTAATGATTTGTACGTGAAAGAAACCATGGGTTACAAGGAAGAAATGGTGAGAGATCCTGGGAAGGTTTTCGCTTGACCAGATCAGGGATCAGCAAGGTCTAAAAGCAAATCTGACCCTCCCCAGGCACCTGATGTGGAGCTGCCTCCTAAGAGAACCCTGTTGTCTGAGTGATACCCTGGTGGTTCCTGAGCCCCCCATGGTGGCCTGAGCACCCCCTGTTCGTCCTGAAGCTCTGGTGTCCTCAGCACTCTGAGCAGTCGTGAGTGCCTCCTGGTGGTCTTGTGTGTCTTTAGGTGTTTCTGTTACCCCTGGTCCTGAGTATTTCTTGGTGGTCTGGAATGCACCCTCGTGATTCTGTGCCCCCTGCTGTCCTGAGCACCCCCTGGTGTCCTGAGCCCCTTCCCTGGTGTCCTGCATGCCCCTGCTAGTCCTGGTCACCCCCAGGTGTTTCTGAGAGCCCCCTGGTGTCCTGAGCACCCTCCCTGGTGTCCTGAGCGCCCCTGCTGTCCTGAGTGTCCCTGGGTGTCCTGAGAACCTGCTGGTGGTTCTGAATGCCCCCAGTGTCCTGAGCGCCCCCTGGTGGTTCTGAGTGCCCCCGAGTGGTTCTGATCCTCTTCTGGTGTCCTGAGTGCCTCCTGCTCCCCCGAGTGCCCCCTGGTGGTCCTGAGTGCCTCTTGCTGGTCCTGAGCATCCCACTGTGTCTTGAGCGCCCCCTGCTGTCCTGAGTGCACCCCGTGGTACTGAGCGCCCCCTGCTGTCCTGAGTGCCACCTGGTGGTTCTGAGTGCCCCCAGGTCATTCTGAGCTTCCCCTGGTGTCCTGAGCGCCCCCTGCAGGTTCTGAGGGCCGCATGATGTCCTGGGTGCCCCCTGGTGGTTCTGAGCACCCCCAGGTTGTTCTGAGAGCCCCCTGTTACCCTGAGAACAGCCTGCTGCTCCTGCATGCCCCATGGTGTCCTGAGCACCCCCTGCTGGTCCTGAGCGCCCCCTAGTGGTCCTGAGCGCCCCCTGCTGTCCTGAGTGCCCCCTGGTGGTTCCAAGTGCCCCCAGGTCTTTCTGACCTTCCCCTGGTGTTCTGAGCGCCCCCTGCAGGTCCTGAGGGCCCCATGGTGTCCCGAATGCCTGCTGCTGTCCTGAGTGACCCCTAGTGGTTCTGAGCACCCCCAGGTGGTTCTGTGAGCCCCCTGTTGCCCTGAGCACGGCCTGCTTCTCCTGCATGCCTCATAGAGTCCCAAGCATGCCCTGCTGGTCATGAGCGCCCCCTGGTGTCCTGAGTACCACCTGGTGGTTCTGAGCTCCCCCTGGTGTCCAGAGCGCCCCCTGGTTTCCTGAGTGACCCTTGGTGGTTCTGAGAGCCCCCTGGTGATCCTGAGCAATGCCCCCTACAACACACACCATGTCCTGAGCGCACCCTGCTCTGCTGAGCACCCTCTGCTGTCCTGAGTGCCCCCTGGTGTCCTAAGCACCATTTATCACAAAGTCCTCTCTTGTCTCCCTGCAGGGAGGTTTCTGTCTGGACTCACAGAAATGTCCCTCGCTGTGTCTCTCACAGTAATACACTGCCTACCCCTGTGAGAGCCCCCTCAGCTTCCAAGTAGATTATTTTAAGGGAGACTGTGCTGGTAATTGGTGTCCCTGGGAATTGTGAATCTTCATTATGCTGATGCAGAATATCACTGAGAACTTCCACTTGAATCAATCACTGTTACCACCCACTCCAGCCTCTGTCCCCCAGCCATCTGGGCTCAATTTATGCTGTAGTCAGTGAAGGTGAATCTTGATGCTTTGCAAAAGAGGCTAAGAGAACAGCCAGGCTGTTTTGCCAAAGATAAAAATATAGATCCAGTAAACATTTGAGGTTTCCCAGGAAGGTGGGGAGAAGGTGTGTGGATTAGGTGAAACACACACTTTTTAATCCCAATGAAACTATTTTTTTTTTTTGAGAGGGAGTCTTGCTCTGTCACCCAGGCTGGAGTGCAGTGGCGCGATCTCTGCTCATAGCAAGCTCTGCCTCCCGGGTTCGCGCCATTCTCCTGCCTCAGCCTCCCGAGTAGTTGGGACTACAGGTGCCCACCACCACTCCCGGCTAATTTTTGTATTTTTAGTAGAGATGGGGTTTCATTGTGTTAGCCAGGATGGTCTCGATCTCCTGACCTCGTGATCCGCCCACCTCGGCCTCCCAAAGTGCTGGGATTACAGGCGTGAGCCAACACGCCCGGCCAATGAAACTATTTTTATGATATTCAATGATGGACACATGGCATAAAGAATTTCTGAAAACTCATATTTTTTGAGACAAAGTGTTAACCTAAATGCATACAACTTCGAAAGTATTTAGCAGGTCATGAAACACAAAAAAAGACAGCTGTATAAAAATATCTAACAACAATCAGAAGGTTTGAACTAATTACACTGAAGAAGGTGGGGCATAAATATTGGACACAAGAGACTTGGAAAGAATTTGATGTTGCGATTGTAAAACATAAATAAGCTCCACATAAGCACTGTATTCTAGTTGATAAACATATTTTCAACAAGGGTCAGTTTAACAATCCTAAAGACGATTTGTGTATTTTGAAATTGTGCACTAAGTAAATTAATGTCATATCTTAGGAGAGGTTTTCTCATTTTGGAGTGTGGGATTATGGACAAGCAGAGAAAGAAGGCTATGAATGTCTATGTGGATGACAGTAGTGTGTAAAAGCCAGTGTGTTCTTAGGTTTAATGTAATATAGTTACAGAATATTAGACACATAAACACTTTAATTTTGAATCTTTGTGGGTAAATAGTACACGTATATATTTATGGGGTACAGGACTCTGAATCAGCATGAACTGCATAATAATCACATCATGAAGAATATTTTATACATCCTCTCAAGCATTAATAGAGTTACCAACATTCCATTCATAAACTTTTATTTTAAAATCTATAATTAAGTTATTGAGGACTATATTTATTCTGTTGTGTTATAAAATATTATGTGTTATTTATTATTTCTAATCACTTTTTCTACCCATTGACCATCCCCAATAATCCCCATCTACCATAGACCTTCCCAGCTTCTGGTGACCATCTTTTCCCTCTCTATCTCCACGAGTTCAATTGTCTTAATTTTTAGCTTTCACAAATAAATGGGAACATGTGAATTTTGTCTTTCTGTTCTGGGCTCATTTCAATTAATATAGTGAACTCCAGTTTCATCCATGTTGCTGCAAATGACAAAATCTCATTTTTTTATGGCATGATATTAACCCATATCCTATATGTACCATATTTTATTTATCCATTCATGTGTTAATCGGCACATAGGTTGCTTTCAAATTTTGACTGTTGTGAACAGTGCTTTAACAGTGCTATTACAGACATGGTAGTGCAAAAACATTTCCTTTTTAGGGGTATATACCAGCAGCAGGATTGCCAGATTATATGATAACTCTATCGTCAGGTTTTGAGGAAACTCTAAGCTGTTCTCTATAGTGGTTGTACTAATTTAAATGCTCAACAGTTTATGAGTGTTCCCATTTCTCCACAGCCTCCCAGGATCCTGATGTGGAGCTGCTTTCTAAGAGATTCTTCCTGTTCTGAGTGCCCACTGGTGTTCTGAGCGCCCCCTGGTGTCCTGAGCGTCCCCTCGTGGTCCTGAGCTTCCTTCCCCTCGCGGTTCAGAGCGTCTCTTGGTTTCCTCAGCGCCCCCCCCCCCCCCCCCCCCCGGTGGCTCCAGCACGCTGACGTGTCCTGAGGTCCTCCTGGTGGCCCTGAGGGCTCCCTAGTGGTCCTGAATGCCCCCTGGTGCCCTAAGAGCCCCCTGGTGGATCCGAGCACCCCCCGCTGTATCCTGAGTGGCCCCCTGGTGTCCTGAGCGCCCCCAGCTGTATCCTGAGTGCCGCCTGGTGTCCTGAGCGCCCCCTTGTGTTGAGTGCCCCCTGGTGCTTCTGAGCAGCATCTACCATGCAGTTCCCTCCTGTCTCCCTGCAGATTTTTGTGTCTGGGCTTGTGCAGATAATCTCTCTCCTGTGAAGCTCACAGTATTACACAACCTTGTCCTTGGCTTTCAGGTTAGTCATTGTAAGGTAGAGTGCACGTGAAAGGGTGTCGCTGGACCAGTTAATTTATTTGTACTCATGAAGAGTAAACCTGAGCACTCCCACTTGTTGACTCACTGTTGCCAGCCACCACAATCCCTGTTGTGAAGCCTGCTGGACCAACCTCAGGCTGTTGCCAGAAAAGGTGAATCCAGACGCTTTGCAAGAAAGTCTCAGTGAACCACTGGGCTGTACTACGTTTACCCCTCTGACTCCACCACTGAACTTCATACAGGACTTCTATGAACACAGAGGAAATAGACTGAGAACAACCCTATGAGCAGCCACAGCTGGACCTGATTTACAAGGGACACTAATATGGAGGGTGATGAGAAGGGAAACCCAGATCAGTGCAGACTCCATAGTGTGAACACTGAAGAAAGACACAGATATGGGGTGGCTCCTCACCAGGGCCTGAAGGAACAGGGGATGAGCTGCCTTTCATGAGGAGGGGATGGGACATATTTCCAGGTCTTTCTCTTTGTGGTCGTAGGTGCACCACTCAGCGTTGCTCATCCATCCTCTGTGTCTCCATTTCAGGGAAGGCAGAGTCAAATGGTTCCTGCGTCTGGATGCACAGGGTTAATCTGCCCATTGCTCTTTTTTATTCTCTAATGTGGACACTGTTCAGGTATCTTCATGTGAGCAAACATTATCAACAAATTAGTCCAGTAAGAACATAAGAAATACATTTCCAGAGAAAATGGAAATCTGACTGTAATCAGTGCATTTATAGCTGCAAACGACTGTTTCTGACAATGAGATGAAGTTATGTTACAATAGACAAAATGCAGATCTACAGATTTTCAGGGTTGGAGTTTATAATTATCATTATCTTGAGATCATTTTGTCGCAAGACAGTTTAACATTGGACATATGTGCTTGTGTCAGGAAACAGTCAGTGTTGAAATATGTGTACTTATCTGAGTGAAGACTTCATTCACACTGAGACATGTTTGCTTATCTGAGACAAGAGTCCACATGAGGAAATGTCTGTTTTCTGAGGAAAGTGTAAATGTAAGGACATATGTGGTAGTCTGAGGAAATAGTCCATGTGGGGACATTTGTGTTTGAGGGAAGAATCCACATGAGTGAAGCTGTGTCTGTCTGACAGAAGAGTCCACATATTGACAGGTGTGTACCCATCTGAGGGTAAATGCCCATTCAGGTCAGCGTATGCCTGAACTAAGCTGAAGTTAGGGGAAAATCTTTCTCAACCAATGAAAGAAAAGAATCCTTTGGGTTATTTGCTTGTCGGGAATTAAAAACAAGGGTAAGGTAGAAAATTGATTTTTTTAAAATAAAAGGTCTTCAGTGAATGGAAACATTGTATATGCAAATGGGGAAAATTACTTCATTCTTTGTTGCATGTATCTCATAACATCCCCACTCTCACCAAATAAGTTATTGGATAATTTTATACAGTCTGCATTTAATCCTGGGGTTAATGAACTGCTGAATTTTTTTAATTGAATATGTTTAAGTTTATATTTTCTATCACAAAATTATTAGCTTAGACAAATTAGTTATATCATATCTCAACCATTGCATATCACTAAAAATAGTTTTATTTTTCCTAAACACCACATTTTTTTTTTTGCTTATTTTATACCCACTCTCTAAATTCCTGGAACATCCTCTGTCTGTTTACTTGACTATAGTCTAAGCATTTATGGAATTTCAAATAAATGAAATTATACAATGTAATTGAAATGACTTCATTGAAGAATGTGGAAAATGAAGTTGCTGACCTAAGCAACTCAGAAAACGAAGAAATTCTATAAGTTTAATGTGTAAAAAATCTGCACATAAGCACTCTATTCTAGTAGATAAACATGGTTCCATCAAGGGCACAGCTTTACACTTTTGATACTGCTATGCATGTGTCCTGAAACTGTGCAGCTAAGTAATAAAATTACATATGGTGGAATGGGGTTTCTCACTTTGCAGTGGGTGGTTATGGAAACGCAAAGAAAGAAGACTAGAAAGGTTCATGTGCTAACATAGTTGGGTGGAGAGACCAGTGTGTTCTCATTTTTAATGTGATATGGTTACAGAAGATTAGATACATAAATAGTTTCAATGAGTCCATAAACTTGGGTTCACATAAACATGCACGTTTACTGGGACCATTGTTTGAGAGGTTCTAGAAGTACTCATACCACATTAACAACACACAGAGCCAGTATCACAATGTTTTATTTTAATACTATTCTTTAACATCAGAAACATGCAATCTTTATAAAAGTGGTTGATTCTATGTAAAAAAAGGTAATAAAGAAAACAAGCTTAGAATTTATGGTAATACCAGGAAATACGCAAGTGTTCAAAAACAAAAATATGAGGTGTGCTGTAAGGATGCAGGATTCAAACAAAATGAGCTCCCAGCACCTAATAAAGCTGTGGTGCTTTGAACAATTAAATGAATGATGTAGCATGGATCTTTTTCAAAGTATAAAATGGACATCCATCAACCAATACTGATATTAATAGATGATTAATTAAAAAATAATAGGAAGAAGAACACATCTCCTTACAGAAGTATTCCAAATACATTAGATTGATGGTCCTCCAATCAAGCAGGTGAAGTTTAAACACTCATGAGTTGATTGTGGCCTGAGATTAGAGATATGGAAAAAATAATGACTATTAGTTTATTTTATAATGAAACTTCAGATATAATGCCAAAGGCATGATCTATGAATGAATAAAATTATATATGTTTTCAATCTAAATTTGTACAAACACACACACACACAAACACACACATTTTTCTGCGATACCTACTGATAAGGGAGTAAAAGGCAACCACAGACTTGGAGAAAATACTTCCTGTGGGGTTCAGTCAGGCTCGTGGGAAAAATTTTAGTTATAATAGCCACAAGTCCTCGTGGAAGGCTTGAGAGATTGCATAACTTCAGTAATAAATCTGGCTGAAGGCAGCCTAGTCCCCTTACCTTTAGTTTAGTAAATTTGAGTAGAAACAAAAGAATGTGGGGAGTTTATCTAACTAGCTTGTTCACTCATGTGGTCCTAAGACTCACCTTTGATCTACCTGGATGGTCAGTCAAGCTGGCAAAGCAGAATATCTGTGTGTCAGTGTACTTTATTCACCCGTTGTTGTGTCAGGACCTGCAGGACAGACCCCCACAGCCGGTGCCCCATGTGAGGATCGCTGCAAAGGGAGCGTGACAGACCCCATGAAAACGAAGGTTGAGGAAGACTGCGTGGTCAAGTCAGTAAAACAGTAAGTCATTGGTGCCCACTTGGGATCTCCAAGTTCAGGGGAGATTGTTCAGGCTGAGATTTCATCATGGGACAGCAGTTATCAGCTCAACACAAACAGCATATGAAAGTATTGTAACAGTTGCTTAAGGCTAGGGGAGCATCAGTTTCGCAGGCTCAATTAAGGCACCTAATGAAAACTGTTGTCTCACATAATCTGTGGTCCCAGAAGAAGGAAAGCTAGAAGTAAAGCTCTGGGAACAAGTAGGGAGAAATCTTGAACAGCATTACACACAAGCGCAACGGGTCCCAGCATCATCTTTAACACTATGGGCTTTAGTAGGGATGGCTTTAGTCCCATTATACAAAGAAGAACCCAAAAAGGGGAAGGAGGAAGAAACGTCACTTGCCTTACCACCTGCTCTTCCCAAAATAACAAAGAGGAAACGGAGGTTTTGCCTGAGCCCCCTCTTTCAATAGATAGAAAAAATAGAGGAAATACACTACAGCTATATGTCCCTGTCTTCGACAAGCAGCATTAAAAGGGGAGCTCTTAGACTGCCCAGTAATGCAAGATCAGCAAGGCAATCAGGTACACGAAGGGTTAAGAAAAGGCATTAGGGGCAGGAGCAAGTGCAGGAAGCTCCCCTCTGCCGGCAGCAGCTGCTGAGCAGTGTGGGGAGGGAGCTGGCACAGAGGAAACGCGGTGGCGAAAAGTGGCTTCTAAGCAAGCACAAAGCCGCAGCCGCCCTGGGACCCACCTGCTCCGCTCTCTGGCTCCGCAGGCGGCCCAAAGCAAAATTTGTTATGTTCTTTGTATACAAGCGACATCCCAGATTATAATTCTATGATAAGAGTTAAGTAAAATTTAAGAATTTGAGAAACCTCTTTCTAATAATGGCCACTGTTATCTCTCTCTTATTCCTAACATGACTCCAAATCCAGTTTAAGTAAAACAGTAACCTCTAAAGGGAGAGACATTACAAAAAGCCCCTAAGTTAGTTAGGGAGCAATTAAAAGCAAGCTTTGCTCCCTAGTAGGAAAAAGTTTCCTGGCTACAAGATTATTCATTTTATGGGTAATATTCTACTAACAGCCCTTAGAATTTACCCATTTTCATCATTCCCAAAAGGCCTAGTTAATGTGTTACCTACAAAAATAGTTTACTCCCCCATATTTAATGCTTTAGCACTGTTTACTGATAGATCTGGTAAATATGGAAAAGCAGCAGTCTGGTGGACACCACACAATTCATTCACTCAATCTGGGTTTACTAGCACTCAGAAAGCTAAAGTTGAGTCCTTAATATTGGGTCTAGAGAACTTTTACAGCCCTAATTAAGTCAACTCTGGAGCCAGCCCTGTGGACTCTTTTTCTCTGATTTCAGCAATTGCTAAATCAAAGTACACATCCTATTTTATTACACACATTCCAGCCCACAGCTCACTGCCTGGTCCATTAGCTTATGACAATAATCAAGCCAACCTTCAAGTTATGATATCGCTGCTTGACCAAGCCACCCAATTGCACCAATTTTTCCACCAAAATTGGAAAAACTTATCTAAACAATTCCAACTTATATAGAGACTGGCTAAACAGTCTCTGAGATCGCCAGCTCAACTTATACAGAGACTGGCTAAACAGTCTCTGAGATCGCCAGCTCACAGGCACGTCTCCTCCTTCAACAGGTATTAACCCTAGAACCTAATCTGTTGTGGCAAACAGATGTTACACACATCCCTGAATTTGGAAAACTTAGATAGGTACATGTATCCTTTGATATCAACACTCATTTAAGTAGTGCACATACTCCGCCTGGAGAGTTTACTCGATATGTCATTAAACATCTTCTTTTATCTTTTGCATTTATGGAACAACCCGCAAAAATTAAGACTGATAATTGTCCAGGTTAGGCCAGCTCACAATTTCAACAATTTTGTCACACGTGGAATATCCGACATTCCTCAGGTATCCCATATAAACCCCAAGGACAAGCAATAGTAGAACTTGCCAACTCCACCCTTAAAATATGCACAAAAAACAAAAACAGGGGAGTATGGGTACAGACCCTGCAACACTTTTGGCACAAACCTTATTTTTTTAATTTAGAAGACAAATTTGAATCCGCTGTAGAAAAGCACTTTGCTAAAATTTCCCAATACATGAAACCTGCAGTTTTATGGAAAGATGTAAACAGTAATGAATGGTGTGGTCCAAGTGAATTATTAATGTGGGGAAGAGGGTACGCTTGTATCCACACCCCCTCGGGTCGTCTTTGGGTTCCAGCACGACGCATCAAACCATACCAGGACATTGCTAGGACCCAACCCAGTACCAGAAATGAAGGAGTTAACCCTACAAGACCTACAGCCCCGGACGATGCAGCTTCTGTGAACAACACAATCCCCAGACATTACCTGGGGGGTACTGAAAAGGACAACTCAGGAGGCTGAACGAATCCTGCTCCAAATGCAGACACCATTTACTCCAGATAATGTGTTTGGTGCTATGATTTCTGTTGTACATTGCAACTCATGTAGGGTATTAATCCTTTTTATGCTCTCACTTTGTCTGCAACCTGTACCTGCTACACTCTATTGGGCCTCTATCTTAGACACACCTTTCTTTCACCCTGCCAAATGGGAAGACACTCCCTTCCCAGCCTATAGTAACGTGACTGCTTGGCTAGGAGGGATAGATTTACCCCACGTGGGGTCCCTCAATAATGGCACACAATGGACTAAGGTGGCAGATAACACTATATGTCAATCCACTATTATCCTCCCAGTGTGTGTAAGTTATAAAGACTCTAACCCTTACTGTGTACCTGCCCAAAAACAAGTATGGTTACATCATAGCAAAGGAAATGCCTTAACATTCTTAGCTGCAGATAGCCTCAAACTGAGCAATGCAATCCATGCCGCTGCTTCTTTCCCAAACATTCCTTCCTGTGCTAAGGAACAAAGCTGGGACAGTAATCGGTTCGACTTTAGCTGGGAGGTCTGTCATGGGAGACGAGCCCATAGCCTCCAGTTAGGTAATTATAACATCTTAGACTGGAGTCCCAGCGGCTGATTGCAGGGCAGCCTTACTAATACCTTCATCCATCAGAGCATCAATCAGTTTCATAGCCATGTCTTTTCCCCTATAATTTGTGCCAAGGGGGGATGGCATATCCAAGGCCCCAAGTAAAGTCCATGCCGCCCCAAGGTACTTTATGGTGTCTGGGACATCTTAGCACCTCCCTTAACACCTGGCATGGGACATACCATATTTCCCGTTGCAACTATGCTATAAGCTTTATTCATAATCACACTGATCAGTGCCTAATTTGCACTACCCATCCATACGATTTCCTTATGGGAACTAACATTTCCATTACACCTCAAAACTCCACGTTTGTGACCTGGATGCAGGGACAGGCTTGGTTTGCCTCATGTATCACTAATCACAGTATATCTAACTTAAAAATTACTAGCGCCATGGTATTAAAGAGAAAATCTGAGGCATTCTTACCAGTCAATCTGGCATGCAATTGGCAAGGTTCCTATGCCCTTGCAACCTTAGAACGTGCCCTGTCCCAGGTCAGACACAAAAGATTCATAGTTACACTTATGGCCTTTATAGTCTCAGCCATAGTCATCCTGGCAACAGCTAGTGTTGCTGTTGCATGTATTATTGACTTAGTGTAAACTGCTGCCTTTTTAGATAATCTGGCCAAAAATGTGTCTAATGAACTTCTCTTACAGCAAGGTATAGATCAAAAAATTATCACACGTCTGCTAGCCCTTGAGGCTGCTTTAGAATATGTCAGGGAGCGACAAGATGCAGTGGCATTCTGACAGCATTTAAACTGTGACTGGGAACATGAACATATCTGTATCACTTCTCTACCACGGAATCTATCAATACATAGTTAGGATGAGGTAAAACAATACCTCTGGGGAACCTTTCATGACAATTTAACAGCAGACGTAAAGTAAGTTCAAACTAAAATTTTAGAATCTCTTCACGCAATAGATCTACACCCCCAACAAACAGTCATATGGAAGGGTGTGTGAGATCATCTCTCCTGGTTAGACCCCGCTCCTGGGGGTCACTCTGACTGGAAAAGAATGTTGCTAATTCTACTCATGATTGTTTTATGTTATTTGCTAATTCTAGGATGCAAAGCCAGAATAAGAGCAATGACTGCCACACCTGACAGACATGTTGCTGCGCATATCTGCACGCTCCAATCCAAAAGACCTGATGTAGAAAACAAAAAATGGGGAGATGTGGTGGTCCAGTCAGGCTGGTGGGAAACATTTTAGTTCTAATAGCCACAAACCCTCTTGGAAGGCCTGTGAGTTTGCATAACTTTGGTAATAAATCTGGCTGAAGGCAGCCTAGTCCCCTTACCTTTAGTTACATAAAGTAGAGTAGAAACAAAGGAATGTGAGGAGCTTATCTAACTAGCTTGTTTACTCATGTGTTCCTAAGACTAACCTTTGATCTACCGCGGGTGCTTAATTGCTTTCCACTCAAGAGGTCCACAATGTCAATTACCTTCTAGTGGTGTTTACTCACGGCCTTTGTCAATTAATCTTTACTGAATAAATGTAAGTCTCCCTGACTGATCGAGGCGGTGGCTGTGACTAAGTGGCCCAGATGCTCAGTCGAGCTGGCAAAGCAGAATATCTTTGTGTCAGTGCACTTTATTCATTCGTCATTGTGTCAGGGTGTGCAGGACAAACCCCTGCAACTTCCAAGTCACATATTTGTTAAATGAATTCTTTTAATTTGTTAATTAACTTTTATAATCAATATGCAAGTAAACTTACAACTAATCAAAAGAAAACAGTGCTATTGAAAATGAACCAAATATCAGGAGAGGCATCTCACCAAAAATTATATGAAAATTGTTAAATATGAATTTTATTAGGGGCATGTGCATTTAAGCAAAAATTAGATACCATTACTCACCTATTATAATGGTTAAAACACACAATTCTCATAATGATAAATGGTAATATAATGTGGAAACCCAAGAACAATCATTCATTGATGGTGGGAATTCAAAGAGGTACATGGTCAAAATGAGACTCTTTTTGGCATTTTTTATAGAGACAAAAGTAGAGTTAAAATGTGATCTTGTGTCTGTGTTCCAAAACATTTACAACACTGATTCAGAAATTGATGTTTACAAAGATACCTTCAGAGGAATTTCTATGTCAGCTTTATTAATTTGATTAATTCTCCAATCCCTAGAATTTGCTTACAGAATAAATGTTGCATAAGAAATCTCTCAAATAATTACAATTTCTCAAATACACATTTATATTGTTCCTTTTCGTAAATGACTTAATGCTATTTTCTAAGAAAGTCTTCAATCTAATAATCTTTGTCATCTCCTCCATGCCAGCACAGCTGCCTCCTCCCTGGGGTTCCTGACTCTCTCAGGATGTGGGTTCTCGCACCGTGTATCTTGCCCAGTAATACACAGCCGAGTCCTCAGATCTCAGGCTGCTCAGCTCTATGTAGGCTGTCCTCAGGGACATGTCCCTGGTAATGGTGACTCTGCCCTGGAACTTCTTTGCATAGTTGGTGTTACCATTGTAAAGTGTGATCCATCTCATCCTTTCAAGCCCTTGTCCAGGGGCCTGTTGCAACCAGTGCAAGGAGCAGCAAGTGAAGGTGTATCCGGAAGCCTTGCAGGAGACCTTCACTGAGGCCCCAGGCTTCTTTACCTCAGCCTCAGACTGCCCCAGCTGCACCTGGGAGCAGACACCCATTGGAGGGTGGGACACAGGAGTGGATGAAAGCCTCCTTGACTGTACTCAATCCCCTTCTCATCACTGGGACTTGGGAGCACCTTACCTGTAGCTGCTGCCACCAGGAAGATTAGCTCTAGGTCCTGTCCATGGTGAGGAGCCATGCTCTCGGGGGATTCTCTAGAGGCGGGATGTGATTGTTGGGTGAAGCTCTCAGGGCACAGACCATATTTACCTCAGTGGATCTCAGGTATTTACATATTCATGAGACAGGGCATTTCATAGCTCAAAGCCTGATCCATGATAAGAAAGGGAAGACAAATGACACATCAGCCTTGCAAGAGTGAGATGCTGATGGTCCAAGCCCTAATCCTGCTTGAGGAAATGCATGCCCCTGTCCATTTAGGAATATTTGTGGACAGAGGTCCTTTCACTGAAGAAGAAGCCCCCTCAGAACGGCCTCTCACTGTGAAACTACATTAGATTAGCACAGAGACCACTTGGATCATTCTGGGGACCATCTCGGTCCATGACACAGAGCAGGTGCCTTGGCCCTATGCTGGACCCGTCAGACACCAGCACAGCTCACTGATGACTCTGAGCAAGTGACGCTGATGTCCCACGTGAGTGGCCAGCACGTTCCTCTGAGATCCCTGGGGCGCTCCTGAGACAGTTTCTCCAGCACCTTCCTGGTGTCCTGATTCCCCAGGATCGTCAACAGAAAAACTCTTAGTTTACAGATTTGCCCTGTGATGCATAATTGGAGATGATTTTCTTATGTCATGGACACTAGGATTCAGAAGTTGAAACAGGAGTTAGGAGTTCTTTATGAACTCATGCTCCCATAATAATTTCAAGGGAATTTGTGTTTTGGATAAGTTTGGGTTTTATTTCCTACTGGATTTATTAGAATTTCATGAACTGTTTACATACTTTCAGTTCATGTGCATAGATCCTCATCTTTACATGCTGATTTCTGACTCACTCTCAGATCCACACTCTCGGATCCACCACTGCCCTGTCACTCACACAATGTAGGCAACTTTACTTAACACTGAAATCTGAATTTTTTTTTTGGAGATGGAATCTCGCTTTGTTGCCCAAGCTGGAGTGCAGTGGCACAATCTCAGCTCACTGCAAACTCTGCTTCCCACGATCACTGACAGCAGCATTGTCTGAGGCTGTAGGTCTTGTAGGATTAAATCTCCTGCCTCAGCCTCCCGAGTAGCTGGGACTACAGGTTCATGCCACCCCACCTGGCTAATTTTTTGTATTTTGAATAGAGACAGGGTTTCATGGTGTTAGCCAGGATGGTCTCCAGCTCCTGACCTCGTGACCCGCTCACCTCAGCCTCGCAAAGTGCTGGGATTACAGGCATGAGCCACCAGCCCCAGCCTGAAATCTGAAATTATTATTCATGGAAATATAGTGACTCCCATAATTCTCTCTGCATTGAATTAGTAAGACCATCCCTATTCTTCATATTCTCACTATTAAGGTATTTATAATCTTAGAAGCCGACTTTAAAAAGATAGTTCTCCTTGTCTTGAATTGTGGGAGCAGCTCAGATGTGATAGAATATTTAAAAAGATAGTTATCATTGCCTTGAATTGTGGGAGCAGCTCAGATGTGATAGAATATTTAAAAAGATAGTTCTCATTCCTTGAATTGTGGGAGCAGCTCAGATGTGATAGTATATTTAAAAAGATAGTTCTCATCGCCTTGAATTGTGGGAACAGCTCAGATGTGATAGAATATTTAAAAAGATAGTTCTCCTTGTCTTGAATTGTGGGAGCAGCTCAGATGTGATAGAATATTTAAAAAGATAGTTCTCCTTGTCTTGAATTGTGGGAGCAGCTCAGATGAGATAGAATATTTAAAAAGATAGTTCTCATCGCCTTGAATTGTGGGAGCAGCTCAGATGTGATAGAATATTTAAAAAGATAGTTCTCATTGCCTTGAATTGTTGGAGCAGCTCAGATGTGATAGAATATTTAAAAAGATAGTTCTCATTGTCTTGAATTGCGGGAGCAGCTCAGATGTGATAGAATATTTAAAAAGATAGTTCTCATTCCTTGAACTGTGGGAGCAGCTCAGATGTGATAGAATATTTGAAAAGATAGTTCTCATCACCTTGAATTGTTGGAGCAGCTCAGATGTGATAGAATATTTAAAAAGATAGTTCTCATCGCCTTGAATTGTGGGAGCAGCTCAGATGTGATAGAATATTTGAAAAGATAGTTCTCATCGCCTTGAATTGTGGGAGCAGCTCAGATGTGATAGAATATTTATAAAGACAGTTCTCATCGCCTTGAATTGTGGGAGCAGCTCAGATGTGATAGAATATTTATAAAGATAGTTCTCCTTCTCTTGAATTGTGGGAGCAGCTCAGATGTGATAGAATATTTAAGGGCACACCAGCAACTTATTGAATTTTAGCTTTTTTCTCCCAAAGGAAGACCCAGCCCCTGAGAGGAAACCTTCTCAGCAGCCTCCTGTGCACCAGCTGCAGGGCTGGAACCCGTGCTGAGTGGCTCCTGAGTGCCCCCTCCCGCCCAGCCCTTGCCTTGCAAGGAGGTTCCTGTTGGGGCTCACAAAGCATTTCCCCCCAGCTTCTCTAGCCCAGCGTGAAATGGCTGTGTGCTAGTGTAGAATACTCCCTCAGTGACACCATATGCTGGTGACACCATCTCTTGAAATAATTGATCAACTTTACTAAACAGATTGAACTCTGCCGTGAGACTCAAAGCAAGGGTTCTATGACACAGGACAGAGCCCCTTCTCTGAAGCTCCAGATGCACTTAAGCAGTGGACCCACAGTGAATACAAAAACTTGCAAAAGATTTGGGAGTGCCTTCTTTCTTCATTGGGCTCTTGCAGGTGAATGTAGCATTGGAAAATACCAGCAGGTGCAGATTGATCGAGATGAAAGCCCACTCCATATCCACTATTCCAATAACACTATAACACTATAACAATAACTTCCTAATAAGGAAGAATTTTCCCTTCTTCCTAATGCCTAGCCTATAGAAAATTCCTCCTACACTGACACTAGGCCCAGGTATCTGACTTTTTTCTCCTAGAGATCTAAAGGTCAATGAGGGAGTTTCCAAGACCTTGATCTTAAAAATGGTGATGTCAGAGGCTTCAGATTGCTTTGTCGTCCTTGTCCTACTCTCTGCCTTTGTCCTTTAGTTTTCCAGTGTTCTTCTCACATAGAGTCTGTGCATTGCCACACTTCCATCTTTAATCCAGAGCTATCACACTGGTTAGAATGGATTGTGCAGTGCAGGCAAGCACTGCCTGTTTTGACAATGGAAACCTAGAGATGCGATCGGCTTCCTCTTCTGGGCTGTGACTTTGACCAGGAATCTCCAGGGGAAAAGCTACTTTGGCCATTACTCCCTTTTGTGGTTTCAGTGTCCCTGGACTATTTACTTACATCTTACCCCTATTGGCTAACTTTGCTCATTTCTATAATAATGGAAGAATGGGAGAGAAATCTGGAATGGGAGATTTGTCTTCCTTTACATAGGACAAGGTTCTCGAAAAGTCCTTCCATGTAGAAGCTTTTGAAAAAGTCTCCCGTAATATTTTTCAGTAATTAATCTTCTCCAATCTGACAAATAAGAAACGTATTTGGATAGTATTTTTTAGAATCTGGAGGTTTCTGGTGAGAAAGTCCATAAAACATAGAAATATAAGACCCTCTGGAACAGTCACATTTACTGAGTCCACATCTGTCTTTAAGACAACTATAGTGCTTATCATGTAAGTGCCCTCAACAACTTGTGGCTTCTGTAGATTCTCTTCCAGTTAAACAAGTGTCAACTGCCATTCTGGACATGGCTGTCTATCCAGGTTCTTGAGTGGGTATTTTTTTTTCAATTTCAGTTACTTAGCAGATTCCAAAAAGTATTGGCATTCAGATTATGCAGATTTCCTTTGACATAAAAATGAATGTGATGAACATCATAATCTATGTGTCAGTGCATAAACCAAAAGTACAATCAAAGGTCTCCATTGATGTGTTACTGGAGGCAGAATTTTGATCTTATTACATATAACAGACACCTGGTATGACATAAATGAACAGGCAAGAAAACAGAGTAAGGACATGGCACAACACTTATGAACAAGTCTCAGCAATTTTAATTTTCTTCTGAGGAAGTTGAAATTGTGAAAGTGAAACAGTGGGACTGGTCATGTCTCAGGTGATGTTGTCTTCTGGAAAGTGTCTCCAATCCTGGGCTGCATCCAGTAGGTGCACCTGGGCTCCCGAACCTGAAACATGGACTCTTATTCCTTAAACACAAGACATTCCAATGAGAAAGCTGTTCTCAGGTGAGCTACAGAGCAGGGAGCAGGAGATGTAGGTGTCCTTCGCTTCCTAGAATTACTGAAACTTGAAGACCAAGGCCTCCCTTGAGGGGCAGAGATCCACCTATGAGTACATCACATCAGCTCTGTCTTCGGGAATCTTTGGCTTTATGGGAGGATAAGGAATGTGATTTATTCCTTTCTGCTAATGCAGTGTGCATCAGAGAAAATGAGTTGAAAATTTAATAAATATTTTTTCCATATTAGGGGAGAGAACATGTATAAATCACGGCAATGCAAGTGCTCACTACAGAACCTGCAGGAGGAGCAAGTGCACAACTGAGAGAAGGCAGCGCCCTGCCCGAGGAAGCAGGTGCCCTGAGATCATCCCCTGGGAACTGTGCTCTAGGTGCCGTGCGCCAGTGGAACCTGGGCTGGGGCCTGGGATTTGTAGGTGGTGTGGAGAGCAGAGCACAGCTCCATTCCTCCTCACTGTGTGACCTGGGATGTGGCATCTTCCTCTGAGCTTCATTCGGACAAGGTGTTAATATAAAATTGCAGCATTAAATTTACCTATAACCTTTCAATTAGGAGCCAGTGCTGTTCAGAATTGTTATCAC
Organism: Homo sapiens; assembly: GCF_000001405.40. NCBI lineage: Eukaryota > Metazoa > Chordata > Mammalia > Primates > Hominidae > Homo > Homo sapiens. The sequence goes on from NT_187600.1 coordinate 1,200,755, forward strand.
TACTGTTGTCCAAACCCTTAAATATTATAAAATACCTGTGTGACCCCTCATCTCAGACCTCAGATGACCACATTGCAGAGAAGACACCTGCTTTGTTTCTGTCACGAACATGGTATTAGAACGGGAAAGTATGTGTAACCTTGTTATAGATTTCATGTTAATTAAGTTACAATGGGTAAAATTAGAATTAGTAAGTGATACTTAAAATTTAGCTTTGGGGATTTCTAAGCAAAGTGTGGATGGTGTGTTTTGATTTCTCCTTGCTTAATATAGTATAATGTGAGAGGAGGAGACAAATTAAAGAAGAAACTATCCAGCAATGTGGAATCAGGTATTTTATAAATAAAGAAGGTTCTCACCTCTTCTGAAAACCCCATAACCTTAAAAAAATGAAGGAACTTTAAGACATATTTCTATATTCTGGATACATGACTAATAAAAACATATTTAAGTGCAAAAAGAGATACACAGAAGATGAAACTTCTGCAGCAGATAATTTTGCCAAATAGCTTTATACTAGTTTGTAATTTTACCTAAATATTCAAAAGATAAACTCCAGAGAGATCCAAATAAGAAATTATAACATTTCAATGTTAGATGACTGGTTGAGAGGCGCTTGAACTAACATTATTTTGATGAATCATACCTCAATAATAAAACTGTGTCTAATGGTACACTGTTCAAGAGGCTACTTGAGTATATAGTTTCTACCTCTCCTATTTGGGAGTCCTGGCACAACCCAACGTTCTCTAAACCTGGGGGCCACTAAGAACAGAGACAGAAGTTGGAATATTATGAAGTCATTATGAAGTTTTGAGAGATCCGCAATCACTGATGGAGTGATTGGTGAGGGTTGTCTCTATGAGCCTAGGCTTGGAAGAGTGTGGCTCTTTGTTATGATGAGCAAAGAGCTGTTTGTTATGATGAACGGATAGCAAGAAAGACCGTCAAGGAAAATGAAGAAACACGGGAACATGGTCCAAACAGACAGACAACATAGAGGTCCAGAATCTGGCATCAATGAATAAAAAAACATATGGATGTCCTGGCAGAAAATTTGAAGTAAATATTAGAAACATGTTTAATAAGCTAGTGGCAGCATGCAAGAACAAAGTGAGAATTTTAATAGAGATAAAAAAATTTAAAAGAGGACGAAACAAAAATATTTGTGTCGAAGAATACAATAAGTCAGCCAAAATTTTTAACAGAGCACACTGTGGGAGAGGCTCAGGCTTTCCTTTCCCCTAGAGCAGGCAGCCCTGAAATTTCCCTAGACATGAATCACTGTTTCCTCCCGCCCACCTTCCACATTCTCCTCAGAGATGCCCCTGGCTCCGGAGTTCAGCTTCTCACATGTTGTGTGACTTTGGGTTAAAACACACCTGAAACACTGAGTGGCTGTTGTCTTTGATCACTTCATCATCGTCCGCATTTTAGTTGATGCGATTTTTTTACCTCATTTTGAAGAAATGAAAATAAATCAATAGACTAGGCCAGATTTCCTTTTTCTTTCTTTCTTTCTCTTTCTTTCTTCCTTTCTTTCTTTCTTTCTTTCTTTCTTTCTTTCTTTCTTTCTTTCTTTCTTTCTTTCTTTCTTTCTTTCTCTTTCTTTCTTTCTTCTTTCTTTCTTTCTTTCTTTATTTTTCTTTCTCTCTCTCTCTCTTTCTTTCTTTCTTCTTTCTTTCTTTTATGGAGTCTAGCTCTGTCCCCCAGGCTGGAGTTGAAGTGGCACAATCTCGGCTCACTGCAAGCTACGCCTCCCAGGTTCATGCCATTCTCCTGCCTCAGCCTCCCGAGTAGCTGGGACTACAGGCGCCCACCACCACGCCCAGCTAATTTTTTGTATTTTTAGGAGAGATGGAGGTTTCACCATGTTGGCCAGGATGGTCCGGATCTCCTGACCTCGTGATCCGCCCACCTTGGCCCCGCAAAGTGCTGGGATTACAGGCGTGAGCCACCGCGCCCGGCCTAGAGAGATTTTCTTATCTCTCTTTCCCTTGATAGATGTGAATGTAGCCCCAAATATGGTAGGAATCAGTAGACACTGCAGCTCTTACAACACTTTCTTGGTCAGCTGGTCCAACAGTGTGAGCACCACAGTAGCACAATTATTTTATGGGACTAATTCTGTATCCAATGCAGACACATGTTTTTTTATGTACTGGGACCTCCAGTTCATCGCAGGCTGTGATTATGGAGAAGGAAGGAAACATTCTTCAAGGTTCCATCATACATGTGGTAAGAGAATCTCATATTTCTGTCCAGTGGTTTCCAGACCCAGGTGTTGTAGCTCCTGGCCACGGGGCTCTGCAGTGCTCTCTGTTTGGGGGCATTTAAGCATCCTGGAGAATAGTATTATCTCCAAAATGGCCCTTCTTTAGAGATTAAATTTCCTGCTATAAAACAGAGGCATAAACTACCTGCTGTTTATCTCACATCAGACTGTGGAGACCTAAGTCAATGCTTCCATTGTTCTGCTGGGGTCTTTGTTTCTGGGCAAATGTGAAGGAGCAAGAACTGCTGGATCGCAGACTCGTGTTCCCGTGATCACATCTCCTGTCCCTTAACTACAGCTACGTTCTGTCGTGTCAGAACACATTGTGCAGTGTCTCATTCTAGGAATAAGATATTCAGTAACTTGGACAGTGGAACTACCACTAGTAGTTTCTCTATGATTAAAAAAAAAACATGTGGAGATAAAAGTTAATTCTTCTAAGTACAAATTACTACCTATCAGGCTTGGGCTTTAATTTTTTCTAATTGTCTCCATATGACTGGTGGGTATCCTTACAGTGTGAGTTTTTTTTTAGACAAACGTGATCTCTATTGCTGTCAGTTCAGGCACTTGGTAAAAGGTGCTGGCCATTCTGGTTGGAGGTACCTGGGCTCAGTCTTCATTGTACATATTAGGGGAAGCTCTGATATAAACAGAGTGGACGTTGTCACTTATGTAGCAGTATGGATTAAACTGCAGAAGATCATCATACTGTGAGGTCTCCATACCCTTTTACACAGCAGAGTAGATTTCCCTTGCTTTCAGCTGCCTGCTTACTTATATTAAATATTACTGCATGTACTTTTACTTTACCTTATTTTCTATTCTAAGCTATTGCCTACTTATTTAATTAAAGTAAGCAATAGTAAATTTTAAAAATAACAATCAATTACCTGTACAAGTAACATAAAATGGGCGTGATGAATAAGCCACGTAGAGATACCAGAAAACAAAGCTAATAAAGAAACACATTGTGTAAGTTTAGAGTAGTCAGTGAGCACCGAAACCATGAAGAGCTTGTGTTGACATTTACACGAACAAAGTCAGTTATATTTGACATCCAGAAGGCTGGTCACACCCATGAGAGAAATATGTAGAGTGGTCCACCTAACTCAGAAATTAGAAAGTGATAAAGTCACAAACTTACAAAACCAGCAAAAACAACATTCAGTGTATTTAGTATTGAGCTCTGTTTCTTCAGGAAAAGGGATGGGTTATATCTGCATGGAAAATGGGACAAGTATTTTTTAAGCTGATTCTCCTGGGAAGTTGCTAATGAAATCATTCCAGTGATGCTCTGACACAGGATTGTGAAGAGGACGTTGACCCCTGGTGGTCGTTGTCAGCAACACGGATGCTCAACCCTGGTGGGTGCCTTTGTTACCGTTTTGTCCACAAGAGATTTTAGCCTGTCATGTGCTGCATGCAGGTGAGTTTTTAACCCTCAGATGAAAAAAAATAACATGACCACCAAGAAGATGAGGAAATTGAAGACGTCACTTCATCAACCACATTCCACTGATGAGAACTGTTTACACAGAGAGCCAGGGATGAGCTGGGAAGAGGAAGGGGTTGGGGAAGATCATCCATAGAAGGACACATCCAGCCTGCTTGAACTCCCTGTGGAAGGAGGGTTTAAATGTTTGTCTTCAGCTAATCAGGGGTATTTCGAGACCTTCACAAGCTTTCAGAGAGAGTTTTCATGAACAAATATCCATGCATTACTCAGAGTTGTATTTTTTCATATTTATTCTTCTTCTCTAGGCAGCTCCACAGAAGGGTGTTCTCAGAATTCTCCCTGATCTTCCTTGAGGTCCTGATGCAGCTCCTGGAGGAAAAGCCTGCATGGGGGAGGGAGCCCTCCTCATGTGCAGCCCTGAGGCTGTCCCATCACCTCACCCACCACTGCCCTTCAGTCAATTGGTGAACATTTCTGAGCTAATCTTCCTGAAACGTGTGGCTTTGGGCAGTATGTTCACCAGGTTACAAAATACTTAAGCTCTGTCTATTTCCACAGGCACGTATTCCTTTCCGGAGCACAGGTTGGTCTTGAGTGTGTGGTAGTGGATAATTAGTGAGAGCAGGTTTGTGCGCATCTTGTCATCTCCCAAAGTGCACCCTCTATGGAGTTGACACCCACAAACAAGCAGATGGACTTGCTCAGCTGGAGGATGACAAACATTTTCATAACCTATGACCTCAGTGGTGCTCTTTATCTGCAAGACCAATCATGATCATGCCTCTGGCTAATGTGCACTCATCAAGGGCAAGCAGTGCCCACCTCTGTGAGGGCTGCTTCAGGTGCACACTCCCTTTGCAGAGGGAAGCTTTTGTTCCTACCTGGGTCCCATGAATGTGTTTGCATTTGCTGCACAAACCACCTTACTCAGACTCACCACCCAAGAGCTCACAGTGCACCTAATCCAACTCTAGGGCATTATACATGGAATCTCTCATTGCCAGGGTCTCCAATTCCAATGAAAGGATGTTCATTATGGGATTCCCCAGAACTTTCTGGTCTTTTAGAGACATGAACTGGCCTCTAAAAGCTTAAAAATCTTACTCTCTGGGAAGGAGCATTGTAAACCAGAAGTAAGATAAGCTCTAAATTAATATATATTTTGTGGATTTTGGAAGAAAGAGTTCAAATAGTAATAGCCTTACCCACTTTCCCTCTGACTAATATCAGTTCTAGAAAACACTGAAAAAACCGTGGAATCTTGAGATACTTAGGCTTGTTATATTAGGAGATCACCAGAAAAAGAAAGAACCAAGCGTCCTTGGAGATTCCTCCATTGTAACTGATTTGTGACTGCGGTGCAGGATGGTCGTAGTGGAGGAGGCTGTGCCTGTGTAGGGCAGGGAGTCATGGGAATTCTCACGCCTCCTGTGCAATTTCTTTGTAATCCTAAAACTGCTGTAAAATAAACTTTATGATAAGGAGTGACAGAAACATTTGAAGGAAACTTTTGGCACTTTTTAAGAATCATTCTTAGTCTCACCACATGATCAAATAACCTTGCTCCAAATCATGTATTCATCCAATTTGAAAACTTGTTCACAGTAGCACCTTCATGGAATGTTTGTATCAACGTTATAGAGTGTGGCCTTTTCCACTCTGTGAATTTGGCTTATATTACGACTCTTGAATGGAATATTTATCTTAAAATTAGAGTATGTACTTGTTTCTACTGTTCTTTTTTTCTCAAATATATAACCCATTTTGTAAACAGCCTTAAACCTAATAACCCCTGTCATCTCCTCAGCCCGGCACAGCTGCCTTCTCCCTCAGGGTTTCTGACACTCTCAGGATGTGGGTTTTCACACTGTGTCTCTCGCACAGTAATACACGGCCGTGTCCTCAGATCTCAGGCTGCTCAGCTCCATGTAGGCTGTGCTCGTGGATTTGTCCGCGGTAATCGTGACTCTGCCCTGGAACTTCTGTGCGTAGTTTGCTGTACCAAAGATAGGGATGATCCCTCCCATCCACTCAAGCCCTTGTCCAGGGGCCTGTCGCACCCAGCTGATAGCATAGCTGCTGAAGGTGCCTCCAGAAGCCTTGCAGGAGACCTTCACCGAGGACCCAGGCTTCTTCACCTCAGCCCCAGACTGCACCAGCTGCACCTGGGACTGGACACCTGTGGAGAGGACACAGGGGTGAATAAAATCCTCTTTAACTAAACCAGGATCCCTTCCTCAGCCTTAGGACTAGGAAGCCCCTTACCTGTAGCTGCTGCCACCACAAAGAGGAACCTCCAGGTCCAGTCCATGGTGATGAGCTGTGCTCCCAGGGGCTTCTTCAGAGGAGGAATGTGGTTGTTATGTGATGCTCTCAGGGCACCAATATATCTATATTTATCTCAGAAGACCTCAGGTTATTTGCATATGCATGAGGCAGGGTATTTCACAGCTCAAAGCCTGATCTAGGATGAGAAAGAAAACACAGATGCCACATCAGCTGTACAAGTGTGGGATGCTGAGAGACCAAGCCCTAAATCCTGCCTGAGGAAAAGCATCTCTTGCCCCATTTCTAAGCTTTCTGTGCACAGCGCTCTTCCCGCTGCAGAACAAACCCCAACCCCAGGATGCACTCCTCACTGTGAACCCACATTTTATTGGCCTAAAGATTACCTGGGTTTTTTGTGGGACCATTGCTGTCTCTGACATTGAGCAGGCACCTAGACCCATCCTGGTCCCATTAGGAACACTCAGAGCTCACTGGTAACACTGAAAAGGTGGCCACTCGTTACCCTACATGAGTGTCCAGCAGGACCCATGGAGAGTTCTGAGATCTGCTGGGCACTCCCAAGACAGGGTCCCCAGCACTTTCCTGAGGGTCCTGACCTCCCAGGTCCTTCAGTGGAAAGACTCTTGGTTGACAGATTTGCCGTCTGATGTGTGATTGGTTCTGAGACTTCCCTCCCATTGACAGTAGGAATCAGGGGTTGAAATAGAAATAGGAATTTGAGTTTCTTGGTGAACTCATAGCTCCCAAAATAATTACCAAGTAATTTGTATTTTGAATAAGTTTGTGTTTTATTTCAAACTGCATTAAATAGAATTATTTGAAGTATTTACATGGTTTTAGATCATATCCATAGATCATCATCTTTACATGCTGATTTCTGTTCTGCTTGGTCTGGGCACTTATCACACTCTTCAATCCACTGCTTCCAAGTCACAAGCACAATGTAGGAAACATTACTTATCTCTGAAGTCTGAATACCTTCTTCATAGGAATATAGTATCTCCCACAGTTATGTGCCCATTGAGTTAAAAAAAAACCATCCATATCCTTCATATTCTCACTATTCAGATATTTATTATCCTAGAACCCCCCTTGTAAATATAGCTTTCATTGCTTTTTGAGTGATATAAGTGGCCCAGTTTCCATATCCTTCATATTCTCACTATTCAGGTATTTATTATCCTAGAACCCCCCTTATAAATATAGCTCTCATTCCTTTTTGAGTGATATAAGTGGCCCAGTTTCCATATCCTTCATATTCTCACTATTCAGGTATTTATTATCCTAGAACCCCCCTTAGAAATATAGCTCTCATTGCTTTTTGAGTGATGTAAGTGGCCCAGATGAAATAGAATATTTAGATGAGTATCAGCAACTTGCTGAACACTTAATTTAGAATGACTTGTTGAATAAGGAAGACTCAGGCCCTGGAAGAATATTTGCTTTTATTTATCTCCAACAAATAAGGGAGAATATATAATATCTGGTTTTCTGTTCCTGAATTAGTTTTCTAAGAGTATTGACTGCCAGTTCCATCATGTTCCTACAAAGGACATAGTTTCATTCTTTCCTTAGCTGCATAGTATTCCATGGTTGTATGTACCACATTTTTCTCTATCATTCTGCCAGTGATGGGGATTTAGGTAAATTCCATGTCTATGCTATTGTGGATAGTGCTGCAGTGAACCTACATGTTTATATTCCTTTAGGTATATGTCCAGTTGTAGGATTGTTGGGTCAAATGAAACTTCTGTTTTAGGTTATTGGAGGGATCACCACACTGCTTTCCACAATGGTTGAACTCATTTATATTCCCGCCAAAAGTGTATAAATTTCCCCTTTTTTCTGTAACCTTAAAAATCTGTTATTTTTTTTTTAAGATTAGCCATCCTGACTGATGTGAGACGGTACCTCATTGAGGTTTTGATATGTATTTCTCTAATGATAGTGATATTCAGCATTTTTTCCTATGCTTGTTGGCCACATGTAGGTCTTTTTTGAAGTGTCTTTTCATGTCCTTTGGTCACTTTTTATTTCTTGTATGTTTGTTAAATTTCCATGTATATACTAAGTGTCGGACCTTTGTCAGATGTATAGGCTGCAAATATTTTATTTCCCATTCTGTAGGTTGCCTGTTTACTCTGTCGATAGTGTCTTTTGCTGTACAGAAGTTCTTTAATTTACTTAGGTCCCATTTGTCAATTTTCAATTTTGTTGCAACTACTTCTAGCATTTTCATTATAAAACCTTTGTCAGTTCTTACCTCCTAAATTCTGTTTCCTATGTTATTATCCAGAGGTTTTATAGTGTTAGGTTTTACATTTTGATCTTTAATCCACATATAACTTTTTTCAATTGATGCTGAAAACGCATTTGATGAAACAACATCCTTTCACAAAAAAAACATAAAAAATGGGTATAGAAAGAACCCATCTCGACAAAATAAAAGTTACATTCGAGAGACTTTCAGGTAGTATCAGGTTGAATGAGAAATAACTAAAAATCTTTTCTCTAAGATCTGGAACACGCCAAGTTTCCCACTTTAATCACCAGTAAAGCATAAACCCTTCTGCTGCCACCATAGCCGGCTCTTACCTGCGAGCACCACCTACTGGCCTGACGTTCAAACTGCATGACCTCATACAAACTCAATACCACCAGTGTACAGCAGTTGAAAATGAGATTAGCTTCTCATTACTTCGGTGATTCCAACCCCGCAAAAGACCACGGGCCTGCTCACATACCCAGTATATTACTACTACAACGGGAATTTGAAACAGCCACCACACTAAAGCTCTTAATAACAAAAGAAACCACACTGAGTAGATGCCGCTCAGCTCGCCATTTCCATCAAGGCTGGCGCTTTTGCTTGCCAGGCTCGGTGGCTCATGTGTGTCCAGCTTGGTCCACCTCTCAGGGGCTGAGCAGGGAACTCAGGTCACTGTGCATTTCATAGACCAGTCCATCGCCTGAGGCAACAGAGAGCTTCTCCCTGTGCACAGATATCAAGCATGCACTCAACTGCTTCTACCAGAGTCAGCTCTAATCTGTAAGGACATCTACTAATGTGGAGGGTGAACTTAACAACCCAACACAAAATCTGCTGAAACAAAGGCATTCCAAATGAGAAACAGTTCCTGAGGCCTCCACTATCTAGGACCTGCAGGGGGCAGTGAGCCTACTCACAAGTCCAGTACTTTGGTACTAAAACCACCATTTCAGAAAGCCACTAAATAATGGCTATCTATAGACAAGGAACTCTTACAGAGTCTTTGCCACTAAGTAAACCAAGAACCAAAATCAAAATACCCACACAATGTACATTATATTCACATTCTAAAGGGAATTAAATATTCATCAAAATCAGAATGAATTAAAAAATAAGAAGAAGCGATAGTTTAGCTAATGAAAAGCAAACAGATAAGCAATTCAGGAAGTATGAAAAAACAGAGTTACAAAACCCCAAATATCACCTTAACTCTCCAGCAATAGAATCTAAACAACATGACATATTTGAAACGTCTGATAAATAATTCAAAATGTTGATTTTAAAGAAGCTCAATTAAACCTTTTTCTCTAGTGGCTCAGTAAGCACCGGCACTGAGACAAGCACTATGAAGACAATTGCAGCCCACCCCCTGATGAACTGACCCCTGTTCCACAAACCATAACCCCAGCTTTGATTGAACACTACAGTGATATCAGGAACTTTCTCCTAATCCGAGACCGCTGACCATGGCCTGGCTCTGGCCGTTCACAGAGGCTGCACCCTGAGTACCTTTGTGTCTCTGCTTCTGCTGTTTGCACATAGGGCCTGACTGGAATGAATTTAAATGCTAAGTCTCCACTGGTAAGTGAACAGGGGTCATACGTTACAGACATGTTTGTTCAGTATGCATGTGTGAGGACCACCTCCATGAACATCAGTAGCCCCTCCTGTAACCTGTTGATTATGTCTCTTTAGCCAAACCCTTCAGCATAAAGCTTCTGCCCAACCCCTTCTTCGTAGGAGTGCCTTTTTCTCGTCTTTACCAAGAGCTATGCTTTTCAGCACATGGGTGGACTCTTATCTCTCTTTTTCACTCATTTTCTTAAGCTGCTAGGGAGAATAAAGTGTCAGGTCCTATTTTTGGTGCCTTGATGCTGATGAATTAAGGTTTATTCTCCCTCATCCTTGTCCCCCACACATGGGAAATCTAGTAAGAAATCATGGAAGCTCCCTCATGTGATGTCAGTGTGAGGTTTAAATCACACAAGCTCCTTCTCCTGAGTAGAAACGCCCCCCCCCCCCCCGCCGACCCCACCACCAAATCATTATAAAGCCCTGAGCCAGCCTCCTTTCCTGCTCTACTGAGGAAATTCCAATCTGTAATTTCTTGAGAGGACTGTGCTGCTCTCAGCAGACACCTCAGAAATAGAGCTAATAAATCTTTTCATATTCACCTGGAGTGTGAGTGTGGAAACATCAAACTCGACATCCACACTAACCATTGGTGGGGTCTCTCTTCCTTTGCCTGGCATCACCTACAATTGGAACTGTGGGATTGGAGTCCTGACAATGACCACCACGGGGGCTTTCTTCTCTTGCACTGGATGCTAACTCCTTCTGCCCCAATGCCCAGCATGCTCATTATCCTGGCTGCTGCTGGCTGGCCTTTGGAGTTCTGTTGAGCTGGGCTGCAATGCTGAGTTAAACACTGCACCTTTATAGATTTAGCTGATTAACTTCAGAAGCATTGATAACTTATTGACATTGAGAAACAGGAGTAAGTGACTGTAGGTGACTCTGCCTTTGGTGCATGTGAGAAAGTTTTTCTCTTGTTACGACAAATGTTTCTTCTTCAGAGACTTCACAGGAAGAACAGGATAAGGAATCCAGAGATATGCCACAAAGGAAACTGTTTCATGGAGAGGAAGCCACAGGGCTGACAGGAAACCAGACCTTAAACCCCATCTGCACCTGCCCTGAGGTTGGCTCTTGTGCTCAGTGGGTCCTGTGCGCCCCCAAGTGGTCCTGTGCCCACTTCAGGGAGGCTTGTTTCTAGGCTCACACTGACATTTTTTCTAATTGTTTTCACAAAAATGGAGACAGAGTAAATGGTGAATCCATGCATCTCAGAGAACACAGAACAGCAGAATAACACCCCATGCTCCCCCCACACACATTTAGGTAAATCTTATTAAAATTGTTGAAAACCAAAGACAAATAGAAATACAGGCAGACAAGTGGAGGTGAGTAGAGGGGGCATTCCTTCCAAAAGAACAGAAAAGACCATGACAGCATTCTTCTGGTTAAAACCTTATAAGCAAGAAGAAAATTGATGGTGTCTGTAAAGTGTTGGAAGAAAAGCCAGCCCATTATTTGATAACCCATGGATGTTCGCTATGAAGTGAAAAAAAAAACAGTTCTATTTCTCTTTGACAGCATGAGGGGCTCAATGAATCCATGCCCTCATGAGACCAGTGAAAATTATTTTGGGAAATTACAGGTTTGGAAAGACTCTAACAGCACACAGTGAGTGAAGAAACATTTATTCAGGAAAATCTAGAAAACTCAGTAAGGCCAGTCATCATATTTGATCTAAGATGCTCTTCCTTCCTTCCACATCCCAGCTCAGCATGATGTAAACTCCACTGCGGACAGATGCAGCCAAGAAGACAGGACACCTTCTACCAACTCCCACCAGAGGAAACGCTTTCCCAGGGGCCAGTACGTTGGCCCTCTGACCCTGCACACAGCACATGATGCTGAGGTTCAGTGCTGGACGAGAGCTACTGAGAGCCAGAGACTCACTTCTTCCATAGAGCCCCACTCGTGGATGGAGGCTCTGCCCTGGGTCCAGTGCCACTGGGAACATTCAGTCCGCGGTTTCTAGCTCTGCCCTATGGCACCGATTCCGCCCCACCAGAACCAAAGTGCTGGGATGGTGGGAAGCTTCTGCCCAACCCTCCAATTAGCGCTCATCTCCTAGGCTGAGGAAGAAAAAAGCTCAACTTCGTCTCCACCTGCAGAAACTTGGTTATGCACTCTGTCCCAGGAGAGAAGGGGCACTGGAATTCAGTCATAAAATATGATCCTTAAGTTGGTCCTAAACATCCTAACTTCAATAACAACAGAATGCGGAAAAGTTCAAAGCCTGCCTGTGATCTCAGAAACAGTGGAGGGTGTGGGGGAAGGTGCTTGGAGGGAGATGGGTGGATGCATGGGAGATGCAGACTAAACTGCAGGGCTGCTGGCTTGCAGGAGAGAACCGAGGAGGGGGGAGAGCTGAGGGACGTTCTCTTGTGGTTGGAACAAATGCCGGACGCTGTTCAAAGGAGCCCGTGTTTGTGTCGTTCAGTCTGTGAAGTAGTTGAAACCTCACTGCATGGTTGAAAATAGGATTTTCCATCTGCAAGTGGTGGAGCTCAACATCTGGGTCTGGTCAGGAAAGAGACACAGAAAGTCCAGCCCAAACCACTGACACCTGAGGATGACCGTGGTGCTTACAGCTGTGTCCCTTTGATCTTTGAGACTGGCTTCTCTCACTTAGCACAATGTCTGGAGTTCACCTGCAATGGTTTATGTATTGGTCACTTGTTTTTTTTTTTATTGCTGGTGGTATTCAATTTATAGATGCTTCCTAGTTCTTCACCTATTCAAATTTTGAGACATTTATGTTATTTTTACTTTCTAACACACATACACACGATATCTTGAATATTTGAATAGAAGTTATGCGTGAATGTAAGATTGTTTTTCTCTGATGCAAATATTCAGGTGTTAAGGGTATGTTTGATTTTAGAGAAAACTAAAAATTATTTTCCTGAGTATCTGTTTCATTTTGCATTCCCGTTAGCAATGTTTTAGCCTCTAGCAACCTGGTATGCTCACCAGCATTGATGTTATCTGTATTTCTTCTTAATTTCAGCCATTTTGAAAAGTGTACAGTGGTGTCTCTTTGTGGGCTTGATTTGAATTTCTCTAATGGAAAATCCTGTTGAGAGCCTGTTTATATGCTTCAGTGTCATCTGCACATCTTCTCTGACGAAATGTCTGTAGAAACCCTTGCCTAATTTATCCATCAGTTGTTTCTTTTTTATTCACAGTTGAGTTCTGAAGGTTCTTATTATAATTACATTGGTGGTTATATGACTCGCAAACAGTTTCTCATCTGTAACCGGGCATTCATTTTCTTACAGTCACTTGAGTAGAAAAAGTTTTTAAATTTAATGAGGTCAACTAATATCAAGTTCATTTATTGATCATATTCTACATTTTAATTTTAAGATCATTGGTCAATTCTTAATTATTTTATATTGTGCCTGTTATGTAATGACTCATCATGCTCCCACCTTCTGCCCACCCATCCTTCTAAGTCTCCAATGTGTATAATTTCTCTCTACAAATCCTTGTGTACACACTGTTTACCTCCCACTTACAAGTAATAACATGTGACATGTGACATTCTGTTTGTGAGTTAGTTCACTAATTGTATTGTCCCCCACTTCTATGCATCTTGCTGCAAAAGACACAGTTTCATTCCTTATTGTGACTGACTAGTATTGAATTGTGCATACGTGCTATATTCTTTTATAAAATCATTTGTTGGCAGACACTCAGTTTGACATATGTGCTATTGAGAGTAGTTTTATGGTAAGCATAGAAGGTGGGTATCTTTTTGAAATAATAGTTTATTTTCCTTTGGGTAGTTACCCAGTAGTGGGATTGCTGGACCAAATGGCAGTTCTATTTCTAGTTTTCTGGGAAATCTCCATACCATTTTCCACAGAGGTTGTACTCGTCTACATCCTCATCAACAATGTCTAAGAGTTGCCTTTATTTCCCATCCTCAGCAACATCTGATATTATTTGAGTTTTTAGTAACAGTCATTGTGACTGGTGGAAGATGATATCTTATTGTGGTTTTAATTTGCATTTCCCTGATGGTTAGTGATGTTGAGCATTGTTTATATATTTATTATCCATTTCTATGTGTTCTTTTGAAAATGTCTACTCATGTTCTTTGCTCATTTTAATGGGGTTATTTGGTTCTCGTTGCTGTTGTTGTTGTAGAGTTGTTTGAGTTCCTTGCAAATTCTTCATATTAGTTCCCTGTCACAGACAAAGTGTGCAAAAGTTTTCTGTCATTCTGCAAATTGTGTATTCACTCTGTTGTTGTGAAAAAAATTATTTAGGTTAATTAAGTCTCATCTGTCTATTTTTTTTTAGGTAACAGGAACCTTTCATGCTGAATCTTTGTCAAACAGGATACAGCTTCTGCTTGCACGAACCACTAACAGGGGACATGCCATTTATTAGTAAAGAAGAGGGAGGAAAACAAGGCTCTGAGTCAGATGGGGATGGGAAACGCAGGCCCTGGCAGGAAATGGCATCTCAGCCACACTATCCTGTTCTGCAGAGGTGGGGAGGGAGCACCACTGAGAAGCAGCCTGGGTTCTTGTACAGGAGGCGCCCTGGGCTGTGTCTCTGTGGTATCCGTGCACAGTAATACGTGGCTGTGTCCACAGGGTCCATGTTGGTCATTGTAAGGACCACCTGGTTTTTGGAGGTGTCCTTGGAGATGGTGAGCCTGGTCTTCAGAGATGTGCTGTAGAATTTATCATCATCCCAATCAATGCGTGCAAGCCACTCCAGGGCCTTCCCTGGGGGCTGACGGATCCAGCTCACACGCATTCCACTAGTGCTGAGTGAGAACCCAGAGAAGGTGCAGGTCAGTGTGAGGGTCTGTGTGGGTTTCACCAGCGCAGGACCAGACTCCTTCAAGGTGACCTGGGATAAGACCCCTGTGGAGAAGACATAAGAAGATGAAGCCCACAAAGGAGAGAATAGATTTTTTGCTTCTGAAGTACTACCTGACCACAGCACTCACAGGACGGGACAGTCAGTAGCAGGAGCGTGGAACAAAGTATGTCCATGGTGGAGAGCAGGATTCACTGAGCGAGGCCCTGTCCTCGTCTTTTGAACCCAGGGGAGGGTGGAGCTGGTGGAGATTTGCATCCCCTCATCTGAGCCCTACTCTATGGGGTGCACTCAGGTCTCAGGACTCAGTAGGGGAGTGCATCTGTGGTGAGGAGCAGTGAGCCCTCAGGTGTGGGGGTCCACGTGTGCTCTCCATCAGGGAATCTATCTCATTTCAGCACCATGGCTCTCAGTCAAGTCTTGACGCTCCTGCTTCTACAGACAGGATCTTCTTCGATGCTCCCGCACTGGACATGCAACCTTCTGGTTTTAGTCCTAGAGGATTAGAGTAGAAATCAAGAGAGCTGCCGTTCCTCCTCCCTTCAAGAGTAGTGATGTTGGGCATCTGGCAGGCAAGGGGCTCCCCACAAGCATTCTGATCAAAATCCTCTTTGATTATGGGGAAAAGTGATGAATTTGTGTAAAAAAATTGGAGAGAATAAATAAGAAAATACAGTTACAAGTAATTATGTAAAGAAGTGTGTGCTTAGCAGTGTGTGTGCACACAGCTGCATTCCTAGAGGCATGTTCCATGAAAAATCGATGTTGTCCTTGTGCCCCGTCAGTTCTGTGGAGAGAGTAGACTGCATGAATGACTTCCCTTTTCTCAGCCCATGAATGAGCGGATGCTTTGGACAAGGGAATTGGAAGACTCCTGAGGGAGCAGCAGGCTGACTGTTGCAGCCTTGCTCTGCACCTGCACTGGATGTGGTCTCTGTGCTCATGAGGCCATGGAAACTCATCAATCCAGGTTCAAGAAGTTAACTGCAGAGTTATATTCATTTGTGTTTTCCTTTGTAACAAGAAAGTTCTGAGTTACAGATGATATAGTGGGTGGTCTCCTTAGGGTTGGATGCTGTGAAGCAAAAGAAGACAACCCTAGATTGTAGTCAGAGGTTCTCTGGCTGGTTCCTTGATGCACCTGCTCCTAAATGGGGCTCTGTCTTGGCTGAGTTCTGAGTTTCTTCTGCTTGTCCTCTGCTGCCCATACAGCCCAGATAAAGGAGGGCCAGGGGATCTGCTTCTGAGATGCCCAGTCCTATGTCTGGCTCCAAGCCAGGAGCTCAGCCAGTCCTGGGGGCTGAACCTTGGATCTCTCCTGTGAGACCTCACCTGTGCACTGAGCATCCTCACACCTCACAGCAAGGTGGCAAGGTCAGCTTCACAGAAATTACTGTAGACAATTTTCAGCAAATCTAATTGCAGTTCGACTATATAATTAAGGAATCATTTTTACTGGGGTGTAAGTGACTGACATGTCCCCCCCCACACACACACGCACACACACATAAACAGTATGGACATTAATTTACATTTCCCAAAAACTGGACACATTTTTAATTATTCCTGATGAATTCACAAAATTCTGAGGTTTGAATCAGAAACTAAAATGTAACATTTTCTATAACCAAACTTACAAATGAATAAGATGGGGTCAGAAAAATCAAGATTGAGTTATTACCTGCAGTCTAATGGTGGTAAGTTACATAATGGAGCTGTGATGAGACAGGCTTCCAGGTGCTCTAATTCTTAACCCCTCAATTACAGCTGACCAGCAATCTCTGAGAGTGAGGAAGCTAGAGGTTCCCCACACGGGAAAGCTCTCTGACTCCATAAAACTTCTCTGGGCTTCTCTGCAGGCTCAGAGGTGTGCAGACTCCTACCCCAGATTCTGCAGTCAGGCAAATCCCTGCTCTTTCCCGGGGACACAAGAGATAGTGTGGATAAGGGCCAGATGTGCTCTACTCAAGGTCTCTGCACATGGGGAAAAACCAGTGAAAGTGGAAAATGGATGTTCTTGATTCTTGGAACAATTCCCATGAAAAACTCAACTCTGCACCAGGACCTCATGCACAATTATAAACAAATGTAATTAAAATAAATGTGAAAATTACAATTGTTTGCAGGTGCACATTTGTTCATATATTTTTCCAAAAAGTAAAGTAAAAGCAGGTGTTCTCTATAAAAATCCAAAAACAGCGTGTTGGCCCTGAGAATGCACGTCCCTCCCTCCTCCTACAGGCAGCAAAATGCAGGTGGGTCAGGTTCCCAGCAGCTGCTTTCTGACATCTGTGGCATGGCAGGTGCTGAGGCCCATGTCCTGTGGTCTACTCTAATGAAAGGAGTGACTCTGCAGGGATTCCTAAGCAGAGCCATTATTTCTGGGAGTCATGGGGATCCCCTGAGAGGCAGCACTGACTTGCACAAGACTCAATTATATTTTGCACCTTCCTTGCACAGCACAGAAATATAGGGACCTTCCACCCAATCCAGCTTCCCTCTCTCTTTCACTCAGGGACAGGCTTCCACCATGTGCCATCAGCTTCCCAGCCTCATTCCACCCCCTGTGCATTTTCTCTCAAAGGGATGAATGTATTTCTCACAACGGATGGATTATTCATGAGTCCCCTGGGCAATTCCCGAAGCTGAGGTTTCCTCCCTCCTTTGTACACCATCTAGGGAACCTGCCTGATGTTGCCATGGCATGTGTAAACCATCATGGCGCTGAAGGGAGTGGCTTTCAGCATGTTAAGGCATTATAATGAGCAGTGAGGATGAACAGAAATCACTTTTGTTGCCATCTTGGTTTTGGTGGGCTTTGCCCAGCTTCTTTACTGTAACCTTTACCAGCAAGGTCTTTATAACCTGGATCGTGTGCAGACCTCCTATCTCATCCTGTGACTAAGGATGCCTTAGCTTACTGGAAATGTAGCCCAGCAGGTCTCAGTCTTATTTTTTCTAGCCCTTATTCAAGATGAAGTTGCTCTTGTTCAAAAGCTTCTGACACGAAAAATGTAGAAAGGTATTTGTAATATGAGCATGACTGTATTGCCAAATATAAAATAAAACATAATAATGGCAACAATTTTCCCTGCCACCTTGACTAGACCACAGTCTCACCTACTCAATCACACACTAGCCTAGGTGTTGCTCCCATGGCATAATGCAGGTCTTAGTAGAGCCTGCCACTAATTTTGCCCAAGTCACGAAGAGTGTTCTAGATAACCTAGGTGGGCCTGATTCAATCAGAGCATAACAGAAGACGATGGGACTCCATGCTGGACGGCAGATGCAGGTTTTCCTAGGAATCCCAGCCTGCCTTTCCCGAAGGCCAGCAGTATTGACCTTAGGCTGCCTAGCCAGACCCTATAATTACTATTACCAGAGCTCACAGCACAATGGAGTGTCCATCCTCAGCTCTCCTAAAGTCACAGGGGAGAGCATAAATTCTGTGACAGTGTGAGAAGCACAAGATCAGCTCTACATCCACATCCCTTTGGAGAAAACTAGTATTATTCCCTTCATGACTAATGTTCATTTCGTTTTCCAAACACCTCCACACACAAAATACAGCAGGAGTGTCATCAGCCTATGGTGAGTGAGAAAGTCCCCTCAGCCTACCCAGGTCCTGCAGACCTGATCTCTGGGATTTTGACTACAGAAAACACATCCTCTGTTTTCAGGAAAGAGAAGAAGAAAGGGAACTGTGAGAATCAAGTATGCAGAGAAGGAAAATGGATTAGCAGAAAGGGGGTCAAGTGAATCAGTCTGAGTCATATGTACACAGTTTTACAAGACCAGGGGGGATTGCTGTGAAAACCACAAGGTTTTAAGGACTCTGACCCTGGGTGAGCGTCTCTCTTGGCTCCTATCAGAACTCAAAGCCTGTTCTAATCAGAGATTCCTGTGGAGGTCGCTGCCCTGAGTCTAACTGGCAAACACTCTTCGGGTTCCCCTGAGATTCCTCGGAACTTTCATCCTGCTGACCACAGAAGGATCATCTGCCCCCAAAGTGACACTGTGGCTTCTGTGGAGGTGAGGGTGTGTCCTCCTGTTACAAAAACAAAAATACAAAAAGAACAAAAAAGTTTTGCATTTAGAGACATGAAATGTCAGTACAGAATTGTAAATCTGGAGAAGTTCCCTGGAGAAATTTGACAACGAGGCCGCCCAGGCCATGACAGGGAAGCCAGGCCTCAGCAGCACCTGCACCTGCCCTGGAGACAGCCCCGTGCACAGTGTCCCGGGCGCCCCCTGGTGGTCCTGGGGACCCCTGCAGGGAGGTTTGTGTCTGGGCTCACACTGACTTCCCCTCACTGTGTCTCTCGCACAGTAATACACAGCCGTGTCCTCGGCTCTCAGGCTGTTCATTTGCAGATACAGTGAGTTCTTGGCGTTGTCTCTGGAGATGGTGAATCGGCCCTTCACAGAGTCTGCGTAGTATATGGTACTACTACTACTAATGGATGAGACCCACTCCAGCCCCTTCCCTGGAGCCTGGCGGACCCAGTTCATGTAGTAGTCACTGAAGGTGAATCCAGAGGCTGCACAGGAGAGTCTCAGGGACCCCCCAGGCTTTACCAAGCCTCCCCCAGACTCCACCAGCTGCACCTCACACTGGACACCTGCAAACAAAGAGACAACCTGGTCAGAAACTTCCACACAAATCCACTGTTTATCTCACTCTTATCCACTCACACTCAATTTTTCTATTTCTCCATGAATTACCTTTTAAAATAGCCACAAGAAAAAGCCAGCTCAGCCATGACTCCTTGGTGGTCCTCTGTGTTCAGTCCTGATCACCAAATGAAAACACCTGAAAATCCCAGGGCTGGGGCTCCTGTCCCAGAGCTGCAGGGTCAGGGCTGGGCTGGTTTTCATAAGCAGAGGGAGGGCTCTATTTCCATGTCTCCTACTATATAGTAAGCTCTCTGGTTAGAGGCCTTTGGAGAGAGTGGGGCTCAGAGCACGTGACAGTGTCCTGGGGAGATTTGTGATATTGATAGCATTTGGGAAATTGTGGTTTCTTATGGTAAATCTGCTCTGTGATAAAACCTTAAAACCTATAAATCTTATAATTTTGTAATTTTTATTTTAAAACAGTTCTATTGAGGTACAGTAGATCAACAGAAAGTGCATATGTTTAAAGTTAGAACAAATCATCTTTTATTTTTTCATATGCAGTGAAACCATGGTATGTAGTATCAATGTTATTTCCATGTAACAGATGAAAAATTACCAGCAAAATCACAGATCGGTTGTTCAATCTCCCTAGAGTTCACATTTGGTCAGGGTGACCTGGGTATCTGGGCCTGTGCTTCTCACCACCGAGCCTGACTGCTCCCTGAACTAAGCACAGCACACAGGGCGTCGCACCTACTGAGGTTTGCAGAACCTTTTCTCTGTAACAAGAATATGGTGTGATGTGTACGCACTGTTGTGATTACCTAACAAATGTGAAGAAAAGCACGTTTCCTACAGTTTTATTTTCTTGAGTGTCATACATTTCTCATGTCAGTGTCTGTCTTTCCATCAATCTTTATCTAACAAATTATCTATTCACTTATTTCTGATACCCTTATTGAGGCATTATTGCTGTATAATAAATATTGCATAATTAAAGTGTGCAGTGTAGTAAGCACTGAAGCTGAGCATGGTGGTGCATACATAGGGCAGAGGGAGGAGGATTGCTGGAGACCCAGGGTCTGAGGCTGCAGAGAGCTGTGATCTCACCACTGAGCTCCAGCCTGGATGACAAAGCAAGACCATGTCTCCAAAGGGAAAAAAAAAATGTAATTTCTCATGTGCTCACCTGTGCATCCAAAATACAATAAAAACAACGATGAATTACACTTAAAAGCTTCCTTGTGTTCCTCTCATTCCTGCCTCCCAGTCATTTCCCTCTCACCATACTGAGTCAACCTCTCATCTTTGTTAATTCAGATCTATTTTTCGAGATTTTGTTAAAGTGAAATCTTACATTTTCAATTTCATTTGTGTGGCTTCTTGCACAGCATAATTACTTGTGAGTCAGTAATTTGGTTGTGTATAAAGAATGTGTTGATTCTGATGAGGAAGAGCATTCCAGTTTAAGACAGCAACCATAGTATTTATTTAGAAATCTCCTTAATATTTGCATAATTTCCAGTTTCTGAGTATTACAAATAAAGCTTCTACTCAGCTGGGAGATGTAGGCATCCCATAAAATATATTATTTTTACAACAACAATTAACTTTACTGACATGCAAATTAACACATTTTCTTTAATAAATCAGATTATTGATGTTATAGGACAATCAAGAGACCTTACATCTTGAGAAAATCAGTGACTTGCAGGAACAAACAGAAGAGAATATGACCTTATCTGGGGCAGAGGCCTGCAAATGTCATATAATCTAATGCAAAATTAAATTAGACATATTCATTGGATTGTTTAAAATTGAGTATAATAAAGAAGTTATTGTTTATTCTCAGAGGACATACGACTGAGGGAATCCTATTGCTATTGAAACCTTTTCTGCCAGGATTGAGGACACATCAGAAAAATCTCCAACCTCTCCCTCCCGAGATGGTTCTGTGTGGGAAACGGAACAGCAGCTGTGGCTGAAATGCATCCAGACCCACCTCCCTCACCACCACTACATGACCAAAGAATTAACATGCAGGGGCAAAGCCACTAACACCTCTGTGTTACAGGCACTGGAGGAACTCATAGAATCTGGGAAGGAAGAAAGAAAAGCTCCAAAGCTCTGTCCATTCTCTCAGGAATAACAGCCTCATCTCCCACCTCCTCTCTCTTCCCTCAGGAAAAATAGCCTCATCCTGCTGGGAAGGGCAGAAAAGAGGAAGCTGAAGACATCAGTGGAAGACATAGTGGCTGCTGGAAGAAGATCTGGGAAAAAACAACGAGACCCTCTACCCAGGAATGGGAGGAAGATGCATGGATCAGCATCACACCTGCAGGAGGGGCAGGGATACTTGGAAGGACACGTCCTCAGCCAGGACTGTGATGTCTGCCTGGAGTGTGGCTCCCTCAGAAGGACAGAGAGTGCCCGTTCTGTGCGACCCTTCCCACCACATTGACAATTATCAGGTCCATGTGGCTCTGGGATGACCTGGGTGAGATGAAAGACAGAGTCTCTCTGGAACACACAATTTAAGGCCCAATGCCAAGCAGAAAACAAAATTAAGGTGTCATTAGAGTAATCTGAGTGTCTGGTGGCTGAAGAGGAAATGCACTTAGATTCTGGGAGCCACTGTGACAATGACTTTCAAATGCAGCCCTGACTAGTTTCACACAATTTTCTACAATAAAGGCCAAGAAAAGAAAGAATCTGTCTGCAAAAATTGCAAAAAAATCATAAAACAAATAATTAGCTGATATAATGAACCTGATAGAAGAATCTGTGGAATGTAGATTTTGAAATAACTGCATAAATGCTTTGAAACATTTACACTTGATCCCATTGTTAGTCTATGCATAACTTCATAAGAAATTGCCAACATGTGCTATAACTAATACTAATATAACTAATACTATATTAATATCATGCTTGTAACAAAGACCACAGAGTAGGTTCTGTTAGAACTATCGATGAAAAAGCCAACTTTGCAAAATATTTGGAGAGATTTATTCTGAGCCAAATGTGGGGACCATGCCCTGTGACACAACCCCAGAAGATCTTGAGAACATGTTCCCAAAGTGGCTTGATGGCAGCTTAAATTTAATGTCTTAGAGAGACAGACTTCAACCAATACATGAGAGAAACGTGTTGATTTGGTCCATAAAGAAAAACTGCTAGAAGTGAGTCAGTATGGGCAGGGGATTACACCTTACAGGTGAACTCAAAGATTTTCTGATTGGCAATTGGTTGAAAGACTTAAGTTTTTTTCTAAAGACCTGAAAGCAGTAGAAAAACGTTTCTAGGTTAAGATAACGGGTTTTGGAGAACAAGATTCTTATTATGTATATGAAGTCTCTTTTTTCATATATATATATTTTTTTATTATACTTTAAGTTCTAGGGTACATGTGCACAACGTGCAGGTTTGTTACATATGTGTACATGTGCCATGTTGGTGTGCTGCACCCATTAACTCATCATTTACATTAAGTATATCTCCCAATGCTATCCCTCCCCCCTCCCCCAACCCCCACAACAGGCCCCGGTGTGTGATGTTCCCCTTCCTGTGTCCTGTGACCACTTTTAGAGGCAGTGGATGGGAAATGTTTTCTATTAAGACCTTTAAAAGATACTAGACTCTCAGCTAATCTCAGTATAACAAAAACACCTGGAAAGGGAAGGAGATTCTCTACAGAATATAAATTTCTCTCACAAAAGATAACTTTGCAGGGCGATTTTAAAATATGTCGAAGGAATATTCTAGCCTTTGATTCCTTTCAAAGTCTGCTCTCTGTCATGTGATGCTATTCTTGAGTCAAGTTAGAATTTGGCATTTTGCTGCTACAAAGAATCTGTTTTCTGAGGCTTAAGATCTGTTTTTATAAAAATGCTGGTTAGTTGTGCTTGAATTCCAAAGGGGGGAGGGTATAATGAGGCATTTCTGATCCTCTATTTCTAACATGGCGTGAGCTAGGTTTTCAAGTCTCTGGAACTCCTTGGTGAAGAGGAAGGGTCCATCCAGTCAGTTGGATGCTTAGAATCATAATTTTAGTTTCTAGGACAGATATGAGATTTATCTTAGGGGTACCAGAAAATATTTACGAGATAATCACATTGAAGTTGAGACTTGAAAGATGGTCCCAGATTCTTCCCTGCAAACTTTTTCTCCTGAGACTAGAAGAAGAAAACTTACCAGAAACAAATGTTAACATTTCTTCTATGTTCAAAATAGCCATCCATTAAGAAAACAGTTAAACTTGGGAGACTTATCTTTAGAAACAAGTAGTCCAGTTGATTTCTAAAGTCCTTTACAAACCCACAGACTCTGATTAGTTTACAGATTATGCAGCACATCCCATCTAACGGGTGTAGGGAGACCCCCTGAAACTATTGCTATGGAATAAAAGATGAAATCCTCCTGATTATTGTAAATATAAAATTGCACGCAGGATTGTGTAAAGACAATGCCAGGTTGGACTGCCAGAACAAGCCAACAGCGCGTGATGTGCTTCCCCCTGCAGAGAGCCTGTGAATGGACGTGCAGTCAGGGAGGTTTCACATCACCAAGATTCCTGTCCCAGAAAAGCAGATGTTCATAGCTCTGGGAATGGAATGCGACCCTTGTGGAGAGCCTATAAACGGACGCATGGGGGGCACCTGTCCATATGGATAAGATAGGGCTATAAACGCCCCCATCTTGCCACGGCTCTTCTAAGCCTCTTTAGGGTTAAGGCATACTCCCTTTTGAGAAATTCCGGTCTAACCCGTTGTCTAGCTTCACGTCCTGTTTCATGGATTGTTTGTAACCAGCTTTTGCTGCAACTGTTACTGCTGATTAATATCTTGCTAATCACAGGTTATGGAAAGACTGTGTTTCTGTTTTAAGGCTCTGTTAGAAATTATGGATGCACACACTATATTGTAAATTCTTATCTCTGTAACCTCTACATACAAATGTACTGTACTTCTGCATACAGATGTTATGTTAAAGAATTACTTCATCCTGATGTGACCATCTCACCTCATAATCAAATGATCCTAAATCCCTCACTAACCTACCCCCACCCTTACTAAACTTAATAATAAATGCTGGTATATCCAGTGCATTGTTGGCACCATGGGACCAGAAGGCGGTGACTCCCCTGGACTCAGTGTACACTATCTTGTGTGTGTCTATTATTTCTCAACCTGCTGATCCTCCTGGGAACAAAGAGAGAGCCCCATTGCATTGCAGGCTGCTGGCCAGATCCCACAATAAATGGGAATCTGCAATTAGCTGGATTCCTTGGCATTGGTGTTTTTTTAATGTTTAATTTATATAGATACATAATAGTTCAAAATCTTTAGGGGGTACAATTGATATTTTGATAATAGCATTTTATGTTCAATGATCAAATCTGGATAACTGGGATAGCCTTTATCTCAATCATTGATTACTTTTTGTGTTATGTGCACTCTAAATCTTATCTTCTAGCTATTTTGAAACATACAGTAAATTATTAACTGGAGTTGTCTATGTGTCGCTTTAGCATTCCCAGCAGCAAGGAGTGAAAGTTCCTGTTTTTCAACTTCCTCATCACCGTTTGATATTGTCTACATTGTGTATTTTACCCATTCTCATAGATTAGCAGAATTTTTAAAAATATTAAACAAACATGTACTTCATGAAAATCAAGTTGATCTCTTTTTATATATATTTTTAGATGTGGTTTCTATTCAGGTCTTTGCCCATTTTAAAATTAAATGTTGTGGTTTTATTGTTGTTCAATTGTAAGTTAATTTGTATATTTGTGATAAAATCCCTTTTCCAAATAACGGATTTGCAAGGAAATTCTCCAAATCTATAGCTTACCTTTTCACTCTTATGTAAGGGTTTATTTTCAAAGGCATAGGTTAGTTTATCCATATATGAAAAGAGGATAATTGTAATTCTACATTCTTAGAATCATTAGAATAATGTTGGTTAAAATAATCCCTGTATCCAGCACTTTGTAAGTTTTGGTATAATACCAGTGAGAAAAATTTATAGAGTGTTCTGCGAAGGCCAGAAATCAGAAGGTGATAAAGTGACAATCGTATTTGAATAATCCGGAGATATGAAGTGTATTGGGTATTCATCTCCTTCTATTTGTCTATGAAGAGAAAATGGATAGATGACATCTCCATGTGAAATGGGACACATAGTTTTTAAGATGATTCTGAAGGAAAGTTGCTAATACAATCTCTCAGGTGATGTTCCAACACAGGCTGTGGAGGGGATGGTGGCCGCCGGTGGTTGCTGTGGCCACTATTTTGTCCATGAGAGACATTAGACTGTGATGTACCACATGCAGGCGAGTTTCTTAATCTCAGATAAGGGGAGAACATGAGAACACAGAACACGGGAAAATTGAAGATCTCACTACATCAACCACATTCCACTGAGGAGAACTTGTCACTGAGAGACCCGGGGATGCTCAGGGAATGGAGAGGACTTTGGGGGATGTTATCCATGAAAGAACCGATCCAACTTCGTTGACTTCCCCATGGAAGGAGTGTTTATATGTTTATTCACAGAGAATGGTGGCTTATGTCAGGATTCCCACAGGTTTCAGAAATGGTTCTAATAACAAATGTCATACTTTGTTTAGAATTGATTTATTTTTTATAATTTATTTTCCCCCTCTAGGCAGCACCACAGAAGAATGTTCTCAGAATCCTTCCTGATCTTCTATGAGTTTCTGGTGTAGCTCCTGGAGGAAAAGGCTGTGTGGGAGGGAGCCCTCCTCATGTGCAGCCCTGAGGCAGTCCCGTCAGCTCACCCACCACTGCCCTTCAGTCACTTCCTGAACACTTATGAGTTAACCTTCCTGAAACGTGATATTTGGCAGTGTCTTTCCCAGGTAATAAAATACTTCCATTCTGTTTATCCCTGCAGGCCCCTGTCCCTTTCTGGAGCATGGGTTGCAGTTGAGTGTGTGCTAGTGGATAATCAGTGGGAGAAGGTTTGTGTACATCTTGTCATCTTCCAGAGTGCACCCCTCATGGGGTGGACACTGACAAGCACGCAGATATGCTTGCTCAGCTGAAGGATGACAGACGTTTTTGTAACCTGTGACCCAATCAGGCTCAGGCCTCTGGCTAAAGTGTAGTCAGCAAAGGGTACAGTGCCCAACCCTGAGAGCTCCTTCCACGTGCCAAACCACTTTGTAAAGGAAGCTTTGTTTTTCCTGCCTGGATCTCATGCATGTGTTTGCATTTTCTGCCCAAAGTGCTTTATCCAGAAACACCCACAAGATCTTACAGTGTTTTGAATCCGACTGAAGGGCATTATTCACGAAAGCCCTCATGACCAAAGTCTCCACTTCTCATTAAAGGACATTAATTATAGGATTCAGCAGAAGCCACTGGCCTTTTAGTTGCACAGACCTGCCTCTACACCAGTGGTCCCCAACCTTTTTGCCACCAGGGAACAGTTTCATGGATGACAATTTTTCCATGGATGAGGGAGGCAGGTGGTTATGGGATGAACCTGTTCCACCTGCAATCATCAGGCATTAGATTCTCATAGGGAGCGGTCGCCCTAGATCCCTTGCATGCACAGTTCACAATAGAATTTGGCTCCTAGGAAAATCTAATGCGCAGCTGATCTGACAGGAGGCGGAGCTCAGGCAGTGATGCTCACCCCCTGTTCATCTCCTGCTGTGCAGCCTGCTTTCTATCAGGCTGCTGACCAGTACGGGTTCACTGCCTAGGGGTTGGAGACCCCTGCCGTAAGTGCTTGGAGACCTTATCCTCTTGGTAGGGGCATATAAAACCAGGAGTCAGACGAGCTCTAAACCGCTGTACATTTTATGGACTCTTGAGGAGATCCCCTGCTGTAAATTCTTGGAGACCTTACCTTCTGGAAAGGGGCATAGAAAACCAGGAGTTAGTTGAGCTCTAAATCAATGTACATTTTATGGATTCTTGAGGAAACAGTGCAAAGAGGATCATCCCCACTCACTTTCCCTCTACCTGGCATCATTTCCTGTAACCCACTAGAAGAACCTGGGGTGCTTCAAGGTAATTTAGGCTTGTTATACCAGGGGCCACCAGGAAAGGAAACAATCAAGGTGTCCATGTGGGTTCATCTGTTGCAAGTTATTTATTACTTCAGCGCAGGGTGTTGATCATGGAGAAGTCTGTGCATGTCTTGGGCAGGAGTACATGGGAATGCTGTTTATTCTACTCAAATTTGCTGCAATCCTAAAAATGTTTTAAAATAAAATTAATGTAAAAGGAGTGGCAAAGACATTTTGTTAGAAATGTTGGTCACTTTTTAGAAATTATATTTAGTCTTACCATGTGATCAAGCAATCCTGCTCCAAATGATTTATCCATTCGATTTTAAAATTTATGTCCTCACAAAGGAATGTTTGCATCCACTCCATTGATTGCTGCCTTTCCCACTCTGTGAATGTTACTTACAGGGTGAAAGTTGAAAAGATTATTTCCTATATAATTGGAATGTATACATCTTTCTATTTCTACTTTTACTCTGTGACTTAACCCATCTTCTAAACACTTTAAACCTCATAAATGCTGTCATCTTTTCAGCCCCAGCACAGCTGCCTCCTTCCTCAGGGTTTCTGACACTCTCAGCATGTGGGTTTTCACACTGTGTCTGTTGCACAGTAATACACGGCCGTGTCCTCAGATCTCAGGCTGCTCAGCTCCATGTAGGCTGTGTCTGTAGACGTGTCCGCGGTTATGGTGACTCTGCCCTGGAACTTCTCTGCGTATATTGTTTCACCATCTTCAGGATCAACAAGTCCCATCCACTCAAGCCCTTTTCCAGGGGCCTGTTGCACCCAGTGCATGTAGTAGTCGGTGAAGGTGTATCCAGAAACCTTGCAGGAGATTTTCACTGTAGCCCCAGGCTTCTTCACCTCAGCCCCAGACTGTACCAGCTGGACCTCGGCGTGGGTGCCTGTGGAGAAGAGAAAGGAGTGGATGAGACACCACTTAACTGGACCCAGTCCCCTCATCAGCCCTGGAACTAAGGATTCTCTTACCTGTAGCTGCTGCCACCAAGAGGAGGATCCTCCAGGTGCAGTCCATGGTGAGGTGCTGCTCTCTGGGGGCTTCTGTAGGGGAGGGATGTGGCTGTTGTGTGATGCTCTCTGGGCAAGGACAGATCTGTATTTACCTCGGTAGACACCACTGCATTTGCATATTCATGAGGCAGGTATTTCATAGCTTAGGCCACCCCACCCTGGGGAAGAAGATAGGTGACACACGGACCATGCCACAGTGGGACACTGAGCTCCCTGCCCTGAACTTTGTTTAATGATATTTGTCCTCTGACACACTTAGAAGTCCATGAAGACAGAACTCCTCTTACAGAAACCCAGAATCTCACAGGGCATTGTCCTCACTGTGATTTCTTGTTCCTATGGCTCACTGACAATCTGAACTTTTCCTGGGCCTTGCCCTCTGCACATCTAACTTCTGGGATGAGTGTGTCTCCGGAGAGTAACACCCATTGAATTAATAAAACCACCCCTCAATTCCTAACTATAAATACATTTGAAAGGCCTAGACATTTCTCCTTTTAAATGTGTTTTGCGTTAAGTTATTGGGTTTGGTAGCCTCTGTGTATGCAAGAGAATACTAAAGACACATCAGTACTTGCTAAATTCTTATTTAAATTTTATGTCATTATGGCTTTGAAATAAGGAATATTCAATCCCTGAGAGAAAACCCCTCCACAGCCTCCTGTGCACCTGCTCCAGAGCTGGATCCTGTGCTGGGTGCATCCTGAGCGCCCCCTGCAGCTCAGCTCCTGCCCTGCAGGGAAGTTCTTTTCTGGGCTCACAGAGCATTTTTCTCCCAGCATCTCAAGCCCAGTATGACCTGGCTGTGCCCTGGCTAAGAATGCTCCTTCAGTGACAGCAACTACTTCTCACATCACTTCTTACACTAGAAAATAGACCTTAGGAAACCTAACATATCCCACAGGGAGACCTTGGCACAGGAAGCAAGGAATCACTAAATCCACCAGGGAGCCCCTTCCCTGGAGCTCCAGATGCACTGATATGGTCCAGACACATGGCGAGTCCAGGAACTGATGGGGACTTTGGGGCAGCCTCTTTTTTTTTTTTCTTTAGGATTCTGTGGTCGAAGTTTACATCAGATTATCACTTTACGCACACACCTTATGTTTCAAGGTCCACCCCCCACCTACCCCCCCCACACACACTCACGGTGGCATATTTGCACAGTAACAAGCCTCCAATTTGCTCTCCTTCCTAGTGTCTTGCCAATGAAAAGTGCTTCCAACACTGGCGTTGGAACTGGGGTTCTGCAAGCCCCCTGTTGCCCTGAGCATGCCCTGCTGGTCATGAGCGCCCCCTGGTGTCCTGAGTACCACCTGGTGGTTCTGAGCTCCCCCTGGTGTCCAGAGCGCCCCCTGGTTTCCTGAGTGACCCTTGGTGGTTCTGAGAGCCCCCTGGTGATCCTGAGCAATGCCCCCTACAACACACACCATGTCCTGAGCGCACCCTGCTCTGCTGAGCACCCTCTGCTGTCCTGAGTGCCCCCTGGTGTCCTAAGCACCATTTATCACAAAGTCCTCTCTTGTCTCCCTGCAGGGAGGTTTCCGTCTGGACTCACAGAAATGTCCCTCGCTGTATCTCTCACAGTAATACACTGCCTACCCCTGTGAGAGCCCCCTCAGCTTCCAAGTAGATTATTTTAAGGGAGACTGTGCTGGTAATTGGTGTCCCTGGGAATTGTGAATCTTTATTGTGCTGATGCAGAATATCACTGAGAACTTCCACTTGAATCAATCACTGTTACCACCCTCTCCAGCCTCTGTCCCCCAGCCATCTGGACTCAATTCATGCTGTAGTCAGTGAAGGTGAATCTTGATGCTTTGCAGAAGAGGCTAAGAAAACAGCCAGGCTGTTTTGCCAAAGATAAAAATATAGATCCAGTAAACATTTGAGGTTTCCCAGGAAGGTGGGGAGAAGGTGTGTGGATTAGGTGAAACACATTTTTTAATCACAATGAAGCTATCTTTTTTTTTTGAGACAGAGTCTCACTCTGCCACCCAGGCTGGAGTGTGGTGGTGCGATCTGTGCTCACAGCAACCTCCACCTCCTGGGTTCGTGCCATTCTCCTGCCTCAGCCTCCTGAGTATTTGGGACTACAGGTGCCTGCCACCACGCCTGGCTAATTTTTGTATTTTTAGTAGAGATGGGGTTTCATTGTGTTAGCCAGGATGGTCTCGATCTCCTGACCTCGTGACCCGCCCACCTTGGCCTCCCAAAGTGCTGGGATTACAGGTGTGAGCCACCATGCCCGGCCAATGAAACTATTTTTATGATATTCAATGATGGACACATGGCATAAAGAATTTCTGAAAACTCATATTTTTTGAGACAAAGTGTTAACCTAAATGCATACAACTTCGAAAGTATTTAGCAGGTCATGAAACACAAAAAAAGACAGCTGTATAAAAATATCTAACAACAATCAGAAGGTTTGAACTAATTACCCTGAAGAAGGTGGGGCATAAATATTGGACACAAGAAACTTGGAAAGAATTTGATGTTGCGATTGTAAAATATAAATAAGCTCCACATAAGCACTGTATTCTAGTTGATAAACATATTTTCAACAAGGGTCAGTTTAACAATCCTAAAGACGATTTGTGTATTTTGAAATTGTGCACTAAGTAAATTAATGTCATATGGTAGGAGAGGTTTTCTCATTTTGGAGTGTGGGATTATGGACAAGCAGAGAAAGAAGGCTATGAATGTCTATGTGGATGACAGTAGTGTGTAAAAGCCAGTGTGTTCTTAGGTTTAAT
Source organism: Homo sapiens (assembly GCF_000001405.40). Classification (NCBI taxonomy): domain Eukaryota; kingdom Metazoa; phylum Chordata; class Mammalia; order Primates; family Hominidae; genus Homo; species Homo sapiens. Next base: position 1,231,982 of record NT_187600.1, read on the forward strand.
GTAATATAGTTACAGAATATTAGACACATAAACACTTAAATTTTGAATCTTTGTGGGTAAATAGTACATGTATATTTTTATGGGGTACAGAACTCTGAATCAGCATGAACTGCATAATAATCACATTATGAAGAATAGTTTATACATCCTCTCAAGCATTAATAGAGTTACCAACATTCCATTCATAAACTTTTATTTTAAAATCTATAATTAAGTTATTGAGGACTATACTTATTCTGTTGTGTTATCAAATATTATGTGTTATTTATTATTTCTAATCACCTTTTCTACCCATTGACCATCCCCAATAATCCCCATCTAGCATAGACCTTCCCAGCTTCTGGGGACCATCTTTTCCCTCTCTATCTCCACGAGTTCAATTGTCTTAATTTTTAGCTTTCACAAACAAATGGGAACATGTGAATTTCGTCTTTCTCTTCTGGGCTCATTTCAATTAATATAATGAACTCCAGTTTCATCCATGTTGTTGCAAATGATAAAATCTCATTTTTTTATGGCATAATATTAACCCATATCCTATATGTACCATATTTTATTTATCCATTCATGTGTTAATCGGCACATAGGTTGCTTTCAAATTTTGACTGTTGTGAACAGTGCTTTAACAGCGCTATTACAGACATGGTAGTGCAAAAACATTTCCTTTTTAGGGGTATATACCAGCAGCAGGATTGCCAGATTATAATGATAACTATCGTCAGGTTTTGAGGAAACTCTAAGCTGTTCTCTATAGCGGTTGTACTAATTTAAATGCTCAACAGTTTATGAGTGTTCCCATTTCTCCACAGCCTCCCAGGATCCTGATGTGGAGCTGCTTTCTAAGAGATTCTTCCTGTTCTGAGTGCCCACTGGTGTTCTGAGCGCCCCCTGGTGTCCTGAGCGTCCCCTCGTGGTCCTGAGCTTCCTTCCCCTCGCGGTTCAGAGCGTCCCTTGGTTGCCTCAGCGCCCCCTGGTGGCTCCAGCACGCTGACATGTCCTGAGGTCCTCCTGGTGGCCCTGAGGGCTCCCTGGTGGTCCTGAATGCCCTCTGGTGCCCTAAGAGCCCCCTGGTGGTTCTGAGCGTCCCCCGCTGTATCCTGAGTGACCCCCTGGTGTCCTGAGCGCCCCCAGCTGTATCCTGAGGGCCCCCTTGTGTTGAGTGCCCGCTGGTGCTTCTGAGCAGCATCTATCATGCAGTTCCCTCCTGTCTCTGCAGATTTTTGTGTCTGGGCTCGTGCAGATAATCCCTCTCCTGTGAACCTCACAGTATTACACAACCTTGTCCTTGGCATTCAGGTTAGTCATTGTAAGGTAGAGTGCACGTGAAAGGGTGTCGCTGGACCAGTTAATTTATTTGTACTCATGAAGAGTAACCCTGAGCACTCCCACTTGCTGACTCACTGTTGCCAGCCACCACAATCCCTGTTGTGAAGCCTGCTAGACCAACCTCAGGCTGTTGCCAGCAAAGGTGAATCCAGCCACTTTGCATGAAAGTCTCAGTGAATCACTGGGCTGTACAACGTTTACCCCTCTGACTCCACCACTGAACTTCATACAGGACTTCTATGAACACAGAGGAAATAGACTGAGAACAACCCTATGAGCAGCCACAGCTGGACCTGATTTACAAGGGACACTAATATTGAGGGTGATGAGAAGGGAAACCCAGATCAGTGCAGACTCCATAGTGTGAACACTGAAGAAAGACACAGATATGGGGTGGCTCCTCACCAGGGCCTGAAGGAACAGGGGATGAGCTGCCTTTCATGAGGAGGGGATGGGACATATTTCCACGTCTTTCTCTTTGTGGTCGTAGGTGCACCACTCAGCGTTGCTCATCCATCCTCTGTGTCTCCATTTCAGGGAAGGCAGAGTCAAATGATTCCTGCATCTGGATGCACAGGGTTAATCTGCCCATTGCTCTTTCTTATTCTCTAATGTGGACACTGTTCAGGTATCTTCATGTGAGCAAACATTGTCAACAAATTAGTCCAGTAAGAACATAAGAAATACATTTCCAGAGAAAATGGAAATCTGACTGTAATCAGTGCATTTATAGCTGCAAACGACTGTTTCTGACAATGAGAAGAAGTTATGTTACAATGGACAAAATGCAGATCCACAGGTTTTCAGGGTTGGAGTTTATAATTATCATTATCTTGAGATCATTTTGTCGCAAGACAGTTTAACATTGGATATATGTGCTTGTGTCAGGAAACAGTCAATGTTGAAATATGTATACTTATCTGAGTGAAGACTTCATTCACATTGAGACATGTTTGCTTATCTGAGACAAGAGTCCACATGAGGAAATGTCTGTTTTCTGAGGAAAGTGTAAATGTAAGGACATATGTGGCAGTCTGAGGAAATAGTCCATGTGGGGACATTTGTGTTTGAGGGAAGAATCCACATGAGTGAAGCTGTGTCTGTCTGACAGAAGAGTCCACATATTGACAGGTGTGTACCCATCTGAGGGTAAATGCCCATTCAGGTCAGTGTATGCCTGAACTAAGCTGAAGTTAGGGGAAAATCTTTCTCAACCAATGAAAGAAAAAAATCCTTTGGGTTATTTGCTTGTCGGGAATTAAAAACAAGGGTAAGGTAGAAAATTGATTTTTTTAAAATAAAAGGTCTTCAGTGAATGGAAACATTGTATATGCAAATAAGGAAAATTACTTCATTCTTTGTTGCATGTATCTCATAACATCCCCACTCTCACCAAATAAGTTATTGGATAATTTTATACAGTCTGCATTTAATCCTGGGGTTAATGAACTGCTGAATTTTTTTAAATTGAATATATTTAAGTTTATATTTTCCATCACAAAATTATTAGCTTAGACAAATTAGTTATGTCATATCTCAGCCATTGCATATCACTAAAAATAGTTTTATTTTTCTTAAACATCACTTTTTTTTGCTTATTTTATATCCACTCTCTAAATTCCTGGAACATCCTCTATCTGTTTACTTGACTATAGTTTAAGCATTTATGGAATTTCAAATAAATGAAATTATACAATGTAATTGAAATGACTTCATTGAAGAATGTGGAAAATGAAGTTGCTGACCTAAGCAACTCAGAAAACGAGGAAATTCCATAAGTTTAATGTGTAAAAAATCTGCACATAAGCACTCTATTCTAATAGATAAACATGGTTCCAAAAAGGGTACAGCTTTACACTTTAGATACTGCTATGCATGTGTCCTGAAACTGTGCAGCTAAGTAATAAAATTGCATATGGTGGAATGGGGTTTCTCACTTTGTAGTGAGTGGTTATGGAAACTCAAGGAAAGAAGACTAGAAAGGTCTCTGTGCTAACATAGTTGGATGGAGAGACCAGTGTGTTCTCATTTTTAATGTAATAGGGTTACAGAAGATTAGATACATAAATAGTTTCAATGAGTCCATAAACTTGGGTTCATATAAACATGCACGTTTACTGGGACCGTTGTTTGAGAGGTTCTAGAAGTACTCATACCACATTAACAACACACAGAGCCAGTATCACAATGTTTTATTTTAATACTATTCTTTAACATCAGAAACATGCAATCTTTATAAAAATGGTTGATTCTATGTAAAAAAAAGGTAATAAAGAAAACAAGCTTAGAATTTATGGTAATACCAGGAAATACGCAAGTTTTCAAAAACAAAAAAATGAGGTGTGAGGTGTGCTGTAAGGATGCAGGATTCAAACAAAATGAGCTCCCAGCACCTAATAAAGCTGTGGTGCTTTGAACAATTAAATGAATGATGTAGCATGCATCTTTTTCAAAGTATAAAATGGACATCCATCAACCAATACTGATATTAATAGATGATCAATTAAAAAATAATAGGAAGAAGAACACATCTCCTTACAGAAGTATTCCAAATACATTAGATTGATGGTCCTCCAATCAAGCAGGTGAAGTTTAAACACTCATGAGTTGATTGTGGCCTGAGATTAGAGATATGGAAAAAATAATGACTATTAGTTTATTTTATAATGAAACTTCAGATATAATGCCAAAGACATGATCTATGAATGAATAAAATTATATATGTTTTCAATCTAAATTTGTACAAACACACACACACAAACACACACATTTTTCTGCGATACCTACTGATAAGGGAGTAAAAGGCAACCACAGACTTGGAGAAAGTACTTCCTGTGGGGTTCAGTCAGGCTCGTGGGAAAAATTTTAGTTATAATAGCCACAAATCCTCTTGGAAGGCTTGAGAGATTGCATAACTTCAGTAATAAATCTGGCTGAAGGCAGCCTAGTCCCCTTACCTTTAGTTTAGTAAATTTGAGTAGAAACAAAAGAATGTGGGGAGTTTATCTAACTAGCTTGTTCACTCATGTGGTCCTAAGACTCACCTTTGATCTACCTGGATGGTCAGTCAAGCTGGCAAAGCAGAATATCTGTGTGTCAGTGTACTTTATTCACCCGTTGTTGTGTCAGGACCTGCAGGACAGACCCCCACAGCCGGTGCCCCATGTGAGGATCGCTGCAAAGGGAGCGTGACAGACCCCATGAAAACGAAGGTTGAGGAAGACTGCGTGGTCAAGTCAGTAAAACAGTAAGTCATTGGTGCCCACTTGGGATCTCCAAGTTCAGGGGAGATTGTTCAGGCTGAGATTTCATCATGGGACAGCAGTTATCAGCTCAACACAAACAGCATATAAAAGTATTGTAACAGTTGCTTAAGGCTAGGGGAGCATCAGTTTCACAGGCTCAATTAAGGCACCTAATGAAAACTGTTGTCTCACATAATCTGTGGTCCCAGAAGAAGGAAAGCTAGAAGTAAAGCTCTGGGAACAAGTAGGGAGAAATCTTGAACAACATTACACACAAGGGCAACGGGTCCCAGCATCATCTTTAACACTATGGGCTTTAGTAGAGATGGCTTTAGTCCCATTATACAAAGAAGAACCCAAAAAGGGGAAGGAGGAAGAAACGTCACCTGCCTTACCACCTGCTCTTCCCAAAATAACAAAGAGGAAACGGAGGTTTTGCCTGAGCCCCCTCTTTCAATAGATAGAAAAAATAGAGGAAATACACTACAGCTATATGTCCCTGTCTTCGACAAGCAGCATTAAAAGGGGAGCTCTTAGACTGCCCAGTAATGCAAGATCAGCAAGGCAATCAGGTACACAAAGGGTTAAGAAAAGGCATTAGGGGCAGGAGGCAAGTGCAGGAAGCTCCCCTCTGCCAGCAGCAGCTGCTGAGCAGTGTGGGGAGGGAGCTGGCACAGAGGAAACGCGGTGGCGAAAAGTGGCTTCTAAGCAAGCACAAAGCGGCAGCCGCCCTGGGACCCGCCTGCTCCGCTCTCTGGCTCCGCAGGCGGCCCAAAGCAAAATTTGTTATGTTCCTTGTACACAAGCTACATCCCAGATTATAATTCTATGCTAATAGTTAAGTAAAATTCAAGGATTTGAGAAACCTCTTTCTAATAATGACCACTGTTATCTCTCTCTTATTCCTAACATGACTCTCTCCAAATCCAGTTTAAGTAAAACAGTAACCTCTAAAGGGAGAGACATTACAAAAAGCCCCTAAGTTAGTTAGGGAGCAATTAAAAGCAAGCTTTGCTCCCTAGTAGAAAAAAGTTTCCTGGCTACAAGAGTATTCATTTTATGGGTAATATTCTACTAACAGCCCTTAGAATTTACCCATTTTCATCATTCCCAAAAGGCCTAGTTAACGTGTTACCTACAAAAATAGTTTACTCCCCCATATTTAATGCTTTAGCACTGTTTACTGATAGATCTGGTAAACATGGAAAAGCAGCAGTCTGGTGGACACCACACAATTCATTCACTCAATCTGGGTTTACTAGCACTCAGAAAGCTAAAGTTGAGTCCTTAATATTGGGTCTAGAGAACTTTTACAGCCCTAATTAAGTCAACTCTGGAGCCAGCCCTGTGGACTCTTTTTCTCTGATTTCAGCAATTGCTAAATCAAAGTACACATCCTATTTTTATTACACACATTCCAGCCCACAGCTCACTGCGTGGTCCATTAGGTTATGACAATAATCAAGCCGACCTTCAAGTTATGATATCACTGCTTGACCAAGCCACCCAATTGCACCAATTTTTCCACCAAAATTGGAAAAACTTATCTAAACAATTCCAACTTACACAGAGACTGGCTAAACAAATTATCTTACAATGCCCAGATCGCCAGCTCACAGGTACGTCTCTTCCTTCAACAGGTATTAACCCTAGAACCTAATCTGTTGTGTCAAACAGATGTTACACACATCCCTGAATTTGGAAAACTTAGATAGGTACATGTATCCTTTGATATCAACACTCATTTAATTAGTGCACATACTCTGGCTGGAGAGTCTACTCGATATGTCATTAAACATCTTCTTTTATCTTTTGCATTTATGGAACAACCCACAAAAATTAGAACCGATAATTGTCCAGGTAATGCCAGCTCACAATTTCAACAATTTTTTCACATGTGGAATATACGACATTCCACAGGTATCCCATATAACCCCCAAGGACAAGCAATAGTGGAACGTGCCAACTCCACCCTTAAAATATGCACAAAAAACAAAAACGTGGGAGTATGGGTACAGACCCTGCAACACTTTTGGCACAAGCCTTATTTTTTTTTAATTTAGAAGACAAATTTGAATCCGCTGTAGAAAAGCACTTTGCTAAAATTTCCCAATACATGAAACCTGCAGTTTTATGGAAAGATGTAAACAGTAATGAATGGTGTGGTCCAAGTGAATTATTAATGTGGGGAAGAGGGTATGCTTGTATCCACACCCCCTCGGGTCCTCTTTGGGTTCCAGCACGACGCATCAAACCATACCAGGACATTGCTAGGACCCAACCCAGTACCAGAAATGAAGGAGTTAACCCTACAAGACCTACAGCCCCGGACGATGCAGCTTCTGTGAACAACACAATCCCCAGACATTACCTGGGGGATACTGAAAAAGACAACTCAGGAGGCTGAACGAATCCTGCTCCAAATGCAGACACCATTTACTCCAGATAATGTGTTTGGTGCTATGCTTTCTGTTGTACATTGCAACTCATGTAGGGTATTAATCCTTTTTATGCTCTCACTTTGTCTGCAACCTGTACCTGCTACACTCTATTGGGCTTATATCTTAGACACACCTTTCTTTCACCCTGCCAAATGGGAAGACACTCCCTTCCCAGCCTATAGTAACGTGACTGCTTGGCTAGGAGGGATAGATTTACCCCACGTGGGGTCCCTCAATAATGGCACACATTGGACTAAGGTGGCAGATAACACTATATGTCAATCCACTATTATCCTCCCAGTGTGTGTAAGTTATAAAGACTCTAACCCTTACTGTGTACCTGCCCAAAAACAAGTATGGTTACATCATAGCAAAGGAAATGCCTTAACATTCTTAGCTGCAGATAGCCTCAAACTGAGCAATGCAATCCATGCCGCTGCTTCTTTCCCAAACATTCCTTCCTGTGCTAAGGAACAAAGCTGGGACAGTAATCGGTTCGACTTTAGCTGGGAGGTCTGTCATGGGAGACGAGCCCATAGCCTCCAGTGAGGTAATTATAACATCTTAGACTGGAGTCCCAACGGCTGATTGCAGGGCAGCCTTACTAATACCTTCATCCATCAGAGCATCAATCAGTTTCATAGCCATGTCTTTTCCCCTATAATTTGTGCCAATGGGGGGATGGCATATCCAAGGCCCCAAGTAAAGTCCATGCCGCCCCAAGGTACTTTATGGTGTCTGGGACATCTTAGCACCTCCCTTAACACCTGGCATGGGACATACCATATTTCCCGTTGCAACTATGCTATAAGCTTTATTCATAATCACACTGATCAGTGCATAATTTGCACTACCCATCCATACGATTTCCTTATGGGAACTAACATTTCCATTACACCTCAAAACTCCACGTTTGTGACCTGGATGCAGGGACAGGCTTGGTTTGCCTCATGTATCACTAATCACAGTATATCTAACTTAAAAATTACTAGCGCCATGGTATTAAAGAGAAAATCTGAGGCATTCCTACCAGTCAATCTGGCATGCAATTGGCAAGGTTCCTATGCCCTTGCAACCTTAGAACGTGCCCTGTCCCAGGTCAGACACAAAAGATTCATAGTTACACTTATGGCCTTTATAGTCTCAGCCATAGTCATCCTGGCAACAGCTAGTGTTGCTGTTGCATGTATTATTGACTTAGTGTAAACTGCTGCCTTTTTAGATAATCTGGCCAAAAATGTGTCTAATGAACTTCTCTTACAGCAAGGTATAGATCAAAAAATTATCACACGTCTGCTAGCCCTTGAGGCTGCTTTAGAATATGTCAGGGAGCGACAAGATGCAGTGGCATTCTGACAGCATTTAAACTGTGACTGGGAACATGAACATATCTGTATCACTTCTCTACCACGGAATCTATCAATACATAGTTAGGATGAGGTAAAACAATACCTCTGGGGAACCTTTCATGACAATTTAACAGCAGACGTAAAGTAAGTTCAAACTAAAATTTTAGAATCTCTTCACGCAATAGATCTACACCCCCAACAAACAGTCATATGGAAGGGTGTGTGAGATCATCTCTCCTGGTTAGACCCCGCTCCTGGGGGTCACTCTGACTGGAAAAGAATGTTGCTAATTCTACTCATGATTGTTTTATGTTATTTGCTAATTCTAGGATGCAAAGCCAGAATAAGAGCAATGACTGCCACACCTGACAGACATGTTGCTGCGCATATCTGCATGCTCCAATCCAAAAGACCTGATGTAGAAAACAAAAAACGGGGAGATGTGGTGGTCCAGTCAGGCTGGTGGGAAACATTTTAGTTCTAATAGCCACAAACCCTCTTGGAAGGCCTGTGAGTTTGCATAACTTTGGTAATAAATCTGGCTGAAGGCAGCCTAGTCCCCTTACCTTTAGTTACATAAAGTAGAGTAGAAACAAAGGAATGTGAGGAGCTTATCTAACTAGCTTGTTTACTCATGTGTTCCTAAGACTAACCTTTGATCTACCGCGGGTGCTTAATTGCTTTCCACTCAAGAGGTCCACAATGTCAATTACCTTCTAGTGGTGTTTACTCACGGCCTTTGTCAATTAATCTTTACTGAATAAATGTAAGTCTCCCTGACTGATTGAGGCGGTGGCTGTGACTAAGTGGCCCAGATGCTCAGTCGAGCTGGCAAAGCAGAATATCTTTGTGTCAGTGCACTTTATTCATTCGTCATTGTGTCAGGGTGTGCAGGACAAACCCCTGCAACTTCCAAGTCACATATTTGTTAAATGAATTCTTTTAATTTGTTAATTAACTTTTATAATCAATATGCAAGTAAACTTACAACTAATCAAAAGAAAACAGTGCTATTGAAAATGAACCAAATATCAGGAGAGGCATCTCACCAAAAATTATATGAAAATTGTTAAATATGAATTTTATTAGGGGCATGTGCATTTAAGCAAAAATTAGATACCATTACTTACCTATTATAATGGTTAAAACACACAATTCTCATAATGATAAATGGTAATATAATGTGGAAACCCAAGAACAATCATTCATTGATGGTGGGAATTCAAAGAGGTACATGGTCAAAATGAGACTCTTTTTGGCATTTTTTATAGAGACAAAAGTAGAGTTAAAATGTGATCTTGTGTCTGTGTTCCAAAACATTTACAACACTGATTCAGAAATTGATGTTTACAAAGATACCTTCAGAGGAATTTCTATGTCAGCTTTATTAATTTGATTAATTCTCCAATCCCTAGAATTTGCTTACAGAATAAATGTTGCATAAGAAATCTCTCAAATAATTACAATTTCTCAAATACACATTTATATTGTTCCTTTTCGTAAATGACTTAATGCTATTTTCTAAGAAAGTCTTCAATCTAATAATCTTTGTCATCTCCTCCATGCCAGCACAGCTGCCTCCTCCCTGGGGTTCCTGACTCTCTCAGGATGTGGGTTCTCGCACCGTGTATCTTGCCCAGTAATACACAGCCGAGTCCTCAGATCTCAGGCTGCTCAGCTCTATGTAGGCTGTCCTCAGGGACATGTCCCTGGTAATGGTGACTCTGCCCTGGAACTTCTTTGCATAGTTGGTGTTACCATTGTAAAGTGTGATCCATCTCATCCTTTCAAGCCCTTGTCCAGGGGCCTGTTGCAACCAGTGCAAGGAGCAGTAGGTGAAGGTGTATCCGGAAGCCTTGCAGGAGACCTTCACTGAGGCCCCAGGCTTCTTCACCTCAGCCTCAGACTGCCCCAGCTGCACCTGGAAGCAGACACCCATTGGAGGGTGGGACACAGGAGTGGATGAAAGCCTCCTTGACTGTACTCAATCCCCTTCTCATCACTGGGACTTGGGAGCACCTTACCTGTAGCTGCTGCCACCAGGAAGATTAGCTCTAGGTCCTGTCCATGGTGAGGAGCCATGCTCTCGGAGGATTCTCTAGAGGCAGGATGTGATTGTTGGGTGAAGCTCTCAGGGCACAGACCATATTTACCTCAGTGGATCTCAGGTATTTACATATTCATGAGACAGGGCATTTCATAGCTCAAAGCCTGATCCATGATAAGAAAGGGAAGACAAATGACACATCAGCCTTGCAAGAGTGAGATGCTGATGGTCCAAGCCCTAATCCTGCTTGAGGAAATGCATGCCCCTGTCCATTTAGGAATATTTGTGGACAGAGGTCCTTTCACTGAAGAAGAAGCCCCCTCAGAACGGCCCCTCACTGTGAAACTACATTAGATTAGCACAGAGACCACTTGGATCATTCTGGGGACCATCTCGGTCCATGACACAGAGCAGGTGCCTTGGCCCTATGCTGGACCCGTCAGACACCAGCACAGCTCACTGATGACTCTGAGCAAGTGACGCTGATGTCCCACGTGAGTGGCCAGCACGTTCCTCTGAGATCCCTGGGGCGCTCCTGAGACAGGTTCTCCAGCACCTTCCTGGTGTCCTGATTCCCCAGGATCGTCAACAGAAAAACTCTTAGTTTACAGATTTGCCCTGTGATGCATAATTGGAGATGATTTTCTTATGTCATGGACACTAGGATTCAGAAGTTGAAACAGGAGTTAGGAGTTCTTTATGAACTCATGCTCCCATAATAATTTCAAGGGAATTTGTGTTTGGATAAGTTTGGGTTTTATTTCCTACTGGATTTATTAGAATTTCATGAACTGTTTACATACTTTCAGTTCATGTGCATAGATCCTCATCTTTACATGCTGATTTCTGACTCACTCTCAGATCCACACTCTCGGATCCACCACTGCCCTGTCACTCACACAATGTAGGCAACTTTACTTAACACTGAAATCTGAATTTTTTTTTTTTTGGAGATGGAATCTCGCTTTGTTGCCCAAGCTGGAGTGCAGTGGCGCAATGTCAGCTCACTGCAAACTCTGCTTCCCACGATCACTGCCAGCAGCATTGTCTGAGGCTGTAGGTCTTGTAGGATTAAATCTCCTGCCTCAGCCTCCCGAGTAGCTGGGACTACAGGTTCATGCCACAACACCTGGCTAAATTTTGTATTTTGAATAGAGACAGGGTTTCATGGTGTTAGCCAGGATGGTCTCGAGCTCCTGACCTCGTGACCCGCTCACCTCAGCCTCGCAAAGTGCTGGGATTACAGGCATGAGCCACCAGCCCCAGCCTGAAATCTGAAATTATTATTCATGGAAATATAGTGACTCCCATAATTCTCTCTGCATTGAATTAGTAAGACCATCCCTATTCTTCATATTCTCACTATTAAGGTATTTATAATCTTAGAAGCCGACTTTAAAAAGATAGTTCTCCTTGTCTTGAATTGTGGGAGCAGCTCAGATGTGATAGAATATTTAAAAAGATAGTTCTCATCGCCTTGAATTGTGGGAGCAGCTCAGATGTGATAGAATATTTAAAAAGATAGTTCTCCTTGTCTTGAATTGTGAGAGCAGCTCAGATGTGATAGAATACTTAAAAAGATAGTTCTCATCGCCTTGAATTGTGGGAACAGCTCAGATGTGATAGAATACTTAAAAAGATAGTTCTCATTCCTTGAATTGTGGGAGCAGCTCAGATGTGATAGAATATTTAAAAAGATAGTTATCATTGCCTTGAATTGTGGGAGCAGCTCAGATGTGATAGAATATTTAAAAAGATAGTTCTCCTTGTCTTGAATTGTGGGAGCAGCTCAGATGTGATGGAATATTTAAAAAGATAGTTCTCATCGCCTTGAATTGTGGGAGCAGCTCAGATGTGATAGAATATTTAAAAAGATAGTTCTCATCGCCTTGAATTGTGGGAGCAGCTCAGATGTGATAGAATATTTAAAAAGATAGTTCTCATCGCCTTGAATTGTGGGAGCAGCTCAGATGTGATAGAATATTAAAGAGATAGTTCTCATCCCTGAATATATTTAAAAGATAGTTCTCCTTGTCTTGAATTGTAGGAGCAGCTCAGAGAGAACCCATTTATAAAGATAGTTCTCATCACCTTGAATTGCGGGAGAAGCTCAGATGTGATAGAGTATTTAAAAAGATAGTTCTCATTGTCTTGAATTGTGGGAGCAGCTCAGATGTGATAGAATATTTAAAAAGATAGTTCTCATCGTCTTGAATTGTGGGAGCAGCTCAGATGTGATAGAATATTTAAAAAGATAGTTCTCATATCTTGAATTGTGGGAGCAGCTCAGATGTGATAGAATATTTAAAAAGATAGTTCTCATCGCCTTGAATTGTGGGAGCAGCTCATTTGTGATAGAATATTTAAAAAGATAGTTCTCATTCCTTGAATTGTGGGAGCAGCTCAGATGTGATAGAATATTTAAAAAGATAGTTCTCATTGTCTTGAATTGTGGGAACAGCTCAGATGTGATAGAATATTTAAAAAGATAGTTCTCATCGCCTTGAATTGTGGGAGCAGCTCAGATGTGATAGAATATTTAAAAAGATAGTTCTCATCGCCTTGAATTGTGGGAGCAGCTCAGATGTGATAGAATATTTAAAAAGATAGTTCTCATCGCCTTGAATTGTGGGAGCAGCTCAGATGTGATAGAATATTTAAGGGCACACCAGCAACTTATTGAATTTTAGCTTTTTTCTCCCAAAGGAAGACCCAGCCCCTGAGAGGAAACCTTCTCCACAGCCTCCTGTGCACCAGCTGCAGGGCTGGAACCCGTGCTGAGTGGCTCCTGAGTGCCCCCTCCAGCCCAGCCCTTGCCTTGCAAGGAGGTTCCTGTTGGGGCTCACAAAGCATTTCCCCCCAGCTTCTCTAGCCCAGCGTGAAATGGCTGTGTGCTAGTGTAGAATACTCCCTCAGTGACACCATATGCTGGTGACACCATTTCTTGAAATAATTGATCAACTTTACTAAACAGATTGAACTCTGCCGTGAGACTCAAAGCAAGGGTTCTATGACACAGGACAGAGCCCCTTCTCTGAAGCTCCAGATGCACTTAAGCAGTGGACCCACAGTGAATACAAAAACTTGCAAAAGATTTGGGAGTGCCTTCTTTCTTCATTGGGCTCTTGCAGGTGAATGTAGCATTGGAAAATACCAGCAGGTGCAGATTGATCGAGATGAAAGCCCACTCCATATCCACTATTCCTATAACATTATAACACTATAACAATAACTTCCTAATAAGGAAGAATTTTCCCTTCTTCCTAATGCCTAGCCTATAGAAAATTCCTCCTACACTGACACTAGGCACAGGTATCTGACTTTTTTCTCCTAGAGATCTAAAGGTCAATGAGGGAGTTTCCAAGTCCTTGATCTTAAAAATGGTGATGTCAGAGGCTTCAGATTGCTTTGTCGTCCTTGTCCTACTCTCTGCCTTTGTCCTTTAGTTTTCCAGTGTTCTTCTCACATAGAGTCTGTGCATTGCCACACTTCCATCTTTAATCCAGAGCTATCACACTGGTTAGAATGGATTGTGCAGTGCAGGCAAGCACTGCCTGTTTTGACAATGGAAACCTAGAGACGCGATCGGCTTCCTCTTCTGGGCTGTGACTTTGACCAGGAATCTCCAGGGGAAAAGCTAATTTGGCCAGTACTCCCTTTTGTGGTTTCAGTGTCCCTGGACTATTTACTTACATCTTACCCCTATTGGCTAACTTTGCTCATTTCTATAATAATGGAAGAATGGGAGAGAAATCTGGAATGGGAGAATTGTCTTCCTTTACATAGGACAAGGTTCTCGAAAAGTCCTTCCATGTAGAAGCTTTTGAAAAAGTCTCCCGTAATATTTTTGAGTAATTAATCTTCTCCGATCTGACAAATAGGAAATGTATTTGGATAGTATTTTTTAGAATCTGGAGGTTTCTGGTGAGAAAGTCCATAAAACATAGAAGTATAAGACCCTCTGGAACAGTCACATTTACTGAGTCAACATCTGCCTTTAAGACAACTATAGTTCTTATCATGTAAGTGCCCTCAACAACTTGTGGCTTCTGTAGATTCTCTTCCAGTTAAACAAGTGTCAACTGCCATTCTGGACATGGTTGTCTATCCAGGTTCTTGAGTGGGTATTTTTTTTTCAATTTCAGTTACTTAGTAGATTCCAAAAAGTATTGGCATTCAGATTATGCAGATTTCCTTTGACATAAAAATGAATGTGATGAACATCATAATCTATGTGTCAGTGCATAAACCAAAAGTACAATCAAAGGTCTCCATTGATGTGTTACTGGAGGCAGAATTCTGATCTTATTACATGTAACAGGCACCTGGTATGACATAAATGAACAGGCAAGAAAACAGAGTAAGGACATGGCACAACACTTATGAACAAGTCTCAGCAATTTTAATTTTCTTCTGAGGAAGTTGAAATTGTGAAAGTGAAACAGTGGGACTGGTCATGTCTCAGGTGATGTTGTCTTCTGGAAAGTGTCTCCAATCCTGGGCTGCATCCAGTAGGTGCACCTGGGCTCCCGAACCTGAAACATGGACTCTTATTCCTTAAACACAAGACATTCCAATGAGAAAGCTGTTCTCAGGTGAGCTACAGAGCAGGGAGCAGGAGATGTAGGTGTCCTTCGCTTCCTAGAATCACTGAAACTTGAAGACCAAGGCCTCCCCTGAGGGACAGAGATCCACCTATGAGTACATCACATCAGTCTGTCTTAGGGAATCTTTGGCTTTATGGGAGGATAGGAAATGTGATTTATTCCTTTCTGCTAATGCAGTGTGCATCAGAGAAAATGAGTTGAAAATTTAATAAATATTTTTTCCATATTAGGGGAGAGAACATGTATAAATCACGGCAATACAAGTGCTCACTACAGAACCTGCAGGAGGAGCAAGTGCACAATTGAGAGAAGGCAGCGCCCTGCCCGAGGAAGCAGGTGCCCTGAGATCATCCCCTGGGAACTGTGCTCTAGGTGCCATGCGCCAGTGGAAGCTGGGCTGGGGCCTGGGATTTGTAGGTGGTGTGGAGAGCAGAGCACAGCTCCATTCCTCCTCACTGTGTGACCTGGGATGTGGCATCTTCCTCTGAGCTTCATTCGGACAAGGTGTTAATATAAAATTGCAGCATTAAATTTACCTATAACCTTTCAATTAGGAGCCAGTGCTGTTCAGAATTGTTATCACTACTGTTGTCCAAACCCTTAAATATTATAAAATACCTGTGTGACCCCTCATCTCAGACCTCAGATGACCACATTGCAGAGAAGACACCTGCTTTGTTTCTGTCACGAACATGGTATTAGAACGGGAAAGTATGTGTAACCTTGTTATAGATTTCATGTTAATTAAGTTACAATGGGTAAAATTAGAATTAGTAAGTGATACTTAAAATTTAGCTTTGGGGATTTCTAAGCAAAGTGTGGATGGTGTGTTTTGATTTCTCCTTGCTTAATATAGTATAATGTGAGAGGAGGAGATAAATTAAAGAAGAAACTATCCAGCAATGTGGAATCAGGTATTTTATATATAAAGAACGTTCTCACCTCTTCTGGAAACCGCATAAACTTAAAAAAAAGTGAAGGAACTTTAAGACATATTTGTATATTCTGGATACATGACTAATAAAAAACTTAGATTTAGGTGCAAAAAGAGATACATGGAAGATGAAAATTCTGCAGCAGATAATTTTGTCAAGTAGGCAGCTTTATACTAGTTTGTAATTTTACCTAAATATCCCAAAGATAAACTCCAGAGAGATCCAAGTAAGAAATTATAACATTTCAATGTTAGATGACTGGTTGAAAGAAACTTGAACTAACATTATTTTGATGAATCATACCTCAATAATAAAACTGTGTCTAATGGTACACCTTTTCAAGAGGCTGCTTGAGTAAATAGTTTCTACCTCTCCTACTTGGGAGTCCTGGCACAACCCAACGTTCTCTAAACCTGGGGGCCACTAAGAACAGAGGCAGCAGTTTGAATATTATGAAGTTATTATGAATTTTTGAGAGATCCACACTTATTGACTGGGGTGATTGGTGAGGGTGGTCTCTATGACCCTAGTCTTTGAAGAGTGTGGCTCTTTGTTATGATGAGCAAAGAGCTGTTTGTTGTGATGAACAGATAGCAAGAAAGACCGTCAAGGAAAATGAAGAAACACGGGAACATGGTCCAAACAGACAGACAACATAGAGGTCCAGAATCTGGCATCAATGAATATAAAACATATTGATGTTCTGGCAGAAAATTTGAAGTAAATATTAGAAACATGTTTAATAAGCTAGTGGCAGCATGCAAGAACAAAGTGAGAATTTTAATAGAGATAAAAAAATTTAAGAGAGGACTAAACAAAAATATTTGTGTCGAAGAATACAATAAGTCAGCCAACAATTTTAACAGAGCACACTGTGGGAGAGGCTCAGGCTTTCCTTTCCCCTAGAGCAGGTAGCCCTGAAATTTCCCTAGACATGAATCACTGTTTCCTCCCGCCCACCTTCCACATTCCCCTCAGAGATGCCCCTGGCTCCGGAGTTCAGCTTCTCACACGTTGTGTGACTTTGGGTTAAAACACACCTGAAACACTGAGTGGCTGTTGTCCTTGATCACTTCATCATCGTCCGCATTTTAGTTGATGCGATTTTTTTACCTCATTTGAAGAAATGAAAATAAATATGTAGACTCTATCTAGGCCAGATTTTCTTTCTCTCTCTTTCTTTCTTTTCTTTTTCTTTCTTTCTTTCCTTCCTTCCTTCTTCCTTCCTTCCTTCCTTCTTTCTTTCTTCTTTCTTTCGTTCTTTCCTTCCTTCTTTCTTTCTTTCTTTCTTTCGTTCTTTCCTTCCTTCCTTCTTTCTTTCTTTCTTTCTTTCTTTCTTTCTTTCTTTCTTTCTTTCTTTCTCTCTCTCTCTCTTTCTCTTTCTTTCTTCTTTCTTTCTTTCTTTCTTTCTCTCTCTCTCTCTTTCTCTTTCTTCTTTCTTTCTCTCTCTCTCTTTCTCTTTCTTTCTTTCTTTCTTTCTTTTTTCTTCCTTTCTTTCTTCCTTTCTTTCTTTTTTTATGGAGTCTAGCTCTGTCCCCCAGGCTGGAGTGAAGTGGCACAATCTCGGCTCACTGCAAGCTACGCCTCCCAGGTTCATGCCATTCTCCTGCCTCAGTCTCCTGAGTAGCTGGGACTACAGGCGCCCGCCACCATGCCCAGCTAATTTTTTGTATTTTTAGGAGAGACGGGGTTTCACCGTGTTGGCCAGGATGGTCTCGATCTCCTGACCTCGTGATCCGCCCACCTTGGCCCCACAAAGTGCTGGGATTACAGGCGTGAGCCACCGCGCCCGGCCTAGAGAGATTTTCTTATCTCTCTTTCCCTTGATAGATGCGAATGTAGCCCCAAATATGATAGGAATCAGTAGACACTGCAGCTCTTACAACACTTTCTCGGTCCACTGGTCCAACAGTGTGGGCACCACCGTAGCACAATTATTTTATGAGACTAATTCTGTATCCAATGCAGACACAGTTTTTTTATGTACTGGGACCTCCAGTCCATCACAGCCTATGATTATGGGGAAGGAAGGAAACATTTTTCAAATTTCCATCATACATGTGGTAAGAGAAACTCATATTTCTGTCCAGTGGTTTCCAGACCCAGGTGTTGTAGCTCCTGGCCAGGGGGCACTGTAGTGCTCTCTGTTTGGGGGCATGTAAGCATCCTGGAGAATAGTATTATCCTCAAAATGGCCCTTCTTTAGAGATTAAATTTCCTGCTATAAAACAGATGCATAAACTACCTGCTGTTTATCTCACATCAGACTGTGGAGACCTAAGTCAATGCTTCCATTGTTCTGCTGGGGTCTTTGTTTCTGGGCAAATGTGAAGGAGCAAGAACTGCTGGATCGCAGACTCATGTTCCCGTGATCACATCTCCTGTCCCTTAACTACAGCTACATTCCCTCGTGTCAGAACACATTGTGCAGTGTCTCATTCTAGGGAATAAGATATTCAGTAACTTGGACAGTGACTCTAGTAGTTTCTCTATGATTAAAAAGAATGTGCAGATAAAAGTTAAAAAGAATTCTTCTAAGTATAAATTACTACCTATCAGGCTTGGGCTTTAATTTTTTCTAATTGTCTCCATATGACTGGTGGGTATCCTTACAGTGTGAGTTTTTTTTTTAGACAAACGTGATCTCTATCGCTGTCAGTTCAGGCACTTGGTAAAAGGTGCTGGTCAGTCTGGTTGGAGGTACCTGGGCTCAGTCTTCATTATACATATTAGGGAAAGCTCTGATATAAACAGAGTGGATGCTGTCACTTATGTAGCAGTATGGATTAAACTGCAGAAGATCATCATACTATGAGGTCTCCATACCCTTTTACACAGCAGAGTAGATTTCCCTTGCTTTCAGCTGCCTGCTTACTTATATTAAATATTACTGCATGTACTTTTACTTTACCTTGTTTTCTATTCTAAGCTATTGCCTGCTTATTTAATTAAAGTAAGCAACAGTAAATTTTAAAAATAACAATCATTACCTGTAGAAATAACACAAAATGGACATGATGAATAAGCCAAGTAGAGACACCAGAAAACAAAGCTAATAAAGAGACACATGTGTAAGTTTAGAGTAGTCAGTGAGCACCGAAATCATGAAGAGCTTGTGTTGACATTTACACGAACAAAGTCAGTTATATTTGACATCCAGAAGGCTGGTCACACCCATGAGAGAAATATGTAGAGTGGTCCACCTAACTCAGAAATTAGAAAGTGATAAAGTCACAAACTTACAAAACCAGCAAAAACAACATTCAGTGTATTTAGTATTGAGCTCTGTTTCTTCAGGAAAAGGGATGGGTTATATCTGCATGGAAAATGGGACAAGTATTTTTTAAGCTGATTCTCCTGGGAAGTTGCTAATGAAATCATTCCAGTGATGCTCTGACACAGGATTGTGAAGAGGACGTTGACCCTTGGTGGTCGTTGTCAGCAACACGGATGCTCAACCCTGGTGGGTGCCTTTGTTACTGTTTTGTCCACAAGAGATTTTAGCCTGTCATGTGCTGCATGCAGGTGAGTTTTTAACCCTCAGATGAAAAAAAATAACATGACCACCAAGAAGATGAGGAAATTGAAGACCTCACTTCATCAACCACATTCCACTGATGAGAACTGTTTACACAGAGAGCCAGCGATGATCTGGGAAGAGGAAGGGGTTGGGGAAGATCATCCATAGAAGGACACATCCAGCCTGCTTGAACTCCCTGTGGAAGGAGGGTTTAAATATTTGCCCTCAGCTACTCAGGGGCATTTCAAGACCTTCACAAGCTTTCAGAAAAACAGTTTTCATTAACAAATGCCCATACGTTACTCAGAGTTTTATTTTTCATCATTTATTCTTCCTCTCTAGGCAGCTCCACAGTAGGGTGTTCTCAGAATTCTCCCTGATCCCCCTTGAGTTCCTGGTGAAGCTCCTGGAGAAAAGCCTGCATGGGGGAGGGAGCCCTCCTCATGTGCAGCCCTGAGGCTGTCCCATCACCTCACCCGCCACTGCCCTTCAGTCAATTGGTGAACATTTCTGAGCTAATCTTCCTGAAACGTGTGGTTTTGGGCAGTATATTTACCAGGTAATAAAACCCTTAAGCTCTGTTTGTTTCGGCAGGCACGTATCCCTTTCTGGAGCACAGGGTTGTTTTGAGTGTGTGGTAGTGGATAATTAGTGAGAGGAGGTTTGTGTGCATCTTGTCATCTCCCAAAGTGCACCCTCCATGGAGTTGACACCCACAAACAAGCAGATGGACTTGCTCAGCTGGAGGATGACAAACATTTTCATAACCTATGACCTCAGTGGTGCTCTTTGTCTGCAAGACCAATCATGATCATGCCTCTGGCTAATGTGCACTCATCAAGGGTGAGCAGTGCCCACCTCTGTGAGGGCTGCTTCAGGTGCACACTCCCTTTGTAGAGGGAAGCTTTTGTTCCTACCTGGGTCCCATGCATGTGTTTGCGTTTGCTGCACAAACCCCCTTACTCAGACTCACCACCCAAGAGCTTACAGAGCATCTAATCCAACTCTAGGGCATTATACATGGAGTCTCTCATTGCCAGGGTCTCCAATTCCAATGAAAGGATGTTCATTATGGGATTCCCCAGAACTTTCTGGTCTTTTAGAGACATGAACTGGCCTCTAAAAGCTTAAAAAAATCTTACTCTCTGGGAAGGAGCATTGTAAACCAGAAGTAAGATAAGCTCTAAATTAATATATATTTTGTGGATTTTGGAAGAAAGAGTTCAAATAGTAATAGCCTTACCCACTTTCCCTCTGACTAATATCAGTTCTAGAAAACACTGAAAAACCGTGGAATCTTGAGATACTTAGGCTTGTTATATTAGGAGATCACCAGAAAAAGAAAGAACCAAGCGTCCTTGGAGATTCCTCCATTGTAACTGATTTGTGACTGCGGTGCAGGATGGTCGTAGTGGAGGAGGCTGTGCCTGTGTAGGGCAGGGAGTCGTGGGAATTCTCACGCCTCCTGTGCAATTTCTTTGTAATCCTAAAACTGCTGTAAAATAAACTTTATGATAAGGAGTGACAGAAACATTTGAAGGAAACTTTTGGCACTTTTTAAGAATCATTCTTAGTCTCACCACATGATCAAATAACCTTGCTCCAAATCATGTATTCATCCAATTTGAAAACTTGTTCACAGTAGCACCTTCATGGAATGTTTGTATCAACGTTATAGAGTGTGGCCTTTTCCACTCTGTGAATTTGGCTTATATTACGACTCTTGAATGGAATATTTATCTTAAAATTAGAGTATGTACTTGTTTCTACTGTTCTTTTTTTCTCAAATATATAACCCATTTTGTAAACAGCCTTAAACCTAATAACCCCTGTCATCTCCTCAGCCCGGCACAGCTGCCTTCTCCCTCAGGGTTTCTGACACTCTCAGGATGTGGGTTTTCACACTGTGTCTCTCGCACAGTAATACACGGCCGTGTCCTCAGATCTCAGGCTGCTCAGCTCCATGTAGGCTGTGCTCGTGGATTCGTCCGCGGTAATCGTGACTCTGCCCTGGAACTTCTGTGCGTAGTTTGCTGTACCAAAGATAGGGATGATCCCTCCCATCCACTCAAGCCCTTGTCCAGGGGCCTGTCGCACCCAGCTGATAGCATAGCTGCTGAAGGTGCCTCCAGAAGCCTTGCAGGAGACCTTCACCGAGGACCCAGGCTTCTTCACCTCAGCCCCAGACTGCACCAGCTGGACCTGGGACTGGACACCTGTGGACAGGACACAGGGGTGAATAAAATCCTCTTTAACTAAACCAGGATCCCTTCCTCAGCCTTAGGACTAGGAAGCCCCTTACCTGTAGCTGCTGCCACCACAAAGAGGAACCTCCAGGTCCAGTCCATGGTGATGAGCTGTGCTCCCAGGGGCTTCTTTAGAGGAGGAATCTGGTTGTTATGTGATGCTCTCAGGGCACCAATATATCTATATTTATCTCAGAAGACCTCAGATTATTTGCATATTCATGAGGCAGGGTATTTCACAGCTCAAAGCCTGATCTAGGATGAGAAAGAAAACACAGATGCCACATCAGCTGTACAAGTGTGGGATGCTGAGAGACCAAGCCCTAAATCCTGCCTGAGGAAACGCATCCCCTGCCCCATTTCTAAGCTTTCTGTGCACAGCACTCTTCCCGCTGAAGAACAAACCCCAACCCCAGGATGCACTCCTCACTGTGAACCCACATTTTATTGGCCTAAAGATTACCTGGGTTGTTTGTGGGACCATTGCTGTCTCTGACATTGAGCAGGCACCTAGACCCATCCTGGTCCCATTAGGAACACTCAGAGCTCACTGGTAACACTGAAAAGGTTGGCACTGGTTACCCCACATGAGTGTCCAGCAGGGCCCATGGAGAGTTCTGAGATCTGCTGGGCACTCCCAAGACAGGGTCCCCAGCACTTTCCTGAGGGTCCTGACCTCCCAGGTCCTTCAGTGGAAAGACTCTTGGTTGACAGATTTGCCGTCTGATGTGTGATTGGTTCTGAGACTTCCCTCCCATTGACAGTAGGAATCAGGGGTTGAAATAGAAATAGGAATTTGAGTTTCTTGGTGAACTCATAGCTCCCAAAATAATTACCAAGTAATTTGTATTTTGAATAAGTTTGTGTTTTATTTCAAACTGCATTAAATAGAATTATTTGAAGTATTTACATGGTTTTAGATCATATCCATAGATCATCATCTTTACATGCTGATTTCTGTTCTGCTTGGTCTGGGCACCTATCACACTCTTCAATCCACTGCTTCCAAGTCACAAACACAATGTAGGAAACATTACTTATCTCTGAAGTCTGAATACCTTCTTCATAGGAATATAGTATCTCCCACAGTTATGTGCCCATTGAGTTAAAAAAAAACCATCCATATCCTTCATATTCTCACTATTCAGATATTTATTATCCTAGAACCCCCCTTGTAAATATAGCTTTCATTGCTTTTTGAGTGATATAAGTGGCCCAGTTTCCATATCCTTCATATTCTCACTATTCAGGTATTTATTATCCTAGAATCCCCCTTATAAATATAGCTCTCATTGCTTTTTGAGTGATGTAAGTGGCCCAGATGAAATAGAATATTTAAATGAGTGTCAGCAACTTGCTGAACACTTAATTTAGAATGACTTGTTGAATAAGGAAGACTCAGGCCCTGGAAGAATATTTGCTTTTATTTATCTCCAACAAATAAGGGAGAATATATAATATCTGGTTTTCTGTTCCTGAATTAGTTTTCTAAGAGTATTGACTACCAGTTCCATCATGTTCCTACAAAGGACATAGTTTCATTCTTTCCTTAGCTGCATAGTATTCCATGGTTGTATGTACCACATTTTTCTCTATCATTCTGCCAGTGATGGGGATTTAGGTAAATTCCATGTCTATGCTATTGTGGATAGTGCTGCAGTGAACCTACATGTTTATATTCCTTTAGGTATATGTCCAGTTGTAGGATTGTTGGGTCAAATGAAACTTCTGTTTTAGGTTATTGGAGGGATCACCACACTGCTTTCCACAATGGTTGAACTCATTTATATTCCCGCCAGAAGTGTATAAATTTCCCCTTTTTTCTGTAACCTTAAAAATCTGTTATTTTTTTTTTAAGATTAGCCATCCTGACTGATGTGAGACGGTACCTCATTGAGGTTTTGATATGTATTTCTCTAATGATAGTGATATTCAGCACTTTTTCCTATGCTTGTTGGCCACATGTAGGTCTTTTTTGAAGTGTCTTTTCATGTCCTTTGGTCACTTTTTATTTCTTGAATGTTTGTTAAATTTCCATGTATATACTAAGTATCGGACCTTTGTCAGATGTATAGGCTGCAAATATTTTATTTCCCATTCTGTAGGTTGCCTGTTTTCTCTGTCGATAGTATCTTTTGCTGTACAGAAGCTCTTTAATTTACTTAGGTCCCATTTGTCAATTTTCAATTTTGTTGCAACTACTTCTAGCATTTTCATTATAAAACCTTTGTCAGTTCTTACCTCCTAAATTCTGTTTCCTATGTTATTATCCAGAGGTTTTATAGTGTTAGGTTTTACATTTTGATCTTTAATCAACATATAACTTTTTTCAATTGATGCTGAAAACGCATTTGATGAAACAACATCCTTTCATAAAAAAACCATAAAAAATGGGTATAGAAAGAACCCATCTCGACAAAATAAAAGTTACATTCGAGAGACTTTCAGGTAGTATCAGGTTGAATGAGAAATAACTAAAAGTCTTTTCTCTAAGATCTGGAACACGACAAGTTTCCCACTTTAACCACCGGTAAAGCATAAACCCTTCTGCTGCCACCATAGCCGGCTCTTACCTGCGAGCACCACCTACTGGCCTGACGTTCAAACTGCATGACCTCATACAAACTCAATACCACCAGTGTACAGCAGTTGAAATTGAGATTTGCTTCTCATTACTTCTGTGATTCCAACCCCGCAAAAGACCACGGGCCTGCTCACATACCCAGTATATTACTACTACAACGGGAATTTGAAACAGCCACCACACTAAAGCTCTTAATAACAAAAGAAACCACACTGAGTAGATGCCCCTCAGCTCGCCATTTCCATCAAGGCTGGCGCTTTTGCTTGCCAGGCTCGGTGGCTCATGTGTGTCCAGCTTGGTCCACCTCTCAGGGGCTGAGCAGGGAACTCAGGTCACTGTGCATTTCATAGACCAGTCCATCGCCTGAGGCAACAGAGAGCTTCTCCCTGTGCACAGATATCAAGCATGTACTCAACTGCTTCTACCAGAGTCAGCTCTAATCTGTAAGGACATCTACTAATGTGGAGGGTGAACTTAACAACCCAACACAAAATCTGCTGAAACAAAGGCATTCCAAATGAGAAACAGTTCCTGAGGCCTCCACTATCTAGGACCTGCAGCGGGCAGTGAGCCTACTCACAAGTCCAGTACTTTGGTACTAAAACCACCATTTCAGAAAGCCACTAAATAATGGCTATCTATAGACAAGGAACTCTTACAGAGTCTTTGCCACTAAGTAAACCAAGAACCAAAATCAAAATACCCACACAATGTACATTATATTCACATTCTAAAGGGAATTAAATATTCATCAAAATCAGAATGAATTAAAAAATAAGAAGAAGCGATAGTTTAGCTAATGAAAAGCAAACAGATAAGCAATTCAGGAAGTATGAAAAAACAGAGTTACAAAACCCCAAATATCACCTTAACTCTCCAGCAATAGAATCTAAACAACATGACATATTTGAAACGTCTGATAAATAATTCAAAATGTTGATTTTAAAGAAGCTCAATTAAACCTTTTTCTCTAGTGGCTCAGTAAGCACCGGCACTGAGACAAGCACTATGAAGACAATTGCAGCCCACCCCCAGATGAACTGACCCCCTGTTCCGCAAACCATAACTCCAGCTTTGATTGAACACTAGAGTGATATCAGGAACTTTCTCCTGATCCAAGACCACTGACCATGGCCTGGCTCTGGCCGTTTACAGAAGCTGCACACTGAGTGCCTTTGTGTCTCTGCTTGTGCTGTTTGCACATAGGGCCTCACTGTAATGAATTTAAATGCTAAGGCTCCACTGGTAAGTGAACAGGGGTCATATGTTACAGACATGTTTGTTCAGTATGCATGTGTCAGGACCACCTCCATGAACATCTATAGCCCCTCCTGTAACCTGTTGATTATGTCTGTTTAGCCAAACCCTTCAGCATAAAGCTTCTGCCCAACCCCTTCTTCGTAGGAGTGCCTTTCTCTCGTCTTTACCAAGAGCTATGCTTTTCAGCATACGGAATGGCTGTAAGCCTTGATAAAAATAAACTCTCACTTTCCTAAATTGTAGATTGTGTTTTTTTTTTTATTTAACACAACTGAAGATTAAATTCAGAAGTTCACCTAATTATAAGGCTACTTGCACTGGATGGTAACTCCCTCTGCCCCAATGCCCAGCATGCACTTTTTCCTGGCTGCTGCTGGCTGACCTTTGGAGTTCTGTTGAGCTGGGCTGCAATGCTGAGTTAAACACAGCACCTTTTATAGATTTAGCTGATTAACTTCAGAAGCATTGATAACTTATTGACATTGAGAAACAGGAGTAAGTGACTGTAGGTGACTCTGCCTTTGGTGCATGTGAGAAAGTTTTTCTCTTGTTACGACAAATGTTTCTTCTTCAGAGACTTCACAGGAAGAACAGGATAAGGAATCCAGAGATATGCCACAAAGGAAACTGTTTTATGGAGAGGAAGCCACAGGGTTGACAGGAAACCAGAACTTAACCCCCATCTGCACCTGCCCTGGGGCTGGCTCTTGTGCTCAGTGGGTCCTGAGCGCCCCCAGGTGGTCCTGTGCCCACTTCAGGGAGGCTTGTTTCTGGGCTCATACTGACTTTTTTTCTAATTGTTTTCACAAAAATGGAGACAGAGTAAATGGTGAATCCATGCATCTCAGAGAACACAGAACAGCAGAATAACACCCCATGCTCCCCACACACACATTTAGGTAAATCTTATTAAAATTGTTGAAAACCAAAGACAAATAGAAATACAGGCAGACAAGTGGAGGTGAGTAGAGGGGGCATTCCTTCCAAAAGAACAGAAAAGACCATGACAGCATTCTTCTGGTTAAAACCTTATAAGCAAGAAGAAAATTGATGGTGTCTGTAAAGTGTTGGAAGAAAAGCCAGCCCATTATTTGATAACCCATGGATGTTCGCTATGAAGTGAAAAAAAAAAACAGTTCTATTTCTCTTTGACAGCATGAGGGGCTCAATGAATCCATGCCCTCATGAGACCAGTGAAAATTATTTTGGGAAATTACAGGTTTGGAAAGACTCTAACAGCACACAGTGAGTGAAGAAACATTTATTCAGGAAAATCTAGAAAACTCAGTAAGGCCAGTCATCATATTTGATCTAAGATGCTCTTCCTTCCTTCCACATCCCAGCTCAGCATGATGTAAACTCCACTGCGGACAGATGCAGCCAAGAAGACAGGACACCTTCTACCAACTCCCACCAGAGGAAACGCTTCCCCAGGGGCCAGTACGTTGGCCCTCTGACCCTGCACACAGCACATGATGCTGAGGTTCAGTGCTGGACGAGAGCTACTGAGAGCCAGAGACTCACTTCTTCCATAGAGCCCCACTCGTGGATGGAGGCTCTGCCCTGGGTCCAGTGCCACTGGGAACATTCAGTCCGCGGTTTCTAGCTCTGCCCTATGGCACCGATTCCGCCCCACCAGAACCAAAGTGCTGGGATGGTGGGAAGCTTCTGCCCAACCCTCCAATTAGCGCTCATCTCCTAGGCTGAGGAAGAAAAAAGCTCAACTTCGTCTCCACCTGCAGAAACTTGGTTATGCACTCTGTCCCAGGAGAGAAGGGGCACTGGAATTCAGTCATAAAATATGATCCTTAAGTTGGTCCTAAACATCCTAACTTCAATAACAACAGAATGCGGAAAAGTTCAAAGCCTGCCTGTGATCTCAGAAACAGTGGAGGGTGTGGTGGAAGGTGCTTGGAGGGAGATGGGTGGATGCACGGGAGATGCAGGCTAAACTGCAGGGCTGCTGGCTTGCAGGAGAGAACCGAGGAGGGGGAGAGCTGAGGGACGTTCTCTTGTGGTTGGAACAAATGCCGGACGCTGTTCAAAGGAGCCCGTGTTTGTTTCGTTCAGTCTGTGAAGCAGTTCAAACCTCACTGCATGGTTGAAAATAGGATTTTCCATCTGCAAGTGGTGGAGCTCAATATCTGGGTCTGGTCAGGAAAGAGACACAGAAAGTCCAGCCCAAACCACTGACACCTGAGGATGACCGTGGTGCTTACAGCTGTGTCCCCTTGATCTTTGAGACTGGCTTCTCTCACTTAGCACAATGTCTGGAGTTCACCTGTAATAGTTTATGTATCGGTCACTTGTTATTTTTTTATTGATGGTGGTATTCAATTTATAGATGCTTCCTAGTTCTTCACCTATTCAAATTTTGAGACATTTATGTTATTTTTACTTTCTAACACACATACACACGATATCTTGAATATTTGAATAGAAGTTATGCGTGAATGTAAGATTGTTTTTCTCTGATGCAAATATTCAGGTGTAAAGGATATGTTTGATTTTAGAGAAAACTAAAAATTATTTTCCTGAGTATCTGTTTCATTTTGCATTCCCGTTAGCAATGTTTTAGCCTCTAGCAACCTGGTATGCTCACCAGCATTGATGTTATCTGTATTTCTTCTTAATTTCAGCCATTTTGAAAAGTGTACAGTGGTGTCTCTTTGTGGGCTTGATTTGAATTTCTCTAATGGAAAATCCTGTTGAGAGCCTGTTTATATGCTTCAGTGTCATCTGCACATCTTCTCTGACGAAATGTCTGTAGAAATCCTTGCCTAATTTATCCATCAGTTGTTTCTTTTTTATTCACAGTTGAGTTCTGAAGGTTCTTATTATAATTACATTGGTGGTTATTTGACTCGCAAACAGTTTCTCATCTGTAACCGGGCATTCATTTTCTTACAGTCACTTGAGTAGAAAAAGTTTTTAAATTTAATGAGGTCAACTAATATCAAGTTCATTTATTGATCATATTCTACATTTTAATTTTAAGATCATTGGTCAATTCTTAATTATTTTATATTGTGCCTGTTATGTAATGACTCATCATGCTCCCACCTTCTGCCCACCCATCCTTCTAAGTCTCCAATGTGTATAATTTCTCTCTACAAATCCTTGTGTACACACTGTTTACCTCCCACTTACAAGTAATAACATGTGACATGTGACATTCTGTTTGTGAGTTAGTTCACTAATTGTATTGTCCCCCACTTCTATGCATCTTGCTGCAAAAGACACAGTTTCATTCCTTATTGTGGCTGACTAGTATTGAATTGTGCATACATGATATATTCTTTTATAAAATCATCTGTTGGCAGACACTCAGTTTGACATATGTGCTATTGAGAGTAGTTTTATGGTAAGCATAGAAGGTGGGTATCTTTTTGAAATAATGGTTTATTTTCCTTTGGGTAGTTACACAGTAGTGGGATTGCTGGACCAAATGGCAGTTCTATTTCTAGTTTTCTGGGAAATCTCCATACCATTTTCCACAGAGGTTGTACTCGTCTACATCCTCATCAACAATGTCTAAGAGTTGCCTTTATTTCCCATCCTCAGCAACATCTGATATTATTTGAGTTTTTAGTAACAGTCATTGTGACTGGTGGAAGATGATATCTTATTGTGGTTTCAATTTGCATTTCCCTGATGGTTAGTGATGTTGAGCATTGTTTATATATTTATTATCCATTTCTATGTGTTCTTTTGAAAATGTCTACTCATGTTCTTTGCTCATTTTAACGGGGTTATTTGGTTCTTGTTGCTGTTGTTGTTGTAGAGTTGTTTGAGTTCCTTGCAAATTCTTCATATTAGTTCCCTGTCACAGGCAAAGTGTGCAAAAGTTTTCTGTCATTCTGTAAATTGCGTATTCACTCTGTTGTTGTGAAAAAAATTATTTAGGTTAATTAAGTCTCATCTGTCTATTTTTTTTTTAGGTAGCAGGACCTTTCATGCTGAATCTTTGTCAAACAGGATACAGCTTCTGCTTGCACGAACCACTAACAGGGGACATGCCATTTATTAGTAAAGAAGAGGGAGGAAAACAAGGCTCTGAGTCAGATGGGGATGGGAAACGCAGGCCCTGGCAGGAAATGGCATCTCAGCCACACTATCCTGTTCTGCAGAGGTGGGGAGGGAGCACCACTGAGAAGCAGCCTGGGTTCTTGTACAGGAGGCGCCCTGGGCTGTGTCTCTGTGGTATCCGTGCACAGTAATACGTGGCTGTGTCCACAGGGTCCATGTTGGTCATTGTAAGGACCACCTGGTTTTTGGAGGTGTCCTTGGAGATGGTGAGCCTGGTCTTCAGAGATGTGCTGCAGTATTTATCATCATCCCAATCAATGCGTGCAAGCCACTCCAGGGCCTTCCCTGGGGGCCGACGGATCCAGCTCACACGCATTCCAGTAGTGCTGAGTGAGAACCCAGAGAAGGTGCAGGTCAGCGTGAGGGTCTGTGTGGGTTTCACCAGCGCAGGACCAGACTCCTTCAAGGTGACCTGGGATAAGACCCCTGTGGAGAAGACATAAGAAGATGAAGCCCACAAAGGAGAGAATAGATTTTTTGCTTCTGAAGTACGACCTGACCACAGCGCTCACAAGACGGGACAGTCAGTAGCAGGAGCATGGAACAAAGCATGTCCATGGTGGGGAGCAGGATTCACTGAGCGAGGCCCTGTCCTCGTCTTTTGAACCCAGGGGAGGGTGGAGCTGGTGGAGATTTGCATCCCCTCATCTGAGCCCTACTCTATGGGGTGCACTCAGGTCTCAGGACTCAGTAGGGGAGTGCATCTGTGGTGAGGAGCAGTGAGCCCTCAGGTGTGGGGGTCCACGTGTGCTCTCCATCAGGGAATCTATCTCATTTCAGCACCATGGCTCTCAGTCAAGTCTTGACGCTCCTGCTTCTACAGACAGGATCTTCTTCGATGCTCCCGCACCGGACATGCAACCTTCTGGTTTTAGTCCTAGAGGATTAGAGTAGAAATCAAGAGAGCTGCCGTTCCTCCTCCCTTCAAGAATAATGATGGTGGGCATCTGGGGGGCAAGGGGCTCCCCACAAGCATTCTGATCAAAATCCTCTTTGATTATGGGGAAAAGTGATGAATTTGTGTAAAAAAATTGGAGAGAATAAATAAGAAAATACAGTTACAAGTAATTATGTAAAGAAGTGTGTGCTTAGCAGTGTGTGTGCACACAGCTGCATTCCTAGAGGCATGTTCCATGAAAAATCGATGTTGTCCTTGTGCCCCGTCAGTTCTGTGGAGAGAGTAGACTGCATGAATGACTTCCCTTTTCTCAGCCCATGAATGAGCGGATGCTTTGGACAAGGGAATTGGAAGACTCCTGAGGGAGCAGCAGGCTGACTGTTGCAGCCTTGCTCTGCACCTGCACTGGATGTGGTCTCTGTGCTCATGAGGCCATGGAAACTCATCAATCCAGGTTCAAGAAGTTAACTGCAGAGTTATATTCATTTGTGTTTTCCTTTGTAACAAGAAAGTTCTGAGTTACAGATGATATAGTGGGTGGTCTCCTTAGGGTTGGATGCTGTGAAGCAAAAGAAGACAACCCTAGATTGTAGTCAGAGGTTCTCTGGCTGGTTCCTTGATGCACCTGCTCCTAAATGGGGCTCTGTCTTGGCTGAATTCTGAGTTTCTTCTGCTTGTCCTCTGCTGCCCATACAGCCCAGATAAAGGAGGGCCAGGGGATCTGCTTCTGAGATGCCCAGTCCTATGTCTGGCTCCAAGCCAGGAGCTCAGCCAGTCCTGGGGGCTGAACCTTGGATCTCTCCTGTGAGACCTCACCTGTGCACTGAGCATCCTCACACCTCACAGCAAGGTGGCAAGGTCAGCTTCACAGAAATTACTGTAGACAATTTTCAGCAAATCTAATTGCAGTTCGACTATATAATTAAGGAATCATTTTTACTGGGGTGTAAGTGACTGACATATCCCCCCACACACACACGCACACACACATAAACAGTATGGACATTAATTTACATTTCCCAAAAACTGGACACATTTTTAATTATTCCTGATGAATTCACAAAATTCTGAGGTTTGAATCAGAAACTAAAATGTAACATTTTCTATAACCAAACTTACAAATGAATAAGATGCGGTCAGAAAAATCAAGATTGAGTTATTACCTGCAGTCTGATGGTGGTAAGTTACATAATGGAGCTGTGATGAGACAGGCTCCCAGGTGCTCTAATTCTTAACCCCTCAATTACAGCTGACCAGCAATCTCTGAGAGTGAGGAAGCTAGAGGTTCCCCACATGGGATAGCTCTCTGACTTCATTAAACTTCACTGGGCTTCTCTGCAGGCTCAGAGGTGTGCAGACTCCTACCCTAGATTCTGCAGTCAGGCAAATCTCTGCTCTTTCCTGGGGACACAAGAGATAGTGTGGATAAGGGCCAGATGTGCTCTACTCAAGGTCTCTGCACATGGGGAAAAACCAGTGAAAGTGGAAAATGGATGTTCTTGATTCTTGGAACAATTCCCATGAAAAACTCAACTCTGCACCAGGACCTCATGCACAATTATAAACAAATGCAATTAAAATAAATGTGAAAATTACAATTGTTTATAGGTGCACATTTGTTCATATATTTTTCCAAAAAATAAAGTAAAAGCAGGTGTTCTCTATAAAAATCCAAAAACAGTGTGTTGGCCCTGAGAATGCACGTCCCTCCCTCCTCCTACAGGCAGCAAAATGCAGGTGGGTCAGGTTCCCAGCAGCTGCTTTCTGACATCTGTGGCATGGCGGGTGCTGAGGCCCATGTCCTGTGGTCTACTCTAATGAAAGGAGTGACTCCGCAGGGATTCCTAAGCAGAGCCATTATTTCTGGGAGTCATGGGGATCCCCTGAGAGGAAACACTGACATACAAGAGACTCAATTATATTTTGCCCCTCCCTTGCACAGCACAGAAATATAGGGACCTTCCACCCAATCCAGCTTCCCCCTCTCTTTCACTCAGGGACAGGCTTCCACCATGTGCCATCGGCTTCCCAGCCTCATTCCACCCCCTGTGCATTTTCTCTCAAAGGGATGAATGTATTTCTCACAACGGATGGATTATTCATGAGTCCCCTGGGCAATTCCCGAAGCTGAGGTGTCCTCCCCTCCTTTGTACACCATCTAGGGAACCTTCCTGATGTTGCCATGGCATGTGTAAACCGTCATGGCGCTGAGGGGAGTGGCTTTCAGCATGTTAAGGCATTATAATGAGCAGTGAGGACGAACAGAGATCACTTTTTTGCCATCCTGGTTTTGGTGGGCTGTGGCCAGCTTCTTTACTGTAACCTTTACCAGCAAGGTCTTTATAACCTGGATCCTGTGCAGACCTCCTATCTCATCCTGTGACTAAGAACGCCTTAACTTACTGGGAATGTAGCCCAGCAGGTCTCAGTCTTATTTTTCCTAGCCTCTATTCAAGATGAAGTTGCTCTTGTTCAAAAGCTTCTGACACAAAAATGTAGAAAGATATTTGTAATATGAGCATGACTATATTGCCAAATATAAAATAAAACATAATAATGGCAACAATTTTCCCTGTCACCTTGACTAGACCATAGTCTCACCTACTCAATCACACACTAGCCTAGGTGTTGCTCCCATGGCATAATGCAGGTCTTAGTAGAGCCTGCCACTAATTTTTCCCAAGTCACGAAGAGTGTTCTAGATAACCTAGGTGGGCCTGATTCAATCAGAGCATAACAGAAGACGATGGGACTCCATGCTGGACGGCAGATGCAGGTTTTCCTAGGAATCCCAGCCTGCCTTTCCTGAAGGCCAGCAGTATTGACCTTAGGCTGCCTAGCCAGACCCTATAATTACTATTACCAGAGCTCACAGCACAATGGAGTGTCCATCCTCAGCTCTCCTAAAGTCACAGGGGAGAGCATAAATTCTGTGACAGTGTGAGAAGCACAAGATCAGCTCTACATCCACATCCCTTTGGAGAAAACTAGTATTATTCCCTTCATGACTAATGTTCACTTCGTTTTCCAAACACCTCCACACACAAAATACAGCAGGAGTGTCATCAGCCTATGGTGAGTGAGAAAGTCCCCTCAGCCTACCCAGGTCCTGCAGACCTGATCTCTGGGATTTTGACTACAGAAAACACATCCTCTGTTTTCAGGAAAGAGAAGAAGAAAGGGAACTGTGAGAATCAAGTCTGCAGAGAAGGAAAATAGATTAGCAGAAATAGGGTCAACTGAATCAGTGTGAGTCAGATGTGCACAGTTTTTCAAGACGAGGTGAGATAGCTGTGAAAACCGTCAGGTTTTAAGGACTCTGACCCTGGGTGAGCCTCTCTCTTGGCTCCTATCAGAACTCAAAGCCTGTTCTAATCAGAGATTCCCATGGAGGTCTCTGCCCTGAGTCTAATTGGAAAAGACTTCCCAGGTTCCACTGAGATTCCTCTGCACTTTCATCCTGCTGACTACAGAAGGATCATCTGCCCCCAAAGTGACACTGTGGCTTCTGTGGAGGCGAGAATGTGTCCTCCTGTTACAAAAACAAAAATACAGAAAGAACAAAAAAGTTTTGCATTTAGAGACATGAAATGTCAGTACAGAATTGTAAATCTGGAGAAGTTCCCTGGGGAAATTTGACAATGAGGCCGCCCCAGACCGCGACAGGAAGCCAGCCCTCAGCAGCACCTGCACCTGCCCTGGAGACAGCCCCGTGCACAGTGTCCCGGGCGCCCCCTGGTGGTCATGGGGACCCCTGCAGGGAGGTTTGTGTCTGGGCTCACACTGACCTCCCCTCACTGTGTCTCTCGCACAGTAATACACAGCCATGTCCTCGGCTCTCAGGCTGTTCATTTGCAGATAGGTGATGCTTTTGGAATCATCTCTTGAGATTGTGAATCTGCCTTTCACAGACGTGGTCTATTCTGTTGTCCCACCATTAGCTTTGTTTCTAATGAAACCTACCCACTCCAGCCCCTTCCCGGGAGCCTGGCGGACCCAGCTCATGTAGTAGTCACTGAAGGTGAATCCAGAGGCTGCACAGGAGAGTCTCAGGGACCCCCCAGGCTGGACCAAGCCTCCCCCAGACTCCACCAGCTGCACCTCACACTGGACACCTGCAAACAAAAAGAAACCCTGGTCAGAAACTGCCACACAAATCCACTGTTTCTCTCACTCTTATCCACTCACACTCAATTTCAATAGTTCTCAATGAATTACCTTTTAAAATAGCGGCAAGAAAAACCCAGCTCAGCCATGACTCCATGGTGAGTCCTCTGTGTTCAGTCCTGATCACCAAATGAAAACACCTGAAAATCCCAGGGCTGGGGCTCCTCTTCCAGTGCTGCAGGGTCAGGGCTGGGCTGGTTTTCATAAGCCGAGGGAGGGCTCTATTTGCATGTCTCCTACTACATGCCAAGCTCTGGGATGGGACGCCTGAGGAGAGAGTGGGGCTCAGAGCATGTGAGAGTGTCCTGGGGGAGATTTGTGATATTGATAGCATTTGGAAATTGTGGTTTCTTATTGAAAGTTTGTTCTGTGATAAAATATTAAACCTATAAAACTTATAATGTTGTAATATCTATTTAAAACTGTTGTATTGAGGTGCAATCAATGTACATAAACTGTGTATATTTAAAGTTAGCACCAATCACCTTTTATTTTTACATATGCAGAGGAAACATGGTATATAGTATCAATGTCATTTCCATGTTACAGATGAAAAATTACCAGCAGAAGCACAGATGGGTTGTACAATGTACCCAGTGCTCACATTCGGTCAGAGTGAGCTTGGTTATCTGGGCCTGTGCTTCTCACCACTGGACCTGACTTCTCCCTGAACCAAGCCCAGCACACAGGGGTTGCAGCTAGTGAGGTTTGCAGAACCTTTTCTCTGTAACGAGAACATGGTGTGATGTGTATGCTCTGTTGTGATTACCTAACAATTGTAAAGAAAAGCATGTTTCCTACAGTGTTATTTTCTTGGGTGTCATGCATTTTCTCATGTTAGCATCTATCTTTCCATCAATCTTTATTGAACAAATTATCTATCCACTTATTTGCAATACTCTTATTGAGGCATGATTGCTGTATAACAAATACTGCTTAATTAAAGTGTGCATTTTAATAAGCACTGAAGCCAAGTATTGTCTTACATACCAGTAGTCCCAGCTACGTATGGCAGAGGGAGGAAGATTGGTGGAGACGCAGGGTCTGAGGCTGCAGAGAGCTATGATCTCACCACTGAGCTCCAGCCTGGATGACAAAGCAAGACCATGTCTCCAAAGGAAAAAATGCAGTTTCACATGTGCTTACCTGTGCATCCAAAATAACAATCAAGATAACAATGAATTACACTTCAAGGTTTCCCTAGTTTCCTCTAATTCCTGCCTCCCAGTCATTTTCCGCTCACTACACTGAGTCAGTCTCTCATGTTTGCTACTTCAGGTCTATTTTTCAAAATTTGGTTAAAGTGAAACCTTACAGTTTCCATTTCATTTGTGTGGCTTCTTGCTCAGCACAATTACTTGTGAGTCAGTAGTTTGGTTGTGTATAAAGAATATGTTCCTTGTAATGAGGAACAGAATTCCAGTTAATGAGTGTGCCCGTACTATTTATAAAGCTCCTTAATATTTTTGTTATTTCCAGTTTCTGAGTGTTACAAATAAAGCTCCAACTCAGCATGGAGATGTAGGCATCTCAGAAAAAAATGTATTATTTTTACAACTAAACTTACTGAGCTGCAAATTAGCATATTTTCTTTAAAACATCAGATTATTGATGTTATAGGACAAACAAGGGACCTTACATCTTGTGAAAGTCAGTGACTTGCAGGAACAAACAGAAAGAGAATATGACCTTATCTGGGGTAGAGCAAATGTCATATAAGCGAATGCAGGGTTAACTTAGACATACTCTTTAGACCGTTTAGAGTTGAGTATAATAAAGAAGTTATTGTTTAAATTATCAGAGGACATACAACTGAGGGAATCCTATTGCTATTGAAACCTTTTCTGCCAGGATTGAGGACACATCAGAAAAATCTCCAACCTCTTCCTCCCGAGATGGTTCTGTGTGGGGAAGTGGAACAGCAGCTGTGGCTGAAATGCATCCAGACCCAGCTCCCTCACCACCATTACATGACCAAAGAATTAACAGGCAGGGGCAAAGCCACTAACAGCTCTGTGTTACAGGCACTGGAGGAACTCGTAGAAACTGGGAGAGAAGACAGAAACGCTCTAAACGCCTCTAAAATGGCCGCTTCGGGGGGCGGCTGTCCTTTACGGTCGCAGCGGGGGGATGAAATAAGCCCCAGTCTCCCGTAGCGCTCCCAGGCTTATTAGGACGAGGAAATTCCCGCCTAATAAATTTTGGTCAGACCGGTTGTCTGCTCTCAAACCCTGTCTCCTGATAAGATGTTATCGATGACAATGCGTGCCTGAAACTTCATTAGCAATTTTAATCTCGCCCTGGTCCTGTGGTCCTGTGATCTCGCCCTGCCTCCATTGGCCTTGTGATATTCTATTACCTTGTGAAGCAGTGATCTCTGTGACCCACACCCTATTCGTACACTCCCTCCCCTTTTGAAAATCACTAATAAAAACCTGCTGGTTTTGCGGCTCAGGGGGCATCACAGAACCTGCCGAACTGTGATGTCTCCCCCAGACACCCAGCTTTAAAATTTCTCTCTTTTGTACTTTGTCCCTTTATTTCTCAGACCGGCTGACACTTAAGGAAAATAGAAAAGAATCTACGTGAAATATCGGGGGTGAATTTCTCCCAGTATCTGGCTGAATTTCCCCCGATACCTCAGTATAACACAAACACCTTCAAAGGGAAGCGATTCTCTACAGAATGTAAATTTCTCTTGCAAAAAGATAACTGTGCAGGGTGATTTAAAAATATGTCAAAGACATATATTTTAGGGTAAAAGACTTTGATTCCTTCCAAGGCCTTTTCTCTGTCATGTGATGCTATTCTTGAGTCAGGTTAGAATTTGGTGTTTTACTGCTACACGGAATCTGTTTTCTGAGCCTTAAATCTGTTTTAAGGAAAATGCTGGTTACTTGTGCTTGAATTCCAAAGGGAGGAGGGTATAATGAGGGATTTCTGATCCTCCATTTCTGACACGGCCTAAACTAGGTTTTCTAGTGTCCATGGAACTCCTCGTTGAAGAGAAAAGTTCCCTTCAGTCAGTTGGGGTGCCTAGAATTCTACTTGCAGTTTCTAGGACATATATGAGACTTACCC
The DNA here is from genome assembly GCF_000001405.40 of Homo sapiens. NCBI lineage: Eukaryota > Metazoa > Chordata > Mammalia > Primates > Hominidae > Homo > Homo sapiens. The sequence continues at coordinate 1,269,777 of NT_187600.1, forward strand.
TGCTCAGGGGTATCAGAAAATATTTACTGAGATAATCACATTGAAGTTGAGACTTGAAAGATGGTCCCAGATTCCTCCCTGCAAACCTTTTCTTCTGAAACTAGAAGAAAACTTGAGAAACAACTGTTAACATTTCTTCTATGTTCAAAATCGCCACCCATTAAGAAAATAATTAAACTTGCGAGACTTATCTTTAGAAACAAGTAGTCCAGTTGATTTCTAAAGTCCTTTACAAACCCACAGACTCTGATTAGTTTACAGATTATGCAGCACATCCCATCTAATGGGAATCTGCAATTAGCTGGATTCCCCTGCACCGTTTTTTTAAAAATGTTTAATTTATATAGATACATAACAGTTCAAAACCTTTAAGGGATACGCATGATATTTTGATAAAAGCATGTTATCTGCAATGATCAAATCCAGATACCTGGGATATCCCTCACCTCCATCACTGATTACTTCTTTGTGTTAAGAACATTCTAAATCTTATCTTCTAGCTATTCTGAAATATACAATAAAGTACTAACTGTAGTTGTGTATGTGCCTCTTCAGCATCCCCTTCCCACCCACAAGGAGTGAATGTTCCTGTTTTTCAACTTCCTCATCACCATTTGGTACTGTCTAAAATGTGTATTTTACCCATTCTAACAGGATATAGTATTTTTTGAATATTAAACATACATATACCTAAAAATCATGCTGATCACTTTTTATATTTATTTTTAGATGAGGCTTCTTTCTATACAGGTCTTTGTCTATTTTAAAATTAGATCATGTGGTTTTGTCATTCAACTGTAAGGTAATTTTTATTATTCCTGATAAAAGTCCTTTTCCAAATATTTGATTTGTGAGGAAATTCTCCATATCTGTGGCTTATCTTTTCACGTTCATGTAAGGATTTATTTTCAAAGGCCTTAAGCTTCCTAGATGAAGCCATGGCCAGAGGATTATGAAACAGGTTTCTCTCCACAACTTACAATGATATCACTAAAGGCCTCTTTACAGCAGTTTCTTTCACCTGATACATAATTTCTCCCTATAAAAATCATGATATATACTAAAAGAAATATATCATAGTGTGACAAGACAAAACAAGCATTAAAATGAGATTCAGCCATGCCATTTAGTTTGGAATTACCAAACAAAGAATTTAAGACCACTGTGATTAATATGCTAAGGTCTGTAATGAATTAAGCAGACAGCATGCTGGAACAGCTGTGTCATGCAAGTAGAATGAAGCAAATTCCAAAAAAGGAAAAAAAAGTAGATATCAAGAATTTTGTAACAGAATTAAGTAATGCTTTCAATGGACTTATATGTAGATGGGGCATAGCTGCGGACAAAAATCTGAACTTAAAACTATCTCAATAGAAATTTCCCAAACTGAAAAGCAAAAACAAAAAATATATTGTTAGAACAGTAAACACACAAATACAAATATACACACACACAGACACACACACACACATATATACACATATATACATATATACACATATATACATATATACACACATATATATACATATATATATACATATATACACACATATATACATATATATATATACACACACACACATATATACAAAAGAAGAACAGCTTACCCAAGAATGGTGAGACAGTGACAGAGGTATAACATGCACATAATGGGAAATAGAAAAAAATAGAGAAAGGCTAAGAAGAAATATTTAAACAATGATGACTGACAATATTTTAAATTAATGTCAGTCACCAAACTACAGACTCAGGAATGTGATCATTTCATCTGCAGGGATAGTTTGACACCCTCTCTTCCTGACTTGATGCTTTTTATTTCTTTCTCTTGCCTGCATGCTCTGGCTGGGACTTCCATGACAATGATGAACAGGAGTGGTTAGAATGGGTGTCCTTTTCTTGTTCTAGTTTTCAGGGGAAAATGCTTCCAGGTTTTGCTCAGTCAGTATAATGTTGGCTGTGAGTTTGTCATAGATGGCCCTTATTATTTTGTGGTGTATTCCTTCATGCCTGGTTGATGGTTTTTAACATGAAAGAATCTTAAAGTTTTTTCAAAACCTTTTCTGTGTCTATGGTTAACGTTTTCTTTCTTTTTTTTTTTTTTTTTTTGAGACAGAGTCTCACTCTGTCGCCCAGGCTGAACTGCAGTGGCGTGATCTCGGCTCACTGCAAGCTCCACCTCCTGGACTCACGCCATTCTCCTGCCTCAACCTCCCGAGTAGCTGGGACTACAGGAGCCCGCCACCATGCCCAGCTAATTTTTTTGTATTTTTAGTAGAGACGGGGTTTCACCATGTTAACCAGGATGGTCTCGAGCTCCTGACCTTATGATCCGCCCGCCTCAGCCTCCCAAAGTGCTGGGATTACAGGCATGAGTCACCGTGCCCTGCCGGTTAACATGGTTTTTGTTTTTCGTTCTGTTTATGTGATGAATCACATTTCCTGATTTGCATATGTTGAACCAACCTTGCATCCCAGGAACAAAGTGTTGGTAGGTTAGGCTTTTTGATGTGCTGCTGTATTCAGTTTGTGAGTATTTCATTGAGCATTTTTGCATCAGGTATATTGGTCTAAAGTCATGTTTTTTTATTAAGTCTCTGCCAGGTTTTGTTATCAGAATAATGCTGGCTTCATGGAATAATTTAGGGAGGAGACCTTTATCCTCATTTTTGGGAAATAGTTACACTAGGATTGGTAGCAACACTTCTTTATACATCTGAAAAAATTCGGCTGTGAATCTTTCTGGTCCCTGGCTTTTTCGTGTTGCTACCACCTATCCATGTTGATTTCTGACCCCTGCCTGAGCCAGTAATAATCACACTGAATTCAGACAAAGCTGAATCCAATCCAGTGGTTACTGTAGTTCTTAACAGCTTTACTGGCACACCTAACTTCAGTGAACATTTCTTCACCCAAAACAGTTTCACTCTCAATTTTATTTAAAGATTTCCTTTGGATTTTTTTTCATGGCTTTCAGTGATGCAACTTATTTAAATCAATGTTGGCTTCTCTACATGCGTAATTATCATTCCAACTATTGTTGAATGGGCCAGCAACCCTCTACCCCTGCTTCTTCCCTCTGCATATCTGACTATCTGCAAGATCTCCCTAGGCCTCACGTCTCTATTGCAAAGGGAAGCTTTGAGAAATGTTAGATTTACTCAGTGCTACAAATACAAAAAGCTAATGGGAGCTCCTCTGACCATTGAGTGCTAGGCCTGTAATGTATCCCAGACCCTCCGTTATCTCCAGGTCTATCCCAGAGCCTCCATTTATGTTACTTCCAGTGAATTTTGTGTTTTCTAATATAATTTTAATAGACAAATAATGATTGTAAATATTCATGAGGTACATAGCGATGTTGTGAAACAGTGTGTAGGGGACAGATAAGGATAATTAATATATCCGTCATCTGAAACATTTTCTTTTTGTTGGGAACACTCAATATCCTTCTTCTAACTGTTTGAAACTACATATAATTGTTAAATACATTTATCCCACAGTGGTAAAGAACATTATAATCTATTCCTCCCACCTAACTCTAATGTATTCCTTCACAAATCTCTGCCTATCTCTTCCCCTGCACTTCCCAGACTCTAGTATCCTCTGTTCTACTATTTATTTCTATGAGACAAATTTTCTTTTTCCTTCCACGTATGAGTGAGAAAACAAGGTGTATTACTTGAAGTTCCTGGTTTATTTCATTTCACATAATGTCCTCCAGTTCCGTCTTCATTGCCAAAAACAACAGGATTTCCTTTCCTGTGGATGATGAGCATCTCATCATGTATATGCACCACATAATCTTTAACCATTCATCTGCTCTCTGACACCTGGTTTGATTTCATATCTTGGCCATTGTGAAAGGTCCTGCCATATACACTGGGAGTAAGAAATCTCTGATATAATTATTTTCATGCGTTTGGATACATTTGCAGTAGTGGAATTGCTGGGTCGTTTGGTAGTTGTATTTGTAGTTTTTTGAGGTACCTCCACGCTGCTCTCCATAGTGACTGACTGTACTAGTTTACCTTCTCCCCAACCTTACCAGCATTTGTTAGTTTTCTTTCTTTCTCTCTTTATTTCTTTTTATCTCTTTCTCTTTTTTCTTTCTTTCTCCTTTCCTTTTCTTCCTTCTATCCCTCCTTCTGTCCTTCCATCCTTCCTTCCTTTTTTCTCTCTCTCTTTCTTTTTTCTCTCTTTCCTTCTTTTTCTTTCTTTCTTTTCTTTCTTAATTTTTTTCTTTCTTAATTTCTTTTTCTTTCTTTCTTTCTTTCGTTCTTTCTTTCTTTCTTTCCCTTCCTCCCTCCCTCCCTCCCTCCCTCCCTCCCTCCCTCCCTTCCTTCCTTCCTTCCTTCCTTCCTTCCTTCCTTCCTTCCTTCCTTCTTTTTGAGACAGAGTTTCACTCCTGTCACCCAGGCTGGAGTGTAGTGGCGTGATCTCACCTCACTGCAACCTCCAACTCCCAGGTTCAATCGATTATCTTGCCTTAACCTACCGAGTAGCTGGGGCTACAGGTGCTGGCCAACACGCCCAGCTAATTTTTGCATTTTTAGGAGGGATAGGGTTTTGCCATGTTGGACAAGTTGGTCTTAAACTCCTGATCTCAAGTGATCCACCTGCCTCGGCCTCGCAAAGTGCTGGGATTACAGGCATGAGCCACCACGCCTGGCTGTTTTTTTTCTTTTTTGATAAGAGCCCTCTTAACTGAGATGAAGTGATACCTTCTACCATTGTGTAGGCTGTTTGTTCACCATGTTGATTATTTCTTTTTCTCTGCAGAAGATCTTTAGTTCAATTAAGTCCTCTTCATCTATTTTTGTTTTCGTTGCATTTGCTTTTGAAGTCTTAGTCATATTTTATCTGCCTAGGCCAATGTCCCGAGAATTCTCCCTACATTTTCTTCAAGTATTTTTATAGTTTCAGTTTATACATTTAATTATTGAATCCATATTCAGTTACTTTTTGTCTGTGGTGAGATAGAAGCCTGGTTTTATTCTTCTATGAGTGGCCATCCAATTTTCCCAGCACGACTTACTGAATAGAGGACTATTTCTCCAGTGTATATTTTTGTCAGTTTTGTCAAAGAATAGTTGGTTGTAGATATTTGGCTTTCTTTCTGGGCTCTCTATTCTGTTACATTAATTTTTTTTTTGAGATGGAGTTTTGCTCTTGTCACCCAGGCTGGAGTGCAATGGCAAGATCTCAGCTCACTGAAACCTCCACCTCCCGGGTTTAAGTGATTCTCCTGCCTCAGCTTCCGATGTAGCTGAGATTACAGGTATGGGCCACTAGGCCTGGCTAGTTTTTCATATTTTTACTAGAGACAGGGGTTCACCATGTTGGTCAGGCTGGTCTTGAGCTCCTGACCTCAGGTGATCCACCAGCTTCTGCCACCTAAAGTGCTGGGATTACAGGCACACCTGGTCTAATATTTTTTGTTTTGTTTTGGTACCAGTACCGTGCTGTCTTTCTTCCTATAACTGTGTAGTATAATTTGAAGTCAGGGAATGTGGGGCTTTCAGCTTTGTTTCCTTGTCTTAGGACGGCTTTTGCTATTATATGGAATCAAAAGGCTCTTTTTTGCTTCCATATAAATTTTAGGACATTTAAAAAAAATGTACTTAATTATATTGGTTATTTGATGGAAACTGCATTGACTCTGTATATTGCTTTGGGCAGTGTGTTTTAGTCTATTTTGCATTGCTCTAAATTAATGCCTGAGGCCAAGTAATTTACAAATAAAAGAGGCTCATTTGGCTTAGAGTTCGGCAGGCTGTGTGAGGAGCATGGCACCAGCATCTGCTTCTTGTGAGGGCCTCAGGAAGCTTACAGTTATGGTGGAAGGCAAAGGGGAAGCAGGCGGTGTCATATGGTGAGGGGTGGACGTGAGAGGGGAGGAGGGTCATCAGACTCCTTTTAATAATCAGATCTCCCAGTAGTTAATACAGGAATAATTCACCTACTGCCATAGGGTGGTTATTGAGCCATTCCTGAAGGATTTTTCCCCATGTCCCAAAATCTCCCAGTCGGCCCCACCTCAAATATTGTGGAGCACATTTCGCCATGAGATTTGGAGGGGACCATCATCTAAACTATATCATTTCACTCTTGTGCCCCCTGATCTTACGTCCTTCAGAGGTTGCAAAATGATCTTTTTTTTTAATAGTTTCCAAAAGTCTTAACTTGGTCAACCTCCAACTGAAAATTCCAAAGTCTTATCCGAGTCTTAAGGCAATTTCCCTCCAGCTATGAGCTGGCAAAATGTTTTAAAGAGTTATTTACTTCCAACATGCAAGACTGCCACAGATATTGGTTAAATATTGTTAATACAAAAGGAAAAAAATGTCCAAAGGAATGGCCAATAGGCCCCCCACACACCTAAAGCCTGTCTGGGCAGATATTAAATCTTAAAGCTACAAAATAATCTCGCTTCACTTGATGTACTTCAACCAGGGCACCCTGGGTTGAAGGAGTCCCAGAAACCTCAGGCTTTTCATCCTTATAGCTGAGCACAGCTTATTGGCCTGCATTCATAGGTTAGAGTCGAGTACCAGAAGTTTTTCCAGGCTGAGAGTGCAAGCTGCCTTTGGTTCTACCATTCAGGGACCTTGAGGGTCGTGGCCACATTCCCACAGCTTTAGTGTAAAATGCCCTAGTGGGGATTGTGAATTGGGGCTCCAACCCTCTCTTTCCCCATCTTTGGCACTGTCCTAGTAGAGGCTGTCTGTGGTGGCTGCACTGCTGCAGCCGGCCTCCTGCTGGGCCTGCAGGGCCCTCTACATATCCTCTGAAATCTAAGTCGAAGCTGCCCAGCCTCCTTCACTTTTGCATTCTGTATATCTGACAGAATCCAGTTATCCCAGCACCGTTTAGTGAATACAGAGTTTTATCCCCATTGCTTGTTTTCGTCAGCCTTATCAAATATCAGATGGTTTATGTGTGCAGGTTTATTTCTGTTTTCTCTCTTGTTCCATTTTTCTGCATGTCTGCTCATGTACCACTTCCAAGCTGTTTTGGTTACTGTGACTTTATGGTGTAGTTTAAAGTCAGGTATCATGTTGCCTCTGTCATGGTTCTTTCTGCTTAGAATTGCTTTGGCTACTCAGGGGCTTTTTGGTTCCATATAACTTTTAGAATATATATACTTTTTTTTCTAATTCTGTGAAGAATGATGGTGATAGTTTTATGTGAATAGTATTGAATCTGTAAATTTCTATTGGCAGTATGACAATTTTTACAATATTGATTATTCCAATCATGAGCATGAAATGTTTTCCCATTTTTTGTGTCATTTATGACTTATTTCTGCTGTGTTTTGTCATTCATCTTGCAGGGATCTTCCATCTTATTTGTTATCTGTGTTCCCAGGCATTTCCTTTTCTTTGTGGATATTGTAAGTGGGATAGAATTGTGTTCTTGATTTCACTCTCAGCTTGGATGTAGTTGGGGTACAGAAATGCTAGTGATTTTTGTACATTGATTTTGTATCCCGACACTTTACCAAAGTTGTTTATCTATTCTAGAATTATTTTGGCAGAGTCTTTAGAATTTTCTAGGTATAGAATTATATCATCAATTTGGACAGATACATTGACTTCTTTTCCTATTTTGATTCTGTATTAGTCCATTCGCACACTCTAAAGAAACACCTGAGACTGTGTAATGTATAAAGGTTTTTAATTGTCTTATGGTTCTGCAGGCTGTACAGGAATTATGGCTCTTGGGGGGGCCTCAGGAACATGACAATCATGACAGAAAGGGAAGCATCATGTCTTACAGGGCAGGAGCAGGAGGAAGAGAGAGGAGGGAGATGACACATACTTTGAAACCAGATCTCCTGAGGACCATCACGAGAGCAGCACAAGAGACGGAGACCCATCCTCATGATAGAATCACCCTTCACCAGACCCCAGCCCCAACCCTGGGAATTACAATTTGACATGAAATTTGAATGGGGCACTAGTACAAACCATATCGGCTGCGTTTTATTTTCGCTATTGCCTGGTTGCCCTGACTAGGATTTTCAGTGCTATGTTCAATAGGAGTGGTGAGAGGGCATCCTTGTCTTGTTCCAATTCTCATGGGGTTTGAGCTTTTGCTCACTCAGTATAATGTTGACTGTGGGTTGGTCATAGATGGCTCTTATTATTTTGAGGTATGTTTTTTGATGCCTAGTTTGCTGAGGGTTTTTATTATGAGTGAGTGTTGGAGCATATCAAAAGCTTTCTCAGCATCTATTGAGATAACATATGGTTTTTGCTTTTATTCTGCTTACACAATGAATCACAGTTATTGATTTGTGGATGTTGAATGAACTTTGCATCCCAGGGTAAAGCCCACTTGATCATGATGTGTTACATTTTAAAGTGCTTCTGGATTCTATTTGCTAATATTTTGTTGAGAACTTTTAGGTCTATGTTCATCACGAATATTCATCTAATATTTTCTTTTTTAATTATGTCTCTTCCTGATTTTGTATGCCAAAAAGACACAGTGAAGAAAGACAGTCTCCTCAATAAATGATGTATAACTGGACATCCATATGCAGAAGAAATAAAATTAGACCTTCTCTCACACCATGTACAAAAATCAACTAAAAATGAGCAAAACCTGAAACCACAAACTCATAGACAGCATGGAAAAACTTCCTGTCATTGATTCAGAAATGATTTATTTGAATTTAATACCAAAAGCACAGGAAAAAAAACTATGTGCAAATTACAAACGACCTGATAAAAGGGAAAAAACCTGGATAGACTTTTTTTCAGAAAACCCACTCATGAAAAACAGAGCCTAAAAAGGTTCCCAACATTACTAATTTTCAGAGAAATTCAAATCTAAAGCACGATGAAATATTGCCTCAAACCACTTAAAATGACTATTATCAGCAAGACAAAATATAACAAGTGTTCACAAGAATGTTGGGAAAGGAAATCATGATATGGTGTGGTAGGACTTGTTACTCAATAAATTGAAAAATAAAGTTATCGTACGATCTGGTGATCCCACTTCTTGTTATATATTCAAATGAAATAAAATTATTATGTTAAACACATGTTCACTGCCAGATTATTTATAATAGTGTAGATTTGTGAAAGAGTTTAATGACCATAGATTAAAGAATGTTTAAAGAAAATGTGTACACATAAAACTGAATTTTATTTAGCTTTGAAAAGAAGGAAGTTCTGGCTTTTGCAACATGGATGGGCCTGGAGGACATGACGCTGAGTGGAATAAGCCAGATGCAGAAAGACAAATGCTGCATGATCTCATTTACGTGTGGGATCTGAAATATTCAAGCTCTTGAAAGCAGAGAGTAGAATAGTGGGTCCCAGGACCTGGGAGGAGAGGGAAATTGGGTGAAGTTGGTCAGAGGGTACAGAGTTTCAGCTGTGCAGGGTGAATGAGTTCTGGAGATCTAACCTACGCCAATTTTCCTGTATTTAATACTGTACTGTAAAAGTGATTTTTGCTAAAAGGGTAGATCTTAGGTGTTCTCATGAAACACACACACACGCACACACTCACATGCAGTACATTTTTAAAATAATAAAATTGGCTGGGCGCTGTGGCTTGCATCTGTAATCCCAGCACTTTGGGAGGCCGAGGCGGACAGATCTCTTGAGGTCAGCTGTTCGAGGCCAGCCTGGCCAACGTGGCGAAACTCTGTCTTTACTAAAAGTACCAAAAAAAAAAAAAAATAGCGGGGTGTGGTGTTGAGCTCCTGTAATCCCAGCTACTCGGGAAGCTGAGGCAGGAGAATCCCTTGAATCCAGGGGTTGGAGGTTGCAGTGAGCTGAGATGGTGACATTGAACTCCAGCCTGGACGACAAGAGCAAAACTCTGTCTCAAAAATCAAACAAAAAATAGTGAGAAGATGAATATACAAATTACCTTAACCATGATGAGCATTTCACAATGTGCATATGATATGGTTTGGATCTGTGTCTTGGACCAAATCTCATGTTATATTATAATCCTCAGTCCTGGGGTGGGACCTGGTGGGAGATGACTGGGTCGTGGGGTGGGTCTTTCATGAGTGGTTCAGCACCGACTCCTGGTGCTGTTCTCACTACAGTGCCTGAGTTCTCACAAGATCTAGTTGTCTAACAGTGTGCAGTCCCCCCACACCCCGGTCCGCTTCCTGTGGCTTCCGCTCTGGCCATGTGACACACCTGCTCCCCTTTGTCTTCTGCCATGATCCTAACTTTCCTGACTCTCCCCAGAAGGAGAAGCCACTGCACTTCCTGTACAGCCTGCAGAACCGTGAGCCAATTAAACATATTTTTTTTCAAATTACTCAGTCTCAGGCATTTTTTATAGCAGTGTGAGAATGGACTAATACAACATCAAAACGTCAAGTGGGGCACCTTAAACCTATACATTTTAAAAAATATTTTATTTTTACCTCAATAAAACTGAAAAAAATTAAACTTCCTCTTACAATAAAGAAAAACATACTTCATATTTTCTCAACAAAATTGAGACAACATAGATAGAAAAACTTACACTAATGTATTTGTAACAGCTTTGCTTATAATATTCATATACTGGAAACAAATGTAAAATCCATCGACAACAAATAGATCAATATATTGTCATATATTTACTCAATGGACTGTCTCAGATATAAAATCTCTGTCCTTCCTCCCTCTCTCTCTCTCCATATATACATGAATACTTTGAGGTTTCATATCAGAGTCAGCCCATTAATTGAGTAAATGACACTATGATGATCTAATTTCATACATTAAATAGCATGAATTAACCTAAAAAATAGCAAAGTAGTCCCTTACCAAAAAAAGGTCTATAATGTTTGATTCCATTTATATAAAGCTCAAAACAGAAAAAAATGGATCTATGGTGTCAGAAATCAAAACACTTCCCCATGTAGGGGTTGACCGCAGGCACAGAGAAAGACGCATGTTGTGGGTATGGACTTGCTCTTTAGTCTACCTTAGGTGTTCGGGACAAGGGTATTCACATTTGCCAGAAACTCTCTAGTGACACATTTCAGATCTATAAATTTTTTCTTACATGTAAATTTTATCTCATAAAAACAAAAAATAAAAAAGTATAGAATAGGCTGTAATATGTTTGTTGGGAAAATTATTACCTTTATGTTGTTTTGAAAAACTAAAGCAAAGCATAATGAAATTAAATGTTTTGTGCTTATCTGGTACAACAGCATGTTGAGAAAACTGAACAGCACTGTAATCCTGAGGAGGTGGCCTGATCCAAAGAGAGGCATCAAATTAAAAAATATATAATTAAAATTTCATTGGAAATTGAGAAATTTTGGTTGTACCCCATATACTGATGGGGTACAAAGCTATGTTATGATTTATGAATGCAATGTGGAATAATTGAATCGAGCTAATTGACATATATATCACCTCAAATCTTCAAATCCTTATCATTTTTTGGTGACAAGAACATTTGAAATTTGTTCTTGGCTATTTTAAAATGACCAATTCACTATACTTAAGCTTACAAGTAGACATCGATTTATGTAAACCATAGAGAAGGATTGAAATCAATTATGGATTACTCTAATTTATATTTAGTTCATCATTAAGTTTAATTCTTTTAATTTAATTCAATTATTTTATTTAATTTATTATTTTATTATAATGTTAAATATAAATGACTACACATGTATGCATAGTTTCATGTATTCACACATATGTTTATAGATGTAAATTAATGTTGCATAGCTATGTAGTTGCTGATATCAACAGGTGTTAATAAAACTTTAGAGGAATAGGTGTAAATTACTAGGAAGAATTATTTCTTGAAGTTATGTATTTTTAAAAAATACCCCTACATATAAATGTAAAAATTACTAAAACACAAATATCAATAAAAAACACATGATAAATAACCATAATAAAATAGTGCAACCTCATAAGGCTCCAGAGTCCTGCAAAAACAAACCCGCCTCCTGCAGCTGACAGGAAACCGCCCCCTGCACCTGCTCCTGGGACCTGTCCCGTCCTCAGTGGTTCCCGACCGCCCCCTGGTGGCCCCACGCGCCCCTGCAGGGAGGTTTGTGTCCGGGCTCACACTGACCTCCCCTCGCTGTGTCTCTAGCACAGTAATACACGGCCGTGTCCTCGGTTTTCAGGCTGTTCATTTGCAGATACAGTGAGTTCTTTGAATCATCTCTTGAGATGGTGAATCTGCCTTTCACAGACGCGGCGTATTCTGTGGTGTAACTGTTAGCTTTGTTTCTAGTACGGCCAACCCACTCCAGCCCCTTCCCTGGAGCCTGGCGGACCCAGTCCATGTAGTGGTCACTGAAGGTGAATCCAGAGGCTGCACAGGAGAGTCTCAGGGACCCTCCAGGCTGGACCAAGCCTCCCCCAGACTCCACCAGCTGCACCTCACACTGGACACCTGCAAACACAGAGACACCCTGGTCAGAAACTGTCACACAAATCCACTGTTTCTCTCACTCACGTCCACTCACACTTAACATCTCTAGTTCTCCATAAATCACCTTGTAAAATAACAACAAGGAAAACCCAGCTCAGCCCAAACTCCATGGTGAGTCCTCTGTGTTCAGTGCTGATCACCAAATGAAAACACCTGGGAATTCTGGGGCTGGGGCTCCGCTCTCAGAGCTGCAGGGTCAGGGCTGGGCTGGTTTTCATCAGCAGAGGGAGGACCCTATTTGCATGTCTCCTACTATATAGCAAGCTCTGGGGTGGGACGCCTGAGGAGAAGGCAGTGCCCAGAGCAGATGTGAGTGTCCTGGTAAGCATGGGCAGTAATCCTATCTCTCAGGAAATTGTAACTTCGGATTATGTGATTGTGCCTTGATAATCATTTAGCAATCATCATCTTATTTTATTTTTACATATTTGCAGAATATATTTAATGCAACCATCAATGTTACATTTGTAGAGAAGATAAATTACATACAGAACAGAGCAGTTGTGCAATGTGTTGAATATCACACATCTGGCCAGACTTAGCCCTATTATCCGTGCCTGTGCGTCTAAACACTGGAGGAGACTGCTCCCCTGAGACAGCTCCAGGGCCGTGTGGGACATGCCTAGAGAGGTTTTCAGGATGTCCCACCTGTCATAACAACTGTATGTGATTTTGCTTCCCTAATGTTTGAGGCGGGGCCCGGTGGTTGTATCGTGGGTCCGGATTTATGAATAATGGTTAGCACGGTCCCCTTGCTATGATAGTAAATGAGTTCTCATGAGATTTGGTTGTTTAACAGTGTGTGGGACCTCCACCCTCACTCTTTCTTTGCTCCTGCTCCCACCATATAAAGTGGCTGCTCCCCTTTTGCCTTTCACTATCATTGTAAATTTCCTGAGGCCTCTCCAGAAGCTGAACAGATTTTTCATCATGCTTCCCATACAGCCAGCAGAATCATGAGTAAATTAAACCTATTTTCTATGTGAATTACTCAGTTTCAGGTATTTCTTTCTAGCAATACGAGAACACACTAATAAAGCGGACATCTCCCTCGTTTCACCAGGGTCCCTTGCAGTCTGCAACCACCCAGCTAAGGAGAGGGATGGTCCAATCTCCATGACTGACACCATCGAGGTGCTGCCTCAGGCCCAGATGGTTTGTGATGGATGTCACTTTACTAATCTTGAGTTCAGGGAGTATAATGCCCTCCTCCCGCATGCCTCACAGATGAAGAAGCCACCCTGTGATCAACTCTCTCTTCTTCTGTCTGAACCCATTTCTAAGTGTCAGCAATTCCGCAGTGGTGGAATCCCACATTGTGGTGTGTTTCCTTATTTCAGGTGGGAAATGTCTCTGGGGCTCGCCTCTGCTGGTGCAGTTGGCCCATTTTTACCTTGGTGGTAGCCACCAGATGTGTAGAGAGGACAGGAACCCCCATGGGCTTACCCCAAACTTCATCCTCCTCCCCCTAGAACTCTTTATGGGAACTAGGTCTTAGGGTCCCATGACAGTTTAGTCATCACAGCCGTAACTAATTCATGTGATGGCCAGAAATCCTTCAAATGTGCTGCTCCACAAGCGGCGGTCCCCAATTTGCCATTCTGCTTCCACAGGCAGGACAGAAAGGTCTCTGATTAGTCTGAGCTAGTCTGGCATGTTTTTCTAGGAGTAGCTCTTCTTGTGACTGACACACTGTAGCATACACAGTGAGCACTGTCTCAGTGGCTTCTCAGAGTGCAGTCAGGAAGAACCACTCACCTGATAATGCAACAGCCTGGACATCTGACTTTCACTTTGTAAGATGCACCCACTGAAGAGGTTCTTCCAGAACTTTTGGCATTGTGGCGGTATCCCCATACTCAGGCACTGGGCCCCATCCATCATGGATAACGGCTGTTGGGCCCCACGTAGAAATTAACAGCCTGCCCAAGGTTTCTGCAGGGGTCTCCTCTTTTTAGATTCCATTGTCTGGGTGCTCATGAGATTTTTTTTGGACCTTTTACCAGGTTGACTGGATGTCACGCCAGACCAATATGGACTCCAATAGGACTGGCATCGTGTACAACAGGCCAAACCAGTGAACAAGACATATAGTTTATTGAGGGCTTTCATATAGGGTGGTTCAGGAACAGCAGGCTGGACAAGAAAACTACAACCATTTGACAAAACTATGCAGCTTATGTAGTAATTTTTACTTAACACCCTCCACCTAGCAACTTTCATTTAACCCAAAAGAAAGAGCCTCAATCACCCCTAAATCCTGTGTTCCAAGGGATCGGTCAGGGGTTTGGATGTTATTCATAGATTAAAAAACAAGTCTCTGGGTCTGCCACTCCTGGATTCCTTAGCTTGGAACTTGAAACATACATTTCTTTTTTCCTTTCTGATTATTCTGGCTAGGACTTTCAGTAATACGTCCAGTAGGAGTGGTGAAAGTGTGCATTCTTGCTCACGTTCTTCAGGAATATTTTTGCAACTTTTTCTCATTCCATATAATGTTGTTTTGTTATATGTGGCTTTTTTTTTTAGTTAAAGTCATTCATTTCTTCACTACCAAGTCCAGCATATTGAATAAATCAGTTGCATAGGTTTTTACTAAATTTAAGAAGATCCCTGTTCTATTGATTTATTTAAGAGTTTTTTGTTGGTTGTTGTATGTGGCTTTTATAGTTTTGAGGTAGGTTTCTTTGATGCTAAGCTTGTTGAGGAATTTTTCATGAAGGGATATTGAATTTTATTGAATGACTTTTTTGCATTCATTGAGATGGTCTTATGTTTTCTGTTTTTAATTATGTTATATGTTGAATCATATTTATTGATGTGTTTATTTTAGACAAGCTTTGCATCCCTGGAATAAAACCCAATTGGTCATGATGTATTATCTTTTATTGTGCTGTTGGTTTCAGCTAGCTAGTATTCTGTTTACTATTTTGTATCTATGTTCATTAGGGATATTTCCCTGTAGCTTTTTGTTGTTGTAGTTGTATCCTTGCCTGATTTTGGTATTAGGTGATACGAGTATTTTAGACAAAGGTGGGAAAGAATCTCTTCTCTTTAATCCTTTGGAATAGTTCCAGTAAGAATGGTACATCTGGTAAAATTAGACCTTGAATTTATCTGGTTCTGGGCTTTTGGGGTTGGGAGATTTTCAGTTTCTGATTCAGTCTTATTACTCGCATTGGTCTATTTAGGATTTCTTTTCCTTCCTGGTTCAATTTTGGGGGGTAGTTGAATATTTCCAGAAATTTATTGATTTCCTCTAGATTTTCTAGTTTGTGAGCATAGACATATTCAGTATGTCTTGATAATCTTTTGTATTTCCATTGGGTCAGTTATAATACCACCTTTATCATTTCTGCTTGTGCTAACTTGAATCTTCTGTCTTTTTTTTTTTGTTGACCTAGTTAGTGCTCTATCAATTGTGTTCATGTTTTAAAATAACCACATTTTGTTTTGTTGATTCCTTATATTTTGCTTTTTTGTTTCAATATTTTTGAAATCTGCCATGATCTTTATTTATTTTCTTCTTCTAGCTCTGGGGTTGGTTTGTTCTAAAATATCTAGTTCCTTGAAGTAAATCAATAGATTGCTAGTTTATAATCTTTCTATTTTTTCATAGACATTTAGAACTATAAGCTCTTAGTACTGCTCTTCCTGTATCTCAGAGGGTTTGGTATGTTGTGGCTTCATTTTTCTTTGTATTTTTAAAAATTAATATCTTAATTTTATTGGTGAGCCAATGATTGGTCAAAATTGTGTTGTTTAATTACCTCATATTTTCATAGTTTCAACAGTTTTTTTGCAATTGATTTTTTTAATTTTATTTTTTTTATTACACTTTAAGTTTTAGGGTATGTGTGCACAATGTGCAGGTTTGTTGCATATGTATATGTGTGCCATGTTGGTGTGCTGCACCCATTAACTCATCATTTAACATTAGGTATTTCTCCTAATGCTATCCCTCCCCACCGCCCCTCCAACCCCACAACAGGCCCCAGTGTGTGATGTTCCCCTTCCTGTGTCCATGTGCTCTCATTGTTCAATTCCCACCTATGAGTGAGAACATGTGGTGTTTGGTTTTTTGTCCTTGCGATAGTTTGCTGAGAGTGATGGTTTCCAGCTTCATCCATGTCCCTACAAAGGACGTGAACTCATCATCTTTTATGGCTGCATAGTATTCCATGGTGTATATGTGCCACATTTTCTTAATCCAGTCTATCATTGTTGGACACTTGGGTTGGTTCCAAGTCTTTGCTATTGTGAATAGTGCTACAATAAACATACGTGTGCATGTGTCTTTATAGCAGCATGATTTATAATCCTTTGGGTATATACCCAGTCATGGGATGGTATATACTCAGTAATGGGATTGCTGGGTCAAATGATATTTCTAGTTCTAGATCCCTGAGGAATCGCCACACTGACTTCCACAATGGTTGAACTAGTTTACAGTCCCACCAACAGTGTAAAAGTGTTCCTATTTCTCCACATCCTCTCCAGCACCTGTTGTTTCCTGACTTTTAGATTTATTACATTACTGTGCAATAAATAACTAACATCTAGAATCTAACAAGAACACAGACAACTCAGCAACAACAACAAATAAATAAATTACACCATTAAAATGTGGGCAAAAGACATCAACAGACATTTTGTGAAGAAGATATTCAAATGGCCAAAAAGCATATGGAAATAAAAAGCTGAACAACATTAATCATTAGATAAATTAATATTAAAACAACAGTGAGACACAACTTTACATCAGTCAAAGTGCCTATTATTATGAAGTCAAAAAATTATAGATATGGATGAGAATTCAGAGAAAATGCATTTATACACTGTTGTTGGTAATGTAAATTAGTGCAACCTATGTGAAAAAAATTGTAAAGGCTTATCAAGCAACTAAAATAGATCTATCGTTCAATCAGCAATCCCACTCCATGATATGTACCCCAGAAAATAAATCACTGTTACAAAAAATGCCTGGTCTCAGAGCCAGTAATTCTTTGCCAAGGCCAATGCAGAGAAGAGTATTCCTAGGTTGTCTTCCTAGCTTTTTGTAGTTTGAAGTCTTAGTTAAAGCTATAATCCATTTTGAGTTAATTTTCTTTTTCATATGGTGATAGTCACGAGTCAAGTTCCCATCTTCTGCATATGGCTAGCAAGTTATCCCAGCACCATTTATTGACTAGGTTGTCTTTTCCCCATTGCTTGTTTATTTTTTTCAGGGTTGTCAAAAAACAGATGGTTGTGGGTGTGCAGCTTTATTTCTGAGTTTTCTATTCTATTTCATTTGTCTATGTGTTTATTCTTGTACAAGTACCAAACAGTTTTTGTTACTGTGGCTTTATAGTAGAGTTTGAAGTCAAATAGTGTGATGTCCCTGGCATTGTTCTTTTGGCTGAGGATTACTTTGGCTGTTTTTGTTCTTTTTTGGTTACATACAAATTTTAGAATACTTTTCTTATATTTCTAGAAGAATAAAACTGGTATTTTGATAATAACATTGAATCGATAAATATTGAAGGATAATATTGCCATTTTTGCAATATTATTTCTCCCATTCCATGAGCATGGAATTTTTTTTTCAATTTATTTGTTTACTTTCTGATTTCTTTCTGCAGTGTTTTGTAGTTCTTTTTTTTTTTTTGCTAAAGACTAGTTTACAAAATACTTTATTGAATCATCTTATTTTGGTTTGCAGTTTAGAGCAAGTTACTTAGATAAAATATATGTTCTCTACCTACTCAAGAGACATTAAGGATTTTCGTTGTAATTGTTTTTTTTAATTATACTTTAAGTTTTAGGGTACATGTGCACAATGTGCAGGTTTGTTACATATGTATACATGTGCCATGTTGGTCTGCTGCACCCATTAACTCATCATTTAGCATTACGTGTATCTCCTAATGCTATCCCTCCCTCCTCCCCCCACCCCACAACAGGCCCCGGTGTGTGATGTTCCCCTTCCTGTGTCCATGTGTTCTCATTGTTCAATTCTCACCTATGAGTGAGAATATGCGGTGTTTGGTTTTTTGTCCTTGCGATAGTTTGCTGAGAATGATGGTTTCCAGCTTCATCCATGTCCCTACAAAGGACATGAACTCATCATTTTTTATGGCTGCATAGTATTCCATGGTGTATATGTGCCACATTTTCTTAATCCAGTCTATCATTGTTGGACATCTGAGTTGGTTCCAAGTCTTTGCTATTGTGAATAGTGCCACAATAAACATACGTGTGCATGTGTTTTTATAGCAGCATGGTTTATAATCCTTTTGGTATATACCCAGTAATGGAATGGCTGGGTCAAATGGTATTTCTAGTTCTAGATCCCTGAGAAATTGCCATACTGACTTCCACAATGTTTGAACTAGTTTACAGTCCCACCAACAGTGTAAAAGTGTTCCTATTTCTCCACATCCTCTCCAGCACCTGTTGTTACCTGTTGTTTCCAAGGCTACAGTAACCAAAACAGCATGGTACTGGTACCAAACCAGAGATATAGACCAATGGAACAGAACAGAGCCCTCAGAAATAATGCCACATATCTACAACTATCTGATCTTTGACAAACCTGACAAAAACAAGAAATGGGGAAAGGATTCCCTATTTAATAAATGGTGCTGGGAAAACTGGCTAGCCATATGTAGAAAGCTGAAACTGGATCTCTTCCTTACACCTTATAGAAAAATTAATTCAAGATGGATTAAAAACTTAAATGTTAGACCTAAAACCATAGAAACCCTAGAAGAAAATCTAGGCAATACCATTCAGGACATAAGCATGGGCAAGGACTTCATGTCTAAAACACCAAAAGCAATGGCAACACAAGCCAAAATTGACAAATGGGATCTAATTAAACTAAAGAGCTTCTGCACAGCAAAAGAAACTACCAACAGAGTGAACAAGCAACCTAACGAATGGGAGAAAATGTTTGCAATCTACTCATCTGACAAAGGGCTAATGTCCAGAATCTACAATGAACTCAAACAAATTTACAAGAAAAAAACAAACAACCCCATCAAAAAGTGGGTGAAGGATATGAACAGACACTTCTCGAAAGAAGACATTTATGCAGTCAACAGACACATGAAAAACTGCTCATCATCACTCGCCATCAGAGAAATGCAAATCAAAACCACAATGAGATACCATCTCACACCAGCTAGAATGGCGATCATTAAAAAGTCAGGAAACAACATGTGCTGGAGAGGTTGTAGTTCTTCTTGTAGAGATCTTTCACCTCCTTGGTTAGCTGTATTCCTAGGTATTTCTTTTTTTGTAGATGTTGTAAGTGGGATCGTGTCATTTATTTTTCTCTATGCCTGGATGTCGTTGGTGTATAAAAAAGCTACTGATTTTCGTATATTTATTCTGTATCCTGAAACATTACTAAAGTTGTTTATCAATTCTAGGATTCTTTTGGCAGAGTCTATAGAATTTTCTATGCATAGGATCCTATCAACAGCAAAAATAGATAGTTTGAATTCTTATTTACTTGTGGGGATGCCTTTTATTTCTTTCTCTTGTTTGATTTCTCTGGCTAGAACATCCACTACTATGTTGAATAGGAGTGGTGAGAGTGGGTATTCTTGTTTTGTTCCAGTTATGAAGGGGAATGATTTGAGCTTTTGTTGATTCAGTATGGTGTCAGTTGTGGGTTTGTCATACATGGCTCTTATCATTTTAAGCTAAGTTTCTTTGATGTCTAGTCTGTTGAAGGTTTTTATCATGAAGAATGTTGAATCTTATTGAAAGTTTCTCTGGATCTATTGAGATAATTATATAGTTTTTGCTTTTGATTCTGCTTATGTGGTGGAGCACCTTTATTGATTTGTGTATGTTGAACTAGCCTTGCATGAAAGGAGTAAAATCTACTGGATCATAATGTAATAACTTTTTAATGTGCTGCTATATTCAATTTCCTAGTATTTTCTTGAAGATTTTTAGGTCTATCATCAGGAATATTGGTCTAAGATTTTCCTCTTTTGTGTATCTCCCAGATTTTTTGTTCCAAGGACACACAATAAGGAAAAGATTGCCTTTTTAACAAATGGTGTAAAAACTGAGCATCCATATGCAGAAAAAAATGAGACCTCATCTCATCTCATATACAAAAATCACCTAAAAATGTACTCAAGGCTTGGATATAATATGATATCTAAAATTGTAAACTCATAGAAGAAAACAGGGAAAAAAGAAGCTTTCCAGAGTTGATCTGGA
This sequence comes from Homo sapiens, assembly GCF_000001405.40. NCBI lineage: Eukaryota > Metazoa > Chordata > Mammalia > Primates > Hominidae > Homo > Homo sapiens. The sequence goes on from NT_187600.1 coordinate 1,290,444, forward strand.
AAATGATTTATTTGGATTCGACACCAAAATCATAGACAAATAAATTACTTGAAGCTATATATCTGACAAAGGGATCTATCTAAATGTGTAAAGAACCCATACAATAGCAAAAAAAACCCCTGATTTTTAAGAGGGCAAAACTGTACATAGACATTGTATTCAAGGGAAGACATATGCATGGCCAGCAGGACATGGAAAGGTGTTCCACATTGCTAATCATCAGGGGAATCCAAATCAAAACCACAATGAGATATCACCTCACGTTCATTACCATGACTATTATCACAGACACAAAAGATAACAAAATGCTGACAGTTAGCTGGTGAAAAGAGAATTATTCAGTGGAGTGGTAGTAAAAGTTATTTTATAAATTGAAAGTAAAACTATTACGTGATCTGGTGATCCCACTTCTGGCTGCGTATTCAAAGGAAATAAAATCAGTAAGTAAAAAATATGTTTATTACAAGATTATTCATAATGGCCTAGAATTTTTTTAAAGTTAGTGACCGTAGGTAAATGGGTGTATAAAGCAAATGTATACACATACAATGGAATATTATGTGACCTCTAAAAATAAGGAAATTATAACATTTCCAACAACATGGATGGGCCTGGAGAACATTATGCTAAGTGGAATAAGCCAGACACAGAAAGACAAATGCTGCATTATCTCATTTATATGGGGAATCTAAAATATTCAAATTCTTAGAAGCAGAGAGTAGAAAAGTGGTTCCCAGGGCTGGGAGGAGTGGAAATAGAATGATTCTTGTCAAGGGCATAAAGTTTCAGTTGTGCAGGTTGAATGGGTTCTGGAGGTCTAATGTAAAGCAATGGGACTATAGCTATCAACACTGTATTGCAAACTTGATCTCTGGTAAAGGGATAGATCTCAGGTGCTCTCATTGGACACACACATATAAATTAAAGGAAGAAAATGGCAAATGTAGGGTAACAGACATGCTAACTCCTTGGTCATAGTGAAAATTTCACAATTTATACCAAAATATCAAGTGGTGCACCTCAAATATATACAATTTTATTGTCAATTATAGTTCCATAAAGCTGAACAAATGAAGTTTACTTTTATGATGAAGAAATGGATATTTCCACATACTTTCTCAATAAAAATGAGAAAAGGTAAATAGAAAAACAAAAAATATGTGCAGCAGCTTTGCTTATGATGTTAATAAACCAGAAACAAATTAAAAGTGCATTGACAGGGAAATGGATCAGCTTACTGTCGTTTATTGTTAAATGCACTGACTCAAGTATAAAATTTCTCCCTCTCTCTCTCTCCCTCTCTCTTTATCCATATATATCAAAACTTTGAGATTTTATATCAGAGGCAGTCTGTTAAGTGAATAAATGACAATATACAGATGCAATTTTACATATGAAATAGCATAAATAAACGTCAAAAATAACAAAAGTAGCCCCTTACCAGAAAAGGGGTCTATAATGTTTGAATCCATTTATATGAAAATCAAAACATGAACAGTGAATCTACAGTGGCAGAAATCAAAACATTGTGTTAAATGTGGGAGCTGACTGGAAGCACAGAGAAGGTCGCTTGTGCTGGGGGAATGGGCCTCCTCTACATCCAACCTTGGCTGTTGGGGACAAGTGTGTTTACATTTGCCAGAAATCCTGTAATGGTACATTGCAGATCTATGCATTATTACTTATATTGAAATTACATCTCATGAAAATAAAAAATTTAAAAAATTATGTAAGAAAGTTTCAAATTCAATAAACAATGCAAATAATAAAATCATACTGAAAATGTGAACAATATAATATGAATTAATAAAATATACTAAACGATACCTGCTAGAATTAAATCCCAGAAATCAGAAAGATAAGGGTGACATCTGATAATAATAAGTTAATAAACACGTGTTTCATAGAGAAAACAAACTGGTCAAAAATATGTGGAATATGTATTTTGTTATTATCAAAAGTCGTTAAATAATTGAGATAATATTTTAACCTGTGTTATTAGTATTAATTATAGATATCATGTGTAAAATAATAACTGAGAACAACCTTTAGGGAAATAAGGATATTTGAGAGCACGTGTACGAAGTTAAATATAGTCTCAATGTTTTTCCAGATATTACTGCTGAAATTTCAAATTTTATCCTGGATTTCTAACAGAATCCTTACAGGCCCTTGGACAAATTAATTGTCAGAAACGACTTAGAAAAACAATCTCTAATATAGAGATATTGGTATCTCATTTCATAAAGAAATTTAAACTGTGTAATACATGTAAAGTCCTCAGAAGAAACCTTAGTACGTTGGAAAGGACTTACTCATAGTAGGTTGTGATGTTTATTGCTAAAATTATTACCTTGATTTTTGGGGGGAAAATTAAAGCAAAGCGTGATGAATTAAAGTGTGATGTTGCTTGTTTGGTACAACAAGGGGGTGAGGATAATGAAGAGCCCTGCGATCCCGAGGAGATGGCCTAATCCAAGGAGAGGGAGGCTCCAGGTCGTGTGGACTCTCACAGGGTGCCTGCTTCTGGCCTTCATGGAGCCCGTCTCAGAAGCCTGCGGGAGGCAGGCGTATGGATGGGTTTATCAGGACAATCCAATCAGCCATGGACAGGGGAAAAAAAGATTATGACCCAGGATGGATTAAATAACTGTCTTGAAAATTGACAAATTACGACTGTATCTATTTATGAGGTACAAAGCAATGTTTTGATATATTAATACAATATGGAATAATTAAATATAACTAATTAGCATATTAATCACCTCAAAATCTTTTCATTATTAGCATCAAGGCCATTTGAAATGTATCGTAGCTATTTTGAAATGACCAATATATTATGTTTCAGTAAAGAAATAGATATTAATTAATATAAACAATATAAAATTATTGAAATCAATTATGCATTACTCTGATAATTTATATTTAGTTCATCAGTAAGTTTGATCGTTTAGGATATATTTTAAAAATTATCTTATTATAATGTTAAATATAAGTCACTATACATTTATGCACAGGTTTGTGGCATTTAGACCTACGTCTACAGGTGTAAATTTATGCTCTCATAGCTATGTAGTTGCTCATAGCAATAGATGTTAATGAAACTCTGGAAGAATAACTGCAAATGAAAGTAAACAGTTTTAAAAAATAACACTACATAAAAGGTTTAAAATTATTAAAACTTAAATACCAATGATAATAAATACATACTAATAACTGTATGAAAATGTAGCAACCTGTAAGACTCCAGAGTTCTGAAAACACAAACCTGACTTCTCCAGCTGAGGAGAAAGAAAACCTACCGCTGCACCTGTTCCTGGGACCTGTCCCGCCCTCAGTGAGTCCCGAGCGCCCCCTGGTAGCCCCGCGCGCCCCTGCAGGGAGGTTTGTGTCCGGGCTCACACTGACCTCCCCTCACTGTGTGTCTAGTACAGTAATACACGGCCGTGTCCTCGGTTTTCAGGCTGTTCATTTGCAGATACGCCGTGTTCTTTGAATCATCTCTGGAGATGGTGAACCTGCCTTTCACCGACGCAGCATATGCTGTCGCGTAACTGTTAGCTTTGCTTCTAATACGGCCAACCCACTCCAGCCCTTTCCCGGAAGCCTGGCGGACCCAGTGCATAGCAGAGCCACTGAAGGTGAACCCAGAGGCTGCACAGGAGAGTTTCAGGGACCCCCCAGGCTGGACCAAGCCTCCCCCGGACTCCACCAGCTGCACCTCACACTGGACACCTGCAAACACAGAGACACCCTGGTCAGAAAGTGCCACACACGTCCACTGTTTCTCTCACTCATGTCCACTCACACTCAGTATCTCTAGTTCCCCATGAATCACCTTTTAAAATAGCAACAAGGAAAACCCAGCTCAGCCCAAACTCCATGGTGAGTCTCCTGTATTCAGTGCCGATCACCGAGTGGAGACAGCTGGGAATCCCAAGGCTGGAGCTCCTCTCCCAGAGCTGCAGGGTCAGGGCTGGGCTGCTTTTCATCAGCAAAAAGGGGGGTCTTATTTGCATGTCTTCTGCTACATAGCAAGGTCTGGGCTGGGACGCCTGACGAGAAGGCTGTGCACAGAGTAGATGAGGGTGTCCTGGGGGGTGATTGGTAGTAATCCTATCATTCAGGAAAATTTAATTTCATATTATGTGATTGTGTCTTGATATTCATTTAGGAGTAATCATCTTATTGCATTTTTTACATATTTGCACACTGTATTTCCCCTTATATTTTCTGAAGTCCCTTGGCTTGTCTGTTTGAGTGATGTCTCTTTCCTCGACACTGTGAAGGGTATGATGTCATCGTTCACAGGTGCAGTCCTGGATGTACACGCAGTTTCCACGGAAATGCTGTCATTTGGCAGTGTTGCCTTCGACAGCCTAATTACCTGATTGTTCTACTTGACCATTTGTGTCTCTTAACAAACCATGTAGATGTTACACTGTGCTCATTTCTGACATGTGACACTGTTTTGTAGCATAAATCGTTCAACAATCTGGTGCAATTAAATTTGGGCTTCTTTCCGGGGACCATTTTTGAGGATTGTTCTGACCCCAAAATAGCACTGATTTTTTTCAAGAAATTAAGTCTAGCTATGTTTCCAGGCTGCGCTTGAAATCCTGGGCTCAAGTGATCCTCTCACCTCAAACTCCCAAGTAAATTCAACTGCAGGCAGAGCCACAGTGCCCAGCTGGTTATTCTTAAATTATAGGTTTTCTAATTCTCTCTGTTAAAATGAGTGGACTATTGATTTCTATATTGCTGTCATGGAGCTGTCAGGTTTCTATTAATTACTTACCATGAAAACCACTAACATTTTAGATGAACTTTAGGGTTGAAACTATTCTCATTCTACTGCAAATCTGGTCACGCCCTTTAGAGAGAGCTTTCTATCACTGTTTTTATGCCCTGACTGTATCACTAGAAAAACATGCCAGTCTCTACCTTGGTGCAGAAGAAAGGGTTCAAGCAGCTCAGAAGGACACTCCTGCTTTAAGTACAGAAAACTGCATGGAAGTGATGGACTTGTATGATCTCACTGTTCCTCTCCCAGGAAGCTCCCAGAACCTCTGCCCTACAAGTGAGCTGGGGTGAGAATAATCGGGGTCCACCTGTTCTTGGTCTATAACACCTGACATGGAAACTATGTCTTGTGAGTGAGGCTGGGAGGAGAAAGGCATCCATCAAATCACAGGCAGGAATTTAGTCTCCACCATAAAGATCTGACATCATGACCTCAACTGAGATCTGGGGGAGAGGGAAGCACCACCTTCTTGTCAGTTCAGCCCAAGGTCAAGATTCTGTGATCCTGAGATGTAAAGAAGAGGTAATGCTCTTCTCTCAAGTATTGTGATCCTCACTGCACTTGCTAAGACTGTTTGAGTTGCTATAAGAGGATATCATGGACTGGGTGGCTCAGAAATAACATAAATGCATTTGTCCCAATTTTCAAGGCTGGGAAGTTCAAGATAAAGATGACTTAAAGATTGGTATCTGGTGATGTCCCAATTCTTTATTTATAGATTGCCACCTTCCTACTGTGACCACACCTGGTGGAAGGAAAGAGGGAGCTCTCTGGGGTATTGTATCAGGACGCTGATTCCATTCATGAAACGGAGCCTCAACACCTTTCAAAGGAGACCAAAGGCCCCACCTCCTGCCACCGTCACGATGGAGTTGAGATTCCAACATATGCCTTGTGGGGGGTCATAACCCTTCAGTCAACAGGAGGACTTTATGTCAGTCAATGGATTTCATTTACTGTGTGTTCTCAGAATAATTTTCCTTGATAGTACAGGTTGGGTTTCTATAATTTTTACCAGATTAGGTTGTCTCTTTGGAAATCTTGAAGTTTCTCACACCATCACACTGGTAATGAGATAACTCTATTTATATTCGTGATTGAAGCTTCCTCATTAGGGCCATAAGCATTTGGAATGTTCTTCTCTTAAATCATTTGCCGTGATGGAATAAACTTGTCCCCCCTCATCAGTATTATCATTTGTTCAGAAATACACTTTTTATATTTTAATATTGCAAATCCACCTTTCCTTTATCTTTCTTTAACATGGTGTCTTTCTTTATGTTTTAAAATTTGTAACTGATTATGTTTAAATTTTAGGGTAATTTTAGATTTTAAGGCAAGCCCCCTAGAGTAAGGTGTGTTCTCATGTACAACTTTCCAGGGTTCCCATACACTGATCCACACTCTACCAAGGCTGGGTCTCTCTCCGGCCATCTACGGGGCTCACTCTCTGAACAGTGTTCTGCTATCCACTGTCTAGTCTGTGATCTCCACACTTCTTGGCCTGTCTGGGATCTCAGCTCCTTTTCCTCAACTTCAAATCTACCTGGTTCCTCTTCAGCACTGTGGCCTGGAAACTCTCTTTAAAAAGTAGCAAAGCATGCGTTCATCAGAGGGCTCCTTTTGTATATTTTCCCCACCTCAGCAATCACTGTCCTTGTTATTTGATGTAAAATACCTTAAAATCATGTTTAAAAAATTTCACTGTGTTTTACAGTTATTTCTGGTGGAAAGATACATCTGGTCTCTGTTGTTAAAACTTTTTTGAAATGATCATCTTGAACATAAATATTAGAGTCAATTTTATAATGTTCACCAAGATTTATCTTGGAATATATATATATATATATATATATATATATATTCAATTCTCAATTCCAGGAGACATCCCTGTAGGGATACATTATAAAGCTTATATATTTACATATTTGGTAGACTTAATATTATATCTAATTTTTAAAATAGTCAAAATACCTATATTTGTCACACAAGAAAGCACAAGTTCTACGATGCCCTAATAGAAAAACTTATTTGTCTTTCTATGGGTTCTTCCCAAGGAAATAGAGGGAGACATCTTAGGACACTGATCCAGGGGTGACTTCAGAGACCCTGCCCAGAATATGACCCAGGAGGGATGTGAGAGATTTCCATCTCTGTGATTGGCATTCTGTCTCCTTCACAGGAAAATCTGGGATCTTCCTCCATCCCTGGGGTGGACTACTTCACCATTCTAGACACTGAGGGACAGACAGGGTGTGGCAGGTCACAGACATCAAAGGCCACAGTGTGGATGAGGATCGAGGTGCTAACTTGCCCCAGTGATAATAGAGATCCCCATGGGGCAAAGTCCCAGCAGATGATCCCAACCATGTGGGGATATGTGTGCCTGTCTGAGAGAAGCATCCACATGGGGACAGTGTGTGCCTGTCTGAGAATGAAGGCTCATTCATGAAGGTGTCTACCTAGACTGAGATTGTGTTTGGGGAAAATTTTTCTCACTCAGGAGATGAGAAACTTGAGTGATTTGTTTTTGGAAAAGAAAAATAGATCATGTAGAAACCCCATGTAGGAAGAGTCACTGGATAATATTTGTCAAAACACAGTTCATTTAGAAGGAATTTCCTGTTCATGTCCTTTGCAGGGACATTGATGAAGCTGGAAACCATCATTCTCAGCAAACTAACACAGGAACAGAAAACCAAACACTGCATGTTCTCACTCATAAGTGGGAGTTGAAGAATGAGAACACATGGACACAGGGAGGGGAACATCACACACTGGGGCCTGTTGGGGGGTGGGGGGCTAGGGGAGGGATAGCATTAGGAGTAATACCTAATGTCGATGACGGGTTGATGAGTGCAGCAAACCACCATGGCACTTGTATACCTATGTAACAAACATGCACATTCTGCACATGTACCCCAGAACTTAAAGTATGATAAAAAAGGACATTCCTATCTAAGAAGGAAAGCAATGTCTCCTTATAGCCTAAATACTGCCATAACTTGTCCTAGGCCACTTACAACATGAATATTGATATGCTTTATAGATTAACTGGATACCAAAGATAATGGTGCCATTTATTTTTCTGATACTTCACTAATACTTTATTATTTGAACAGTCCTCACTTAGAGACCTTTTCATTAAAATGTAATTTTTAATTGAATAAGCACTTCTACCATGAGACAAACTGTCTTCCTGGTGACTAAATATCCATCTCGATTTTGATATAATGCCCATGATGTTGACGATTAAGTTGGCATTCTCAGAAAAAATTGACCCAGGTTCAAGGGGCTAACTGCAAATTCATATTTATGTCTGTTTTGCTTCAAGACAAGAAGGACGTGAGTTACAGACAACCTAGTGGGTGGTCTCCTGAGGGCTCCATGCTGTGAAGGAAAAGAAGGCAACCCTAGATGGTGGTCAGAGGTTCCCTGGCTGGTTCCTCTCCGCACCTGCTCTTCCCTGGGGTTCTGCCTTGGGTGAGTTCTGAGCATCTCCTGCTGGTCCTGTGCTGCCCATGAAGTCCAGGTAAAGGAAATCTTGGAGATCTTCTTCTGAGATGCCAAGTTGTATGTCTGGTTCCTGGAAAATAGCACAGTAACGCTGGGAGCTGCACCTTGGATATCACCCATGTGACCTGGCCTGTGTAGTGAGCTTCCTCCAAGCCCAGAGACGGGATTGGCTGGGTGGCTCTCCCTTCAGACATTACTGGAGGCAATTTTCTGCAAATCTAATTGTAGTTTCACTATACAATTCAGCAATCATGTTTTTACTAATGTACTTAACTGACTATGTCCACTCAGTGAACCACACATGGCTGTTCATTTATATTTCCCAAATACTGGGCACATTAAAAAACATCCTGAGTAGTTCAGCAAATTATAGGATTTGAATCAGGAAACTAGGTGGTAACATTTTCTATAACCAAACTTATGAACAAAAAAGATAAGAAAATGAGGTCGCAAAAATAGAGCTTGCATTATTACCTGGAATCTGGTAGTGGTAATTTACATAATGGAGCTGCAGTGAGAAAGGTTACCAGGTGACCTCATTCTGAACCCGTCTTTAGAGCTGACCAGCAATCACCAGGAGTGGGGCAGCCCATAATTCCCCCACATAGAAAGACACCCCAACTCAATAAAACTGCACTTGGGGTCTCTGCAGCCTCTGAGGTGTGCAGGAGCAGCTCCCACCCCAAAGTTTGCAGTCAGTCAAGTCTCCACTCTTTCCCTTGGGGCATGAGAGATAGTGTAGATGAGGTCCAGACATGCTCTACTCAAGGTCTCTGCACATGGCTAAAAAGGCAGGTGTGAAATTCATGTCCTCAATCCATGAAACAATACCCATGAAAAATGTAACTCTGTTCCAGGACATCATGCAGAATGAAGAAATAATGCAATTGTGGTAAATTTGGAAATTACAATTGTTTGTGGACTGCACATTTTTTCATATGCCTTCCAATAAATCAGGTGAAAACGTGTATTCTGTATAAAAATCCACAGTGTGTTAGCTCTGGGAATGCACCTTCCTCTCTCCACCTACAGGCAGAACAGTGCACTTGGATCATGCACCCAGCTCCTGCTCTCTGACGTCCATGACGTGGCTCATGCTAAATCCCATATCCTGTGCTCCTTTCTCAGGAATAGAGTGAGCCTTGCACTCATCTGGGGCAGAGTCATTGCTGGGAGTGATGGGGGTTTCCTGAGGGGCAACTTTGACTTGCAGGAGACTCAGTGATAATCTGGAGTTTCTTTGCACAGCACAGAAATGTAGGAAAGTTCCACCCAATCCTGCCTCCCTCTCTCCTTCACTCAGGGACAGGCTTCCATCATATGCCATCAGCTTCCCAGCCTCATTTACCCTCCATGCATTTTCCCTCAAAAGGGTGGATGCCCTCCTTCGACCAATGCATGCACACTTAATCGGCTAATGGAGATTTATGCTCAGAAGACCAATAATAATATACATATATTTGCAAAATTATTTATAACATGAGTCTGATTCTATTGTCAAATATAAAATATTAATTAATATTAAATCAATATTGCATTGATTAATATTAGTATTAAAATATTAATCAATATAAAATATTAATCATGGTAATAATTGATTTTGTGTGTCACCTTGACTAGGACATAGTCTCAATTATTCAATCAAACACTAATCTAGGTGTTGCTCTGATGTATAATACAGGTGTTATTAAAGCCTGTCATCACTTCTCTAGGTCAGGAAGATTGTCCTAGATGAACTTGGTCGGTCTGGTTTAATCCTAGCAGAGGAGAAGACAATGGAACTCTATGGTAGACAGCAGCTGTAGGACTTCCCAGGAATTCCGTCCTGTCTTTCCTTTTGGCCAGCTCCATTGGCTCTGGCTGTGCCCACCCAGACCTCACGATTGCCATCATGCAGAGCTCACAGCCCAATAAAGTGTCCATCCTCAGCTCTCCCAAAAATCCACAAGTGAGAGTGGGGGCTCTGTGACAGGGTGAGAAGCACAAGATCAGCTCTACAACAGTATCCCATTTGAGGAAACGACTATGAGTGTCCACTTGCATTTCCCAAATGCATCCACGCATAGAAGACAGCAGGGGCATGCAGGCACCAGGGAATGAGAAAGATCCCTCAGCCTGCCAGGTCCACAGGAGCCATAGCCAGAGCCACACCTGAGTTCCAGGTAATGCATCTGAGGCCTGTGGTTTAGACCACAGGAAGCACACCCTCCATTTTCAGAATGAAGGTGAAAAGGGAAGTGTAAGAATGAAGCCTAGAGAAAAGGAAAATGGATTACAGAGAAAGGACCAAATGGGTCAGTTCTGAGTTAGATGTTCAGTTTTAAAGGACGATGGGGTTACTGTGAAAACTGTCAGGATTCTAAGGACCCTGGCCCTGGGTGAGCCTCCCTCTTGGTCCCAATCTGAATCCCAAAGCCTGTTCCAATCAGAGATTCCCACGGAGACGCCTGCCCTGAGTCTGATTGAAAAACACTTCCCAGGTCCTCCTGGGCTTCCTCGGGACTCTGATTCTGGTGACCAGGGCAGGGTCATTTCTGTCCCCAAAGTGACACTCGGGCTTCTGTGGAGGTGAGAATGTGTCCTCTTGTCACAAAAACAAAGACACACCAGGGAAGGAAAGTGTCACATTCAGAGACATTAAACGTAAGTACAGAATTGTAAATCTGAAAGGTTCTCTGAGGAAACTTGATGAATCAGCCCCAGATGCTGAGAGAAAATCAGCCTTTAGCACCACCAGCCGCTGCCACGGAGAGCAGCCCAGTTCACAGGGCCCAGGACACCCCCTCGTGGTCTCAGATGCCCCTGCAGCGAGGTTTGTGTCTGGGCTCACATTGACTTCCCCTCACTGTGTCTCTTGCACAGTAATACACAGCCGTGTCCTCGGCTCTCAGACTGTTCATTTGCAGATACAGCGTGTTCTTGGCGTTGTCTCTGGAGATGGTGAATCGGCCCTTCACGGAGTCCGCGTAGCTTGTGCTACTCCCATCACTATTAATACGTGAGACCCACACCAGCCCCTTCCCTGGAGCTTGGCGGACCCAGTGCATCCAGTAGCTACTGAAGGTGAATCCAGAGGCTGCACAGGAGAGTCTCAGGGACCCCCCAGGCTGAACTAAGCCTCCCCCGGACTCCACCAGCTGCACCTCACACTGGACACCTGCAAACACAGAGACACCCTGGTCAGAAACTGCCACACACATCCACTGCTTATCTCACTCATGTCCATTCACACTCCATATCTCCAGTTCTCCATGAATCACCTTTTAAAATAGCAACAAGGAAAACCCAGCTCAGCCCAAACTCCATGGTGAGTTCTCTGTGTGCAGTCCTGATCAGCAAGCAGAAACAGCTGGGAATCCCAGGGCTGGGGCTCCTCTCCCAGAGCTGCAGGGCTGGTTTTCTTCAGCAGAGTGAGGGCCCTATTTGCATGTCTCCTACTATATATCAAGCTCTGGGGTGAGACACCTGAAGAAAGAGCAGGACCCAGGGCAGATGAAAGTGTCCTGAGGAAGATGGGTGACAACAATGGGATTTGAGAAATTGTGCTTATTATGAAACTGTGCTGTGATAAAATCTTCACACTGATCACCTTATTTCAGATTTACCTATGTGTGTAAATTATGTTCTGTAAGAGTCAATGTTCTCTACTTACAGATGTAAGATAAATCCACACATGGATGGGCTCTCTGTGTATCTAAGAGCTCATGTCTGGGATGAGTGAGTTCTGGTATCTGGGCCTGCACTTCTCACCACTGGCCCTGACTCCTCCCTTAGCCAACTCCAGGACACAGCCGGCCAGGCCTAGTGTGGTTTGCAGAAGCCACTGCCTAATCAGAATATGGATGATTTTCCTGCACTCTCCTGTTTACCTTAAACTATGGAGAGAACTAGGGTTCAGGTAGATAAACTTTCAGGTATCTCTGACATTCAACATACTCATATCTATCTTTCTGTCACTCCTACATTGTCTAATTTTCAACTTGTTTCCTCATAATACATTTTATAAGATTTGATTGACAGATTATAAACTTTACATATTTAAAGTGTAAAACTGATAATCATGGCATAACTATTACCATTATAAGGAAGGTGGACAAGTGAAATTCCCTCAACTTCTTTTCTGTCCTTCTACTTCCTATTTCTATTTCCTTATCCTTTCTCCTTCCCTTCTGCCAACATATTCCCAGGAAACTACTAATCTTCTTTATATTACTTTAGATCAGTTTTCATTTTCCAGAATTTTTAAAAATAGAATCATACATACTCTTATTTGTTTGGCTTATTTTACTCAATTTAAATACTTGATAATTTTATCTTCTTATTTTGTGTATCAGACATTCCCTTATTATGAATGATGGGTAATATTCCAGCGAACAATGTTACCATGATTTGTTTTTCTATTAGGCAGCTGATAAATATTTGGATTCTTTTATTATTTTTGGTGTTAATAAAAATTTTGTTATTCAGGTTTGAAATGTACATAGATGAGAATTTCTTTTTTTTACAACAAGAATAAAATCAACAATAACTGTTAATCAGAGAAAATGGACTTTTGCAAATTTTCTTTAATACTTCAGATCATTGAAATTTTAAGACAATCAACAAATCTGAAATCTAGAGAGAGACAAGTTTTTGTAGGGAGAATCAAAGCTAGAGTATGAGCTGAACTGGGGCAGAGTTCACCAAATGCAATAAAGGCTAGTACAAGATAAAATACACTAATATACATTGAACTGTTTTGAGTCGAGTGTGATAAGCATGTTTTTAGTGAGAAATTCTCAGGAACCACATACTGGAGAGTTTTTCTATTCTTTTGAATGCCTTTCCCTTATAATGAGAATAGTCACAAAAATCTTCCCTTCCCAAAGTGTCTGTCTGGGGTGTATCAGAGCCCACACTTCTGAAATGCTTCCAGAGCCAAGTCTCTTACACCCACTAGAGAACTAAGAAATTACTCAACAGGGGCAAACCACCAAAACCAGTATCCTAAATGCACTGGTTTAACCCCTCAGGAACTGAGATGGGAACAGAGCTCCCCAGCAAGGTTCTACTGGGAAGCAGCTCCCCTCTCTTACGGAATCAGAGCCTTAGTCTGCAGAGCAGGGCAGCAGAGCTGGAAGGTGATGACACCGATGGAGAACACTGCAGCTGTGGGAGGGAACGCCAGGGAAACAGGGGGCTCCACTCCGGGGGAAGGGGAGCTGCGGAGCAAGGCAGAAAGGAGCCCCCATGTCAAACTTCGGGGTTCCAGGGAGGGAAGTGGAAGTGGCGCCTCCTTGAAAACCCGGGCAGCGGAGCAGCCGCTGTGCCCACCCCGCCTAGGGTGCGGGGTTCCTGGGCCTTGGGAGGTTCTGTGCAGGCTGCTTGGGCCGCGTCCCCAGGGTTCAGCCGCATGTCAGGGTGACCATGGAGGCCGCCACTCCCGACTACGGGCCGGGGTCGTCATCAGCTCTGCCCGGGCCTCCCTGAGCACCGGGGCAATGCGGGGAGCTTGTGGAGATGTCACTCCTGCCCTGGACGCCGGCCAGGGCCCAGAGAGGATCAGGAGCCCCTGCCCAGGCTGCAAGGAGGGGTGGAGGGGCTGATGCTCCTCGGAGCCGGTGGGAGCCAGGAGCAGGCAGCAGCTCTCATCTCTCAGGTGCGGCTCCAGCTGCGCAAACCAGGGCAGTGGGCTCGGACTCTGTGCTCTTGGAGGTCGAGGAACAGGAAGGAGCCCTGCCTCCCCGGCTGTGGCTGCAGCCTCCCAAACTGCGGCTGAAGACACGGGCCTCTCGCTCCATGAAGCCGGCAGAAGCCCTGCTCCGCAAACCGGGGGCTGCGGCCTCAGGCGCCCCTGCACTCTTGGGGTCCCCAGGAAAAGCCCTGTGCTCTTGCATGCTCCGAAGTGCCTGCTCCCACTTCCTGGCTTCTTCCTGCTGCTGGTGCCTGCTCTGATCTTGGAGCAAAGTCAGGGCGGAGCCCCAGGGACCATGAACTACAACAGGAGGCAGGAAGATTCCTGTGCACAGGGGCGGGTCCCCAGGAAGGGCCTGAAGGCTGGGCCGGGGCTCCCAGATCCTCAGACCAGAGTCGGGACTTGTGGTGCTTCCTACGGCCCACCCATGAGCACCCATGGACCAATGGGCTTGCACTTCCTCCCCTCGGAGGTCCGTAAAAACCCCTGGCCTCAGCTGGAGCAGGACAGAGGATGGAGAGACGACAGGACGACCAGCTGCAGGGAGGAGCTACCCTCTCTCCTGAGAAATGGGAAGACCACAGGACGACCAGCTGCAGGGAGGAGCTACCCTCTCTCCTGAGAACTGGGAAGACCACAGGACGACCGGCTGCAGGGAGGAGCTACCCTCTCTGCTTAGAGCTGAACACTCAACCAGTCTACCTGCCTACAGAGAGGAGCTACTCACTGGGGGTCTCCTCTGAGATGCTCTAATGCTTAATGAAGCTAGGCTTTGTCTTGCTTACCCTCCACATGGCTGCATACTTCATTCTTTCCACATGTAGGACAAGAACTCAGGCAAAAGTGCCACTGGCCACAGAGGGTTCTGGCCAGAAAAAGCAACACCCCAGTGACTCAGAAACAACCGTAGTGAATACTGTTGGCCATGGAAACATAGTAGTAATTATTTGTGTATCTAAACATAAAGAGATATAGATAAGTAAGGAAGTATAGCACCGTGGAACCACCATCTGTTACTGGCAGAAACTTTGTTATGCAGCAAATAACTGGATTTAAATTTCTGGGGGGAAAAAGCAGCCAACCAAGAACCTAAAATTGATAAAACATCTCTTATGAAATGAAGGATAGAGAAATACTTCCCAGACAAAGGAAAACTGAGGAAATTCATCATCACTAGAATTACCTCACAAGAAATGTCAAAGGATCTCAACTAGGTACCCAGTAGATTGAAGCTCCTGTTTCAGCCCCACCCTGGCATCTACCATGTGATTGTTCTGTGTAGATTTGGTTTATGCTGTCTTAGGGTTTTTCCTCTCTTGAGTCATATCTCCCTTCCCCTCCTTATTTTCAGTCTATCACCACAATTCATATTTAGCCAAGAACAGCGGAGCCTTTGGAAGAGATTCCTATCTTTCCTTCACCAGGTCTAATGAGCTCTCTTCATGGGTGTCCATCTCTGTTTTGCTTTCTCGCATTCCCGTGGGATGATGGCCTTGTTCCTATTTCAGCCCTGCCCACATTTTCATATACATGAGCCATCCTACAACCGCCCATCCAGGAACATCTGGAGGGAATGGACCTTACCACATGCCTCATCAGCGTCCATGTGCATGGTGATCATTCCTTCAGCTTTCACACATGCTCTAGGGCTTCCCACTCAAAAGTGCCTTTCACCACCCTCCAAAACTGCAGCTCTTACACCCTCAATAACTCCGAGAGAGATTCACCTTTCTGCTCCTCTGTAACATAACACCGTGAACTGTTCCCCAGTCTCACTAAATCTATACACAAGTCACCTTGTCTTTATTTGAAGCACTTTGTGGATGGGTTCTTACACATCATGGTTCATCTTGCAGTGTTTTGTGTAGGTAAAGGTGGCAGTGAAGTCAACTGGCAGTCACACAACACCTGACTCTTGAGCCCACAGGAGCACTGACCATAACAATGGAAAATAATTAAAATATGCTGAAAATATGCTATATAACTCTGAGTGCTTAAAGAAACTGTGAACAAAAACAACAAATAAAAAGTGAGGATCATATGCAGAAAATATCTACAGAAAGGTTGTAACTGTAGTTGTGCTCATTTTATCAACAGGGTGATTTCTGAGCAACACATGAAGCTTCCAATGTGGAATCATTTTTACTGACATAACATAAAGCAACAAAATATCAGTTTTGCGGGGTGATTAGAACAAGGGAGTGACTTGTAGTATTTGAGGTAAAAAGGTAAACAGATCCTACACAACACTGGATCTTATGGCATTGTTTCCATTTAGTGTGGAATGCACAATTCAGTAGCTCTTTATCTCAACATGATTTATTTATCAGGACTCTTCTTACTATCATTGAATTATATATTATTTGAAGGAAAATAAATATTCAGGTGACAATTATTGTTTCTATAGTTCATGTCCAATTTCAATTATTTATGTTTTATGGATATTTCTTGACTATTTTATGGGAGTGAAAACATGTGGTGTTTAGCTTTCTGTTCCTGGCTCTTTCAATTAACATAGAGTCTTATATGTTACATGCAAGTTTCTATGAGTGACACAATTTAATCTTTCATGGCTGTGTAGAATTCCATTATGTACATATTCCACATCATCTTTCTCTACTCACCTTATATTGAACACTTCGGTTGATTCAATTACTTGGCTACTGTGAACAGGGCTGCAATAAACATGGGAGTGAAGAAATCTCATCAAAATATTGATTTTCCTCTTCAATATATTAATTTCCTGTCCTTGGGACAAATGTTCAGTCGTAAAATTTCTGTATCATATGATTGTTGCATTTGTGGTTTTACTAACTTCTATACGTCTCTCCATAGTGGCTGTATGAGTGTACATTCTCATCAACAGTGTATACATGTCCCATTTTATCTTCATCCACATTAGCACTATTTTTATGTATTTGAATATGGCTATTCTGTCTGGGGTGAGATAATATTTCATTGTAGTTTAAATTTGTGCTTTCCTGATTATTAGCGATGGTGAGCATTTTTTCTCAAATATTTTCTGGCATCTTGTATGTGTTTCTTTGAGAAACGTCTGCTTATTTGGGTTAATTGTCTGTTATAAAATAAGATTATTTATATTTTTGTGGTTGAGACATTTATTTTTCTGGTATATTCTGGATATTAATAGCCTGTTTAATTAATAGTTTAAAATACATTTTACCACTTTTATGTTATCTATTCAATATTTGGATTATTTTACTGTGTAAACACTGTTTAGTTTGATAAAATTTAATTCGTTTGTGTTTTATTTAGTTGACTGTACTTTTGAGGTCTTATTTATAAAATTGTTTTCCAGACAGATTTCATGAAGCATTATTTCTAAGTTTTTAAGAGCAGCTTTATAGTTTTGGGTCTTCCATTTGAGTATTTAACTTATTTTTATTTCATTTTTATATACAGTTAAATGTGGGAATGTAAGTTCATTCATCTGCATATGGATATTCAGTTTTTCCCTACACAATTTACTGAGGATACTTTTCTTTTCACAATAAATATTTTTGGTGCCTCTGTTGCAAATAAGTTATCTATAAATATATGGATTAATGTCTTGGTTTCTCTACTTTTTTCCATGGATTTTTATGCCAGCACTACGCTGTTTTTGTTATTACAGTTTTATAATTTTTTTTGAAATCTGGTTGTTAATACCTCCACCTCTGTTTTTTATCCACAAGACTGCATTAGTCATTTGGGGTATTTTCAATTGTATACAAATTTTAATAATGCTTTTTAATATTTCTGTGAATAATGCCATTGGTATTTTCATAGAGATGACATTGAATATGTAGATTGTCATGTGCATTATGGTCATTCTAACAATATAAATTATTCCAGTTCATGAATACAGATTGTCCTTCTTATTTTGTGTTTGTCTCATTCAATTAATTATATCAGTGTTTCATAGTTTGTTCATTTACGGATTTTCACCTCCTTGGTGAAATGTATTCCTAGGTGTTTAATAGTTTTTGTAGTTACTGA
Organism: Homo sapiens; assembly: GCF_000001405.40. Taxonomy (NCBI): domain Eukaryota; kingdom Metazoa; phylum Chordata; class Mammalia; order Primates; family Hominidae; genus Homo; species Homo sapiens. The sequence goes on from NT_187600.1 coordinate 1,308,437, forward strand.
AAATGGGATTTCTTGATTTTTTTTACCTAGTTTATTGTTTGTGTATAGAAACCCCACTGAGATTTCTATGTTGATATTGTATCTTGAAACTTTACTAAATTCATCAGCTCTAAGAGCATTTACAAGAGTCTTTAGTATATATATGATTATGTCATCTGAAATTAGAGGTAATTTGGCTACCTTTTTTCTAATTGTAATCCCCTTTATTTCTTTCTCTTGTCTAACTGCTCTGGCTAGTACCTTCAGTACTGTGTTGAATAAGTGCTGAGAGTTGGCTTCCTTGTCTTTTCCAGTTTTCAGAAGAAAAGCATTAAACTTTTTTTCTGTTAAGTATGATGTTAGCTATGAACTTGTCATGTGGTCTTATTGTGTTGTTCTTTCTACACATAATTGAGAGTTTTTTTCATGAAGAGGTTTTGAGTTTTATAAAGTACTTATTCTGCATCTATTAAAGTAAAAATATGTTTTTCATCCTTGTCGTATATACGTGATATATCATGTTTATTCACTTGTGTATATTAAAGCATAATTGAATCCCTGGGTTGAATTCTACTTTGTCATGCTGTATTAGTATTAGTATTAGTATTTAAATGCTGTTTGATTTGCTGTGCTAGTAATTTGGGTTTTTTTATTTATGTTCAATAGGATATAGATTTTTTAAGTGAGTCCCTCTCATTACTTTTTATTGGTCTGTTAAGGCTTTCTATTTTTTCCTTTTTCAATCTTGTCAGGTAGTATATGGCCAGGAATGTATCCAATTCCTCTAGGTTTTCACATTTATCACATAATTTATTATAGTATTTCCTAATTTATTTTAATTCTGGGATATCAGTTGAGACATCTTCTGTTTCTACCTCATTTATTCATGTCTTAGCTCTTTATATTTTTTTTGTTAGCCCAGCTAATGGCTTTCAATTTTGCTTATCTTTTTTAAAAAGACTATTGCTATTTTAATATTTTCTGGTATTTTTAGTCTTAATTCCATTTATATCTAATCTGCTCTTTATTGTTTTTAAAAATAATTTTGAATTTAGCTTTTTCTTGTTCTTCAAGTTCTCTAACATGCATTGTTATTTTGATTAATTAAGATATTTCTACTTTTTGATGTGGGCATTTATTGCTCTAAACTTGCCTCATAATAGTGATTTGACTAAACGCCATAAGATTTGGTATGTTGTGTTTCTTTGTTTGTTTCATACATTTTTTATTTTCTTCTTAATGTCTTCTTTCACCCATTGGCCATGTAAGAGTGATTTGTTTAATTTTTGTGTTTATATTTTTTTGAAATTTTCTCCAGGCTGGGTGGTGGCTCATGCCTGTAGTCCCGGCACTTTGGAGGCCGAGGCTGGTGGATGACTTTAGGTCAGGATTTCAAGACCAGCCTGGCCAACATGGTGAAACCCCCTCTCTACTAAACATACCAAAATTAGCCAGGAGTGGTGGCAGGTGCCTGTAATTTCAGCTTATCAGGAGGCTGAGGCAGGAGAATGGTTTGAACTCGGAAGGTGGAGGTTGTAGTGAGCCGAGATTCTGTCACTGCACTCCAGCCTGGGATACAGAGAAAGAGTCTATCTCAAAAAAAAAAAAAAAAGAAGTTCCTCCAGTTACTGATGTTTAGTTTGATTCCATCTTTGACTCTATCTTAGTCAGATAAAACGTCGGTATAATTTTATTTAAATTTTTTGATACATTTTCTGTATTAATATATGATCAACTCTGAAGAGTATCACATGCGCTGAAGAAAAGAATATGTGTTCTGCATGAAAAAATGCTCACCATCACTGGCCACCAGAGAAATGCGAATCAAAACCACAATGAGATACCATCTCACACCAGTTAGAATGGCAATCATTAAAAAGTCAGGAAACAACAGGTGCTGGAGAGGATGTGGAGAAATAGGAACACTTTGACACTGTTGGTGGGACTGTAAACTAGTTCAACCATTGTGGAAGTCAGTGTGGCCATTCCTCAGGGATCTAGAACTGGAAATACCATTTGACCCAGCCATCCCATTACTGGGTATATACCCAAAGGACTATAAATCATGCTGCTATAAAGACACATGCACACGTATGTTTATTGCGGCACTATTCACAATAGCAAAGACTTGGAACCAACTCACATGTCCAACAATGATAGACTGGATTAAGAAAATGTGGCACATATACACCATGGAATACTATGCAGCCACAAAAAATGATGAGTTCATGTCCTTTGTAGGGACATGGATGAAACTGGAAATCATCATTCTCAGTAAACTATCGCAAGAACAAAAAACCAAACATATTCTCACTCACAGGTGGGAATTGAACAATGAGAACACATGGACACAGGAAGGGGAACATCACACTCTGGGGACTGTTGTGGGGTGGGGGGAGAGGGGAGGGATAGCTTTAGGAGATATACCTAATGCTAAATGACGAGTTGATGGGTGCAGCACACCAGCATGGCACATGTATACATATGTAACTAACCTGCACATTGTGCACATGTACCCTAAAACTTAAAGTATAATAATAATAAAAAAAGATAAATAAACACATCCATTTAATTCTTAAAAAAAAAAGAATATGTGTTCTGAAGTTGTTTGGTGCAATGGTCTGTAAATTCAGGTCCATTTGGAATATAGTGCAGTTTAAATCCAATGTTTGTCTGTTAATTTTTGGCTAGGTAACATATCCAATGCTAAATAACGTGTTAAATTCTCCAACTATAATTGTATAAGGTTAGTATCTATCCCTTACTATGTAATAGATTTGCTTTACATATTTGAGTTCTCAGGTGTGGGTACATATGTATATATGTGTGTGTGTATATATGTATATATATACAATTATGTGTTCTTGTTACATATATATAACATATATGTATATATGTATATTTACAGTTGTTACGTATTCTTGCTACATTGATCATTTTTTATTATATAATGTCCATTTTGGTCTCCCTTTACAGCATTTGACTTAAAATTTGTGTCTGATATAAGTAGAGCTATTTGTGCTGTTGGTTTCTATTTTTGTAGCATATCTTTTTTCCACCCACTCACTTTCAGTCTGTGTGTAGATTCTCAGATGATTTGAGTCTCTTGTAAGCAGCATAGAGTTGGGACTTTAATAAAATCAATTTTTATACTGTATTTTTAATTGAGGAATTTTATTACATAAGGTTATTATTTATAAGTATTTACTCAAATTATTTTCTTTATTGTTTTATGATTGTTTGTATATATGTATATATCTCTATCTTTGTTTATTCTCTTTCTGTTTGGTTTTATGATTTGATGTTGTTTTGTAGTAATAATGTTTGTTTCTTTTCTCCTTTTTTAATTGTTTCTACCATTGAAATATAGGTTTTGTGTGTTTTTTTCCAAGCTGATGGTTTTCATATGCTGGCTTTTATACAAAAATTCCCTTGAATATTTCTTGTATGACTGGTCAAGTGTGAAGAAAATATCTTAGTTTATCTCACCTGAGAAATAGTTTATTTCTCTTTCATTTCGGAGAGAAAGACCATCTGGGTACACTATTTCTGAATTGCAGATTTTTCTTACTGCTTTTTAATTTACATTCACCAATTTTACTAGAAACTCCTATAGATAACCAGATTCAAACATTGTGTTTGGATTATGTCAAAAACTAAAACTGTTTTTCATGATGACTACACCATTTTTTAGTTGCACCATTATGAAAAACAGTATAGCAGCTCATAAATAAATCAAAAATGGAAATACAATATGACTCAGCAAACGCTTCTCTGGAAATACAGGGAAAGGAAATAAAATCATGAACTTGTAAAGACACCTGTGCTCTTATATTAATTGCAGCTCTATTTATGGCAGCCAATATATAAAAACAACCTAAGTGTTAATGCACAAAGGGATGAAGTAAATGTGGTATAAGAAAACACTACAATATTATTCAGTCTGATAAAAAAGAGATGCTTCCATTTGCCACAGGCTAGTAGGACCCCCACCATCACTACCAATGCACCCCATCCATTCCAGCCCTTTCCTGGGCTGGCAGATTCAGGCCCAGTCATAAGCACTGTTTGTGATGTAGTGGCCAGAGAGAGCATAAGTGATGCAGAAGGTCAGTGTGGGCTCTTCTAGTCTGGGCCTGACTCCTGTAGCTGCTCCAAAGACAGGGCACCTGGAGATATGAATAATCAGTCTCTGCCAGTCATGTGCAACCACATTCAACCCATAGAGCAGGGCTTTACATCTGAGACAGATTGGTGAGTTGTCAACAGGCAAAAAAAAAAAAAAAAAAATCACAATAAAGTCATCTTTTTCATGAACACAACTCTGCATTTCACAAGTACTTTAGCACTATCTAAGGAGAGAGCTTTTAGCTTCCAGAATCCAAAAGTGTATTTTTTCCTAGAGCTTGAATAATAATTTTGATGTGGGACAGCCTTGTTCTTATAAGGCAGAGAAACTGAGATCAGATTCCTGCTGTATTTTAATATTTTGCCGATTTATTTTGTGGTTGTCTTGAAGCACTCATTGCCAAAAACTATTTCCACTGCAGTTATTAAAATTGGCTCAATTTTCATTTTTCTATCTGTGACATATGAGCTTTTATGTCAAGTGACTGACATGTACACCCTACAGAAAAAATTACAAAGTAACTCTGTGAGTCATTTGTAATTCTTAAATGCGACACTTCCATTACCATCAAGAATCTTCTGGAAAGCTTGTACTAAAAAGAAATAGTAAATAACATTCTTAAATTAAAACTAGCAAAACTTTAAGAAGCTATGAACTCCATTTTCCAAAGCTACTTGCACTAGCACTTATGACCCATGGTTCACTTCATCAGAAACACATCCAGTACCACTTTATGATTTGGAATGTGGAAGGTCTGTGCATTTTTTTCTTTTATCTCCAGTGTTAGCATCTGCTTTATCACATGCAGACACAGCAAAATATTTTAAGAGATTGATGTGTTAGGCAGAAACACTGAACAATACATTGAGTTTCCCTTTCCATCATATCTTCCTAAAAATTCTTTATATGGTGAAAAAGCTCCCATTCTTTATGTTGGAAGAAATATCAGAAAAAAAGAGCTTCAAAGATTGTCAAAAGGGCATTAATATTAACACTAAATGAAGCAATTACTTCACGGTATAAATTCTTAGGCAGTTAAAGTTAAAATAAGAAGGGCTAAGTAAGTTGCTAAGTTGCTTTGAGACAATTTTCCTGGGCTGCAAAGATTAATAACAAGGGTGGCAACAGTGGAAAGTTGGACTCACAGTACATGAGGACATATCCTTGTGGGGGTAGCTTTTTCCTAAAGTTGTGGTGGATTTTGTGCAAGGTTGTGTTTTTTAGGCTCTATTTGTGGTAGTTCTTGTTACCAAGTGTAAGTGTATGAGAACCCTGCTTCTATGGCCTTTCCCAGTCCCATTTGCAAAAGTTTTAACAAAAGTGACTCCGTTTTGATTCTGACAAAATTCAAAATTTCTTCTGGTTTGCACAACAAAGAATCAATTCCACAGTCACGTTTCACTCTCACCAAACAAGCTTATGCCCTTCAGTTCCCCTGGGCCACTCAAATTTCCACATGAGTCCCCATGAAACACGGTGGAGGGTCCCAAGCACTGGGGAAAGAAGAAAGCCCCATCAGCCTCTCCCATGCGGCTGCAGGAGCCACAGCCTGAGCCCCACCTGAGCTCCAGCGGAAGAGCTTGAGCCTTGGAATTTAGACCGCATGGACCACATCTTTCTTTTTCAGGGAGCAGAAAAGAAAACGAAAAAGTGACAACAGCTGAAAAGAAAGAAAATGGATTGACAGCAAAAAGTGCAGCAGATGAGTGCTGATACTGCTTTGCATAGTCTCATATCAGGAGAAGGGGCAGACGTGAAACCTGTGAGCTTGTACGTGACACTGACTCTGGCCCAGCCTCTTTCTTGGCTGGAATCAGAAAAATTCCAGCCTTTTTTAATCAGGGAATGAAACGTTTTAAATCAGGGAATTATAGCCTTTTTTAATCAGGGAATTAAACTTAGTTTCCTGTCCCGAATGTGATTGGAGAAGACCCACAAGGCACCCCTGAGCTTCCTCAGGACTCTGATCTTGGTGACCGTGGTTGAGAACTTCTCATGCCTGGAAGTGGTGATCTGCATTTTGTGCATGTGAGACTAGGCCTTTATATTACTACCTTTTAAAAGGTGTATATTTGGAGATTTTTTTGGTAGGCACAGAACTCTAAATTAGTGAGGTTCTCTGGGAAACTGTCAGTTGGAGAGGGAAGTTACAAACACTATGAGAAAACCAGCTCCTACCCTGTATCTGCATCTGCCTCTGAGGTTGAATCTGATCAGTGGGTCCTGAGCGCCCCCGTAGCTGATTTACTTCATGTGTTTCTGCAGAGAGGTTTGTGTCTGGGCTCAACCTGACTTCCCTTCACTGCGTCTCCAGCACAGTAATACGTGGCTGTGTACTCAGCTCTCAAACTGTTCATTTCCAGATAAGAGTGTGTTCTTGGCATTGTTTCTGGAGATGGGGAATCAGAACTTCCCAGAATGTGCATAGCGTATGCTACTCCCATCAGTACTAATACATGAGACCCACTCCAGTCTGTTCCCTGGAGCCTGGCAGGCCCAGTGCATCCAGTGGCTACTGAAGGCAAATCCAGAGGCTGCACAGGACAGTCTCAGGGACCCCCACCCCCACCGCGCCAGGCTGTACCAAGTCTCCCCCAGGCTCCAACAACTGCGCCTCACACTGGACACCCAAAAACACAGGGGCATCCTGGTCAGAAACTGGCACATATTTTCAGTGTTTCCTTAACTGTTATCCACTCACACTCAAAATCTCTAGTTCACCCTGAATCTACTTTTAAAATAGTAACAAGTAAATCCCAAGTCAGCACAAACCCCATGGTGAGTTCTCTGTTCAGTGCTAATCACCATGTGGAAAAACCTTGAAATTCCAGGGCTGGGTCTCCCATCCCAGAACTGTAGGGTGAGGGCAGGGCTGGTTTTCACCAAAGAAGGAGGGTCCTTTGCATATTTCCAACTACATAAAAAACTCTAGGGTGGGACACGTGAGGAGAAGGCATTGCCGAGAGAGGATGATGGTGTCCTGCAGGAGTTTGGTAACTTATGGTATTTAGAAGATTTGCACTTTTACGAGGAAATTGTGCTGTGATAAACAGCATCAAACACCTTATTATATTTTAAATATGTGTGTAAATTATGTCTGTGAGACTCAATGTTTCTCCATGTACGGATGTGAAAGTAAACCCACACACAGAGTGCCTATGTATGTGTCTAAGTGCTCATGTCTGAGATGAGTGAGTTCCGGTATCTGAGCCCGTGTTCCTCATCACTGTGTTCCCTGAACTAACTCCAGGACAGAGCGGGACATGTCTAGTGTGGCTTGCAGAACTTACTGCCTTAATGAAAATATTGTGACTCTGTTACACTCCAGCGTTCACCTAAAATTATGGAGAGAACTAAGGTTCACGCAGATAAATTTTCAGGTAACTGGCATTTAACATATGTTACCCATTTTCTATCAGTTCTTTTTGTCTAATTTTTTATTTGTTTGCTTGTAATAAACTTTATAAGGTCTAATTGAGAGATAATAAACTTCATATACTTAAAGTATACATTGATAAACATGACATAACTATCACCATTATCAAGAAAGTGGACAAGTGAATTCGCCTCAATTTTTTCTCCTGTTCCACATTTCCTCCTATCCCTTTCCCTTCTTCTACCATTTCCTCAGGCAACAACTGTTCTTCATTAAATTATTGTAGGTTAGTTTTCATTTTCCAGAATTTATAGAAATGGAATAATATAGCATATATACTTATTTTTTTGGCTTATTTTACTCAGCATAAATACCTAGATATTTTAGTTTGTTGTGTGTATCAGATATTTGTACATTATAAATGATGGGTAACAGTCCAGTGAACAAATTTACTATAATGATTTTTCCTATTAAGAAGCTAATTAATATGTGGACTCTTCTGTTATTCTGGGTTTTACCAAAAATATCTGCTACTCAGCTTGCAGAAGTACTTAGATAAGAAATATATATATTTTTGTATTTTACAACAACAACATCAACAATAACAGATGAACAGAAAATAAGAAACTTGGCAAATTGTCTTTCATACTTCAGATAATCGAAATTTTAAGACAAACAACAAATCTGAAATTTAGGGAGAGACAAGTTCTTGTAGAGAGTAACAAAGTCAGGGTATGAGATTACCTGAGGCAGAGTCTGCCATATGAAATATAGTCTATTTCAAGATAAGGCTTCAAATACATTAATTAGGTTGCTTAAAGTCAAGAGTGGTGAATGTGCTCTAGTGTAAAATTCTCAGGGACCAAATACTGAAGAGCTTTCTTATTCTCTTGAATATCTTTCCTGTAGAAATGGGACAACCACATAAATCGTTCTGTACTAAAGTGTCTGTCTGGGAGAGAATGACAGCCTGAACTTCTAAAACACATCCAGACCCACCTCCTCCCTTATCACCACTACAAAACTAAGAAATTACACTTTAGGGGAAAGCCTCTGAAACCGGTATCCGAAGGGCTGAAATAGATACTCTAGAGGATGGAACAAGGTAACAATACAAAGCCAAGCAGAAAATAAAAAGCTATTGTTGCTGTTGATACCGTAATCAGTTGGCTCTAGCTTAGGTAGATTGGCATTGATAACCTGGTTGGGTCTGATTCCAATCAGAAAAGAATGGGAGAAGATAAAATAGTATGGTGTTTCAGCACATTCAGCTCTCTCTGAGACTTCCAGCCTGCATTTATTTACGGTTGCTCTTATGAACATTGAACATGCCTACACATCTCTCATAATTATTATACCCTGTATCCCACAGAAAATTGGCAAGTCCATCTGCAGCTTGTCAAACCTGAATATCAGACAGAAAGAAACTCTAAAGTAAAGTGGTATTTATTTGAGAATTAGCATTGCAATGGGAATGTGCACGGGCACATTTCGGTAGGTAAATAAGGAAAGTGTTTTAAAGAAAAAATGAGGAGGGCCACATATGCGGTTTTGAGACACTTAACCTGGGATAAAATGATCAATAACCAGGGTGGCATCAGTGTAATATTGCACAGGCACCTCTGGGCAGATGTACTTGGAGAAGTAATTATTTTAAGGTTGTGCTGGCCTTTGTGCAAGGTTGTGGTTTTGCAGAATCTATTTATGACAGTTCTTGTTATGGAAGGCATGTGTATGAGAACCCTCCCTCATGGCCTTCCCAGCTCCATTTCCCAGGTTTTAACACAAATTGTTGCAGTTTGATTCTGACAACTTTTACAGTCTCTTTCTAACACTATGGTGAGAAAAGTGACTCCATGACAATTTGCACAGCACAGGATCAGTCCACACCCACATCTCATCCCCTTCACTACTAATGACAATTTGCACAGCACAGGATCAGTCCACACCCACATCTCATCCCCTTCACTACTAATGACAATTTGCACAGCACAGGATCAGTCCACACCCACATCTCATCCCCTTCACTACTAATGACAATTTGCACAGCACAGGATCAGTCCACACCCACATCTCATCCCCTTCACTACTAATGACAATTTGCACAGCACAGGATCAGTCCACATCCACATCTCATCCCCTTCACTACTAATGACAATTTGCACAGCACAGGATCAGTCCACACCCACATCTCATCCCCTTCACTACTAATGGCCACGTGCAATCTCAGATGAGTCTCCACACAACACCGTGGAATGCCTGAGTCATGAGAAGGAAAGAAAGTCCCATCAGCCTCTTTCACGTGGCTGCAGGAGCCACATCCTGAGACCCACCTGAGCTCCCAGGAAAAGGCTTGAGCCCTGGAATTTAGACCACAGGGATTACATCTCCCTTTATCAGGAAGCAGGAAAAGCAAATGGAAAAGTGAAAGCCAAAAGTGAAAGGCACAACTAAAAAAAAAGAAAATGGATATAGCAAAAGAAATAACTAAACAACAACAACTAAAAAGAAAGAATACGGAAAGCAAAAGAAAAATCAAATCACTGCTGATACTGAATTTCATATTTCACTGTCAAGAGAAGGGTCATATATGGAAGCTGTGAGGTTCTATATGACACTGACCCTGGTCCAGACTCTGTCTTGGTTATGATCAGAATCCAAAAATAGTATCTGAATCATGGAATTTCACTGAGGTTACTGTTCTGGGTCTGATTAGAGATGACCCACCAGAACACTTAAGATTTTCCAGGACTCTGATGTTTTTGACATTGGTTGATAATTTTTCTTCTCTGTAAGTGTCAATCTACATTTTGTGCATGAGAAAATATGTCCTCGCATTACTATGATTATTTTATATATATATATATATATATATGTATATATAACAATAGTACACACAGAATTCTAAAATGAAGAGGCTCCCTAAAGAAAGTAATGGAAGAAGATGATGAAGTCCAATGTCCTGACAGAAAACCAGCCCCTAACCTCCATGTGAACCTCCCTCTGGAGTGGACTCTGATCAGTGGGCCTTGAGTGAGCCCTGTAGCTGATTTTCCTCCCAGCGTTCCTGTAGGAGGTTTGTGACTGGGCTCACACTGACTTCTCCTCACTGTGTCTCTTACAGTAATAGACGGCCATGGTGTCAGCAATGAAACTGTTTATTTGCAGATACAGTGAGTTCTTGGTGTTTTCTCTGGAGATGGTCAACCGGCCCTTCACAGAGTCTGAGTAGTATATGCCTCCACCACTAGCATTAATGTAAGACCCACTCCAGTCCCTTCCCTGGAGCTTGGTCCACCTAGTGCATGCCATAGTTACTGAAAGTGTATCCAGAGGCTGCACAGGAGAGTCACATGGACCCCCCAAGCTGTACCAAGCCTCCCCCAGACTCTACCAGCTACACTTCACATTGGACACCTGCAAACACAGAGACATTCTTGTCAGAAACTGCCACACAGATCCACTGTTTCTCTCACTCATATCACTCACAGACAATATTTCTAGTTCTTCTTGATTGCCTTTTAGAACAACAACAAAGAAAACCCAGCGCATTCCTAACTCCATGGGATGTCTTCAGTGTTCAGTGCTAATCACTGAATGGAAGCACCTTGGTACTGCACGGCTGGGGCTTGTCTCCCAGAGCTGCAGAGTCAGGGCTGGGCTGGTTTTCATCAGCTGAGAGAGGGCCCTATTTTCATGTATCCTAATATATAGAAAGCTATGGTTTGGGATGCCTGAGGAGAGGGGAGGGTCAAGAGAAGATGAAAGATTCCTGGGAGATTTACATTGAAAGTTAATATTGATCAATGAGATGATTGTGTGTGTGTGATGAATCACATTTACTGATTTATGTATATTTCAGAATGGAATACAACACAGTCATAAGAAGAATAAGATCATGTTATTTGCAGCAACATAGATGGAGCTGGAGGTCATTATCCTAAGGAAAGTAACACAGTAACAGAAAATTACAAACCATCTGTTCTCATGTATAAGTGGGAGCTAATCATATTGACACAAAGAAAACAACAGACACTAGGTCCTACTTGAGTGTGGAGGGTGGGAGGAGGGTGAGAATTGAAAAACTACCTACCAGGTACTATGCTTATTTCCTTGGTGACAAAATAATCTGTACATCAAACCAACAGAACTCACAATTTGCCTATAAAACAACACTTGCACAAGTACTTCTGAACCTAAAATAAAAGTTTAAAAACATTTTGGCTAGTTTTTCATTATTAATACAACACCTGAATACTCCTTAGTTATTGCAAATGCTCTCTAGAATATTTTTGTGTGTGTTTTTTTACTATCTTTTAACATAAAAAAACTTAGATTTATATAACTATACAAGTTAATAATGTATTTTGAAACTTCACAGTCACACCCATATATACAGACACAGACACACACACCCAGCAATGAAACATATATGTGCACAGGCAAAAATAAATGCATTTCCAAACATCAAAGTGACATACATTTGTTTCTGTGTTATTATATTTAATTTATATGGATTTATTTGTATTTATAGTTTAAGGTTTTAGTCCAAAGTAACATTCTTCTATGAGTAAGTCTGTCTATTCCAATGTAAATTAAGAAATATATGTAAATGCATGTTTTAATAAAACTTACTGTAACTGCCATTATTGACAAATCTATCATTGAAAAATACAATGGTATTCTTTACATACTCTGTGCTAGCTTATTTCCCATTTTTACTAATAGCATATTTTTTAAATAAATGTTTTAATGCATTTAATGTTATAAATAAATATAATAATCAATAAGGCAAGCATCTCTATTAAAATTTTATTACACGATTGGTTGAAATAACATTGTACTTTACAAAAGGCATCACCTTTTTCTAATTTAAATAGCATTTAAATATTAAATTAAAAAAATATTAAGTATTAAAAAATAGCAATTTCCAGTTTAAAGACTTTTTTCTTTTGCAATGGCTTCACATGAATTTTTAACATCAACTCGATAGGTTATTTGACAATATTCCTGGATGCTAGAGAATATCCATAAATATAGAATTAATATCAGCACAGGGTTCCCAGGATTCACTCACAATGACAACTTGCTAGAGGGTGGTCAGGAAGTGTGCAAACACGTTAGGGATTTAGGCTTTATCATCAAAGCACTAGTGAGCCCCAGGGCTGAGCACACAGTGGGCAGCAGGAGCTGCAGAGCCCACTCTGTGGTACTTAGGGAAGATAGAGGATGGGGTGGGGTGATGTCTGCAGGACCGTTGAAAGGGGTGAGGAGGGCAGAGAGTCTGCAGGTAGATGAGCATATTCTTAGAACTGTTGCCTGCCTATACTTGGTTGGCTTCAGTGATCATAAAGGGAAGTGAACTGATTCACCAGACATGGATGAGACATAATAAACGGGCTTGCTGATTCCTTGAATGGAAATTGAGGATTATAAAAGGTTTGGAAAGAAGAAGGGAAGGTGGAGAAACAGACTGAGGGGCAGAACACCAGGGGCCACCAAAGTGGAGGACAGGAGCCCTTAAAGTGGGGTTTCATCTTCACAATCAGCAAATGGAAGAAAAAGAAACTCAACACCATGCATATGCTGAGTTATTGTTAGAAAACATTTACAAAAGTGTGACTGACACAGCACAGTAACAAAAATCTGTGTAAATAGTTTGAAGTAAGCATACACAATTTCTTCATTTTAAAATTGTACTGAGATATTATTACTAGTATTATTACAAAAATATAAAGAATTAAAAGTTTAATTGAATTCCTGTTCTAAGTTAGGATTTTGTAGGTAAGAGAAACATGGATTCCAAGGAAGAAATGGCAAAAGATGCTGAGAAGAGTTTCACTTTACCAGGTCAGGAATCACAAGGCCTAAATAAAGAAACCCACCCTCCCCAGGGACCTGATGATGCACTGCTTCCTAAGAGAACCCTGATGTCCTGACCGCCCCTTGGTGTTCTTAGCACCCCCTAGTGTCCCGAGCGCCCCCTGTTGGTTCTGAGCTCCCCCTTGTGTCCTGAGCGCCACCTCATGTCCTGAGCGCCCCCTGGTGGTTCTGAGCTCCCCCTTGTGTCCTGAGTGCCACCTCATGTCCTGAGCGACGTCTGGTGATTCTGAGCAGCTCCTGATGTCCTGAGCGCCCCCTGGTGGTTGCTGAGCAGACCCTGGTGTCCTGATCCTCCCCTTGTGTCCTCAGCATCCCCTGGTGTCCTCACCACCCCCAGGTGGTTCTGAGCTCCCCCTTGTGTCCTGAGTGCCACCTCATGTCCTGTGCGCCACCTCATGTCCTGTGCGCCGTCTGGTGATTCTTTTTTTTTTTTTTTTTTTTTTTGAGACGGAGTCTCGCTCTGTCACCCCAGGCTGGAGTGCAGTGGCGGGATCTCGGCTCACTGCAAGCTCCGCCACCCGGGTTCACGCCATTCTCCTGCCTCAGCCTCCCAAGTAGCTGGGACTACAGGCGCCCGCCACTACGCCTGGCTAATTTTTTGTATTTTTAGTAGAGACGGGGTTTCACCGTTTTAGCCGGGATGGTCTCGATCTCCTGACCTCGTGATCCGCCCGCCTCGGCCTCCCAAAGTGCTGGGATTACAGACGTGAGCCACCGCGCCCAGCCGCCGTCTGGTGATTCTGAGCAGCTCCTGATGTCCTGAGTGCCCCCTGGTGGTGGCTGAGCCTCTCCTGGTGGTTCCTGAGTGCCCCCTGGTGGTTCTGAGCAGACCCTGGTGTCCTGAGCACCTCCTCGCGTCCTGAGCCGACCCTGGTGTCCTGATCCTCCCCTTGTGTCCTCAGCGCCCCCTGGTGTCCTCACCACCCCCAGGTGGTTCTGAGCGCCCCCTGGTGGCTCCTGAGTCTTCCTTTGTGTCCCCACTGCCTCCTGCTGGTTCTGAGCTCCCCTTGGTGGTTCTGAGCAGTGTCTGTCACACGGTCCCCTCCTGTCTCCCTGCAGGGAGGTTTGTGTCTGGGCTCAGACACAAATACAGGTGTCCCCTGTGTTAGGTTGCCACACGGATATCTCCTGTGTCTCTCACAGTAATACATGGCCTTCTCCTCGGCTCTCAGGTTGGTCATTTTGAGGGAGACTGTGCTGACAAGGGTGTCCCTGAGGATTATGATTTTTCTTTGTATTGATGGAGGGTACCACTAACAAATTCCACTTGAATCCCTCGCTTTTGCCTCCCACACCAACCCCTGTCCTGAAGCCTGCTGGGCTGAGCTCATGCTAGAGTCAATGAAGGTAAATTCAGAGGCTTTGTAAAAAAGGCTCTGAGAACAGTTAGGCTGTATCATTTCTCTTCCAGATTCCACCAGTGAACTTCTTGTAGGACTCTTACAAACACAGAGGGAACAGGCTGAGAAGCAGCCACAGCTAGGCTTGATCCACAGGGACCCTACCTCTGAGAATAAGAAGAGAACCCCAGATTAGCAGAGACCCTAAGGTGTGGACACTGAGGAAGGGCACCGACATCAGGTGGCATCCCCTTCATGGACAGGGGATAAGCTGTCCATGGGCCATTTTATGAGCATGGATGGGGGGCACATTTACACCTCTTTCTCCCTGTGGACAAGTGTGAACTGCTCAGCAGGGCTCATCCCTCTGCCTCTAGACTTCAGGGAGGGCAGGGTCAAAGAATCACTGAAACTGGATGCTCCGGCTTAATCTTTCCATCACTCTCTTCTTTTTCTCTAATGTGAGCCTGGTTTAGTTATTTTTATGGTATCAACCTTCATCAACAAATAAGTCAAGGAAGTACATGAAAAGAAAGTGTTAGGAAGAGTTCGTACATGAACAGGAACCTGTTTGCATGTCTCCGACTATAGAGTCGGTTCTTGGGTGAAATTCCTGAGGAGAGAGCAATGCTCATAGTAGGTGAGAGTATCATTTGTAGCATTTGGAAAAATATAATTTTCCAATCTGTCCTTAGGCAACTACTGATCTTTTTTTGTTACTTTAGATTCATTTTCATTTTTTATAATTCCTAGAAATAGAATCATACTTTATGCACTTTTATGTGTTGGCTTATCTTAGGATACATTTTTGTGAATACAACAATGTTGTTTTTTGTATCAAAGCTGTATTACCCAGAGTTCTCTAGAGAAATAGAACTAATATAACATATGTATATAGGAAATATAGTTTATTAGAATTTTCTCACAAAATTACAAAATGAAAGTTCCATGATAGGCTTTCTAAAAGCTTGGGAAGAGAGAGAAACTGGTAGTGGCTCAGTCTAAGTCCAGAAGTCTCAAAACCAGAAAAGCCAACAGTGCACACTTCATTCTCTGACCAAGGGCCCAAGAACCCTCAGCAAGCCCCTGCTTCACGCCCCATAGTTCAACTGCCAAAGAACGTGAAATCTTATGTCCAAGGGTAGGAAGAGCAGAAGAAAGCAGCCAGCAAGGAAAACAAAGCAAAACAAAACAAAAACAGAAGGCGCAGCAAGCAATGTTATCTCCTCTTCTTCCACCTGCTTTATTCTAGCTGTGCTGGCAGCTGAGTGGATGGTGCCCTTCCATATTGGGGCTGGGTCTTTCTCTTGCAGGCTACTTAGTCAAATGCCAACCTCCTCTGGCAAAACCCAAGAGACACACAAAGAAACAATACTTTCCCAGCCATCTAAGCATGCTTTAATCCAATCAAGTTAAACCTAATATTAACTATCACAGGCCAATCCCTTGTTGTCAACTTAGCATCCCTACATATCACCTGAAATCATGCTCGATCTCCAAATAAAGACAATAGTAAGGTCATAATTATGCCTAACATAATACAGCTATCCTTCATACAACTGAAAATGCACTAATCCTTAACCTAAATGCCACTATATACAGTTAACAACTCTCAAATGCTAATATGAAGTCGATAAATCTTATGTTACATGAAAAACAAAAAGAAAACATTTTCTTAGTACAGTTATATACATGCAGAAATATATTCTTAAGAAGATAAGAAAGACATACTCATGACAATTCCAGTCCTCATTTCTGGTTGATGGTCATACCTGGTATTGATAACAACTTTCTTGTATCTACCCATTCTGTATTTTTTGGCCTTCAGCAGTTACCTTGGCTGGTCAGTTTTGTTTCTTGTTCATTTGTTTGTTTGTTTACCTGGTGGAGTGACCTAAACTTTTACTCTTGAAGAATCTGAGCCATCTGTATGCCTGCCTGGATTAGGTTGTTGTAGTTTCCCATTGACCTTAATCACATGGCAAAGTAATGCTAAGAGATGCCCTAAGAAATCCCCCTGTATTCCAAACATACTATTTCTTACCTCCATTGTGGAGTAGTAGTATGATTCCATCTTGATAGCCTGGGTCAATCACCCCAGCCATACAAATTATAAAGAGTTTTTTTCCAATTTATGTAAATGCATTTCTTTGAAGTTTTGAATGGGAGTTGTTTTTTATATGGTGACAGATAGAGATCCAGTCTTATTCTTTTACATGTGGCTTCCTAGTTTTCCCAGTACCATTTATTAAATATGGTGTCTATTTTCCAATTTATATTTTTGTATGTTTTGTAAAACATCAGTTGGCTTTACATATTTGGCTTTATTTCTGGGTTCTCTATTTTGTTCCAGTGGTCTATGAACCTACTTTATATCAGTACCATGTTGTTTAGGTAACTGCAGCCTTGTGGTATAATTTGAAGTTCAGTAATGTGATGGCTCCATTTTTTTCTTATTAGGATTTATTTGGCTATTTGGGCTTTTTTGGTTTCATATGAATTTTAACATTATTATTTTTTAATTCTGTAAAAAATAATGTGGGTATTTTCATAAGAATTGCACTGAATCTGTAGATTGCTTTGGGCATTACGGTCATGTTCACAATATTGCTTCTTCCAATCCATGAGCATGGGATTCATTTCCATTTGTTTGTGTCATCTATGATTTCTTTCAGCAGTGTTTTGTAGTTCTCCTTGTAGAAATCTTTTACCTTTTTGGTTAAGTATATTCCTAAATATCTTTTTGTAGCTTCTGTAAAAGAAATGGAGTTCTTGATTTGATTCGCAGCTTTGTTGTTGTTGATGTATAGCAGTGCTACCAATTTGTGTACATTTATTTTGTAACCTGAGACATAAGTGAATTCATTTACTAAAACTAACAGTATTTTGGGGGAGTTTAGGGTTTTCTAGGTATATAATCACTTCATCTGTAAACAGTGATAGTTTGACTTTCTCTTTCTCAATATGGATGCCCTTTATTTTTTTCTTCTGATTAATTGCTCTGGGTAGAACTTCTAGCACTATGTTGAATAGAACTGGTGAACATGGACATTCTTCTATTGTTTCTGTTCCCAGGGGGAATGCTTTTAACTTTTTCACATTCAGCATGATGTTGGGTGTGAGTTTTTCCTATATAACCTTTATTAGTTTGAGGTCAGTTCCTTCTATGCCTACCTGACTTAGAATTTTTATAATTAAAAACGCTGAATTTTGTTAAATGCTTTTTCTGCATCTATTGAGATAATCCTATAGTTTTTGTTTTTAGTTCTGTTTATGTGATGTGTTACATTTATTGACTTGTGTATGTTCAAATAATCCTTCCATTTCTGAGTTGAAACCTACTTTTATCATGATGAATTATCTTTTGGATGTGCTGTTGGACTCAGGTAGCTATTTTTTGAGTATTTTTGCATCTATATTTACCAGGAAAATTCGTATGTAGAGAGTGTGTGTGTGTGTGTGTGTGTGTGTGTGTGTGTGTGTTTTCCTGGTTTGGGTATCTGGGTTATAGTAGCTTTAGAGAATAATTTAGGGAGGATTCTTTTTTTCTAAATTTAAAAAATAGTTTCAGAAAAAATGGTAGCAATTTTTCTTTGAATTTTGTGTAGACTTCAAATGTGAATTCACCTGGCCCTATTTTGTTGTTGGTATTGTTGGCAATTCTTGAATTACTGATTCAATCTCATTGTTTATTATTCATCTATTCAAAGTAACTGTTTCTTCTTGATTTAATCTAGGAGAGTTGTATGTTTCTAGGAATTTTTCCATTTCCTGTAAGTCTCCTAGATTGTGCACATGAAGTTGTACATAGTAGTCTCAAATTATTTTATATATTAGCAGTGTAGATTGTATTGTCTCATTTCATTTCTAATTGAACTTATCTGGATCTTTGCTCTTCTTTTCTTGGTTAATATAGCTAATGGTCCATGAATTTGATTATTTTTTCAAATAACCAACTTTTTATTTCATTGGTTTTTTGTGTTTTTTGTTTGATTTTCATTTAGTTCTGCTCTGATCTTTGTTATTTCTTTTCTTCTTCTGGATCTAGGTTTAGTTTGTTCTTATTTCTCCAGTTTCTTGAGGTGTGACATTGTTGCAGAAATTTAGGAGGGCAAGGGAGACCTCAGGGTATAGCAGGAGGATCCTTTATTGAGTGCACTCTGTCTCAGTGGACTCAACGTCCAAAAAACTGGGCCCCGAACAAAGACAAGGTTTTGCTTATATACCTACTCCTAAGTGGTGCAAACGCGAATGTACAGAGGCAAGACAAAGGCCGTTAAACAAACTAAGACAGGCTTATAACTCAAGTTTAGTATACTCCTTACTATGCTGCCCAGATGGTCATTATCTGCTTAGTTCAAAGGAGTCTCACAAAGACTCATCTTGCGACCCCCACTATGGCGTCTAGCTGGCTACTAGCCAGACCTGCTCAGGCTATACTGCTTAGATGCAGAAGCAGGAACCTACAATCATTAACTGTAGGAAAAACAGAAACTCCAAAAACTTACAGAGCAAGGAGCAAGATATAGTTTACATAGCAGAGGGGATGAGATTCGACGGGGAAGTTTACTTACACTAAAGGAGAGATAGGAAAACTTATCTCTTCACATCCTTATGTTGAGGGAGTGCTGGGAGAGTCTTCAGAGCACATTCCTCTGAGCTCTGGCCCTTAAATTACATTATTGAAACTTTGCGTGTTACTGCCTTTGACATGAGTCAGCCTAACACAGGCAGCTTGTTTCTTTCTCTTTTTTAATTTCTATTTTCTTTTTTTCTTAATTTTTTTCTTTTTTCCCATCTCATACCCTGCCTTTGATGCCTCCTATGTATGAAATTTTAATAGAAGTCATCACTACAACTTTGTTCTTCATGATAAGGCAAGTTTTCTTCGTTTGGTACAGCTTGGTATTTAGTTAGAGCCATTAGTCAAGTGGTGATGGTTTTGTCAACTACGGCGTCTATAGTTGATTGGATGCCCCTGATAAGGAGGGGTAAGAGGCAGGGGAGTATTAAACAGCCTCCTAATATAGCTAGTACTATCCCTATTAATGTTTTAAAACTGCCAAAACCTGAAAACCAACCTCCAAAAAGGGAATCTAGAGACCATATTGGCTTCCAGGTCTGAACTGGGACATGAGCTAGCTTTTGCATTCTTGCAGTTATTTCCATGATGGCCTTTCTGTTATCATCAATTTCTAAACAACAATTTGTCAGATTAAACTTCCCGCCTATGCCTCCTTCCTGGGCTAGGAGGTAGTCCAAGCCTAGCCTATTTTGATAAATGGCATTTCTCATCTTTGTGGCTTGCTGGGCCAGCAGGTCTAATGCATTTGCAGTTTCATTGGTGATGATTTCAAGTACTGCCTGCAACCTTATGATGCTGTTGAGCATGTAAATAGGGGTACAGTATCCCTGCATCCCATCTTGTGCCCATGTAGCTGGCCCATAGTATTAAATTATTCTTTCAGGAGGCCAATCGGTGTCCTTCCAATCTCCTATCTTTATATCTTTTTTTATGTCTATATTCCTTTTGCTCCTCCCCTTAATTTCATCATAGATAGGATACCCTAAAACCTCTCCCTGTTGTAACGGGTCAAGGAAGAAAGATGGTCTTATTGTCCCCAACACACAGGCCCCTGTCCAATTGGCAGGTAATTGCCAATAAGCTCATGGCCCACAGATCCAGTCGAGGCCAGAAGGTGCTTGCTAGGTGTTCATTTGGTGCCTCTAGTTGATACCAGGAGTGGTTTAAAGAGTGAAAATGGGAAAATGGATTATGGCATGGCAACCTGGTTGTATCTTTACCTTGCTTATTATTGCCCCGCCATAAAGTTTTCCCTAATGTCTCATTGTAATATTGCTGTCCTAGGCAGACTAATTCCCCTACTGGGTTTGTAAAGGCTTTTCCCCAGTGGGCAATGCAGAATCTTCCAATGACAGAAGATTTTAGCAGCCAGACACTTGAGCTCGTGAGTGCCGGCTCTGGGGATGAAAGGGTTAAAGTGTAATTTTCTTGAGGCGATAGCTCTTTTGTTTCCCAAGGCCACTGGTTTCCCATATTTGTTCCTCCACAGACAAAGCATGAGGAAACACCTAAGCTGCCAGCTGTTTTCAGCCAACCGTGCAAACAGATCTACAGCTATAGGAGGAGGAGCTTCAGGTACCTCCTGCTTAAAGTGCTCATTGAATGACTTAAAGACTTGGAACTGCTGCTGGGCAAGAAGGATTCAGGTTTTTTTTTATGTATATAATATAGACATAGACTCTTGAGTCTATTTCTTGGCTGCTGGCTTGTACCCTCAGTGGTGCTTTTAAACCTGTAGTCCATACGAGCCAATTTGGCTCCAAGGTGGTAAGATTCACAGGATTGCAAATGTTAGTTTTACAATCTGGTTCTGAAGGTATTTTGGTAAGCATGATTAGCCCTAGTGATTGTTGGTTAGTAGGCCATGTTGCAAAGCCCCAGCAAGTTGTTACCAGGGAACCGGTGGAGCAAGCAGGGGATGCACACTTACTTTTATGGCAGCTATTATAGTACTCCATGGAACTGTGGATTACGGGAAAGAGTGAGTCTATGGATGTTATCTGGCAAATATCAAAATACAAAGATGTGACTCCCTTGTGGGAGAGAGAAACTTCGGTCTTGTTTAAAAGACTTCCTTCCCTTGACCCAGTGCGAATCTCAAACCAGGCCCAGGTAAAAGCTTAGGGTCATAGTATACATAAAGCTAGCTATCCCCTGGGTCACAAACTGAATAGTTCGTTTGGTTGTACATACAAGTCCCCAGAGGGGTTCCTGTGCGTTCATAGTATGTATGGTACAATAAAGTCTTAACTAGTGTATTACCTATCCACGTAGTACACATGCAATGTGGACATTCCTCTATAGGCTCTTCCTCTCCTAGGACAGATATGGGGATCGACAGAAACAAGGCAAGGTGTAGCATTCTTACACCTAGCATGGGCAGGGTGGAGGAGATTTGTTGAAGCAATAGCACAGCAGTAATATAATTAATAATACAAATAAGATTACTGGACCTAAGATCTCTGGCCACATTTACTCATCTGATGATGACGACTCAAGCTTTCTGCCATGCGTAAACTAGTCAGCTTCCAGAGTGACTAGAGCAGAGCTTGCTGTTTTCTCAAGCTTCCACCATGCATAGACTGGTCAGCTTCCGAAGTAAGCAGAGCCGGGCTGTTGTCCTCTCCGCTGGGAACCCAGTCTCGTCGCAGGGTCAGCTGGGTCGGATGGTCTGGGTCCTGCTAGCTGGTCCTCTGGTCCTGGGCTGCCGGTTTCAGCCAGTCGTGGTGGATCCAAGGCACGATTTCTGAACTTTAACAGCAGTGGGAGTGGACAAAATTACAACATGGGGCCCATCACATATGGGTCCCAGAGTTATGATTCCATTTCTTAACCCCAACGAGGTCCCCAGGTTTGAAAGGGTGTACTGGGTCTGTCAGACCAATGGGCATTCTTTCTTGCACCCAGCCATGCACTTTCTGCATAGCTAGCCCTAAAGCCTGCATTTGCTTCCTTAGAGTTCTCCTAACTCACAGAGATCACCTTTAATTTGACCTGTGATTGGGGGTGGCCGGCCGAATAAAATCTCATAGGGTGAACACCCGGTTTGTTTTGTGCGGGTGCACCCGACTTGGAGGAGGACCACGGGTAAGACCTGATCCCACCTCAGGTGAGTTTCCTCACAAAATTTCTTCAGTAGCTGTTTTAGTGTCCAGTTCATGTGCTCCACTTTACCTGAGCTCTGCAGCCTACAGGCTGTATATAATTTCCATTTTATTCCTAATAGTCGAGTTAAGTCCTGCACTACTTCAGCCACAAATGCCAGTCCATTGTCTAACCCCAGAGTCAGGGGTAGTCCAAATCTGGGAATAACGTCTCTTAACAATACCTTGGTCGCCTCTCATGCCTTCTTTGTCTGGGTGGAGAAGGCCTCGACCCATCCTGAAAAGGTGCAGACAAGCACCAACATGTACTGATAGCCCCCTGCTCAGGACAGTTTGGTGAAGCCCATAAGCAGGTTTTCACAGGGATGGCTCTTGTTTCCTGAATTCCTGGGGGGTCAAGTGGGCCCTTGTCGAGGGTTGTTATGAGCACAAGTTAAACACCGTTCACAAACTGCTCAAGTGATAGCCGTAAGCTGGGACACATAGAAGTGACAACCTAATAATGTCTCTAGTGCCGTTTTTCCCATGTGAGTCCCTTGGTGGAACTGCTTTACAAATCTGGGGGCCACCATTTCAGTTATGGCTAGCCTCCCATTGGAGAATTTCCACCATCCTCCTTCAACGTAGCTCCCATTTTCTTGGGCAAAAAAAGCCCTTTCATTTGGAGTGTAGCTTGGGGTCTCTGGGAGGGGAATTTCTGGAAGGAGAGGCATAGCCAAGGCTTCCTCTTTAGAAGGCAGAGTCACCACTGCAGTCTGCTTTGCCTCTTGTCTGCCTTTCTGTTTCCTTTCACCTCTGATGTTCCTGCCCTCAGGTGCCCCCTACAGTGCATTACAGCCACCTGCTTCGGGGCCCACACAGCATCTAAGGGCTGTAGAATTTCTTCCTTGTACTTTCTTTCTTTCCCTCCATCAGTCAAGAGTCCTCTTTCTTTGTAAATAGCCCCATGAACATTCAAAATGGCAAAAGCATATTTAGAGTTTGTGTGAATATTGGTCTTTTGGTCTTTTGCTAGCCAATGAGCCCTTGTCAGAGCTATTAGCTCTGCTTTCTGAGCAGAAGTTCCTGTAGGCAAAGACTATGCCTCTGCTACTGAGTCCAAAGTCACTACTGCATACCCTGCTCGGCGGGCCCCTCTAGGATGAAGCTGCTCCCATCAGTGAAATATTCAATGTCCGGGTCCCCGAGGGGCCGATCTGTCAAATCTCTCTGGCTTGAGAACACTTCATCTGCTACGTCCACACAGCAATGAAGGGGGCAAGGTAGCCAGGTTTAGGGTATTTACAGTCTCTAAAGTTATGCAGGGATTTTCACATAAGAGCTCTTGATATCAAATCATTCTCGGATTTTATAACCATTGGTGCCCCCTTTTGTCCATTAAAGTTATAACCGAGTATGGTACCTGGATTATCAGTTGCCGTCCCAAAGTCAGTTTATTAGCTTCCTGTGCCAGTGAAGCAGTAGCAGCTAATGCCTTAAACAAGGGTCCATGCAAGTGCCACAGTATCTAATTGCCTGGATAAATATGCCACCGGGTGGTGCCATGACCCTATGACTTGAGTTAGGACCCCTATGACCATTCCTTTTCACTCATGGGCATATAAAAAGAAAAGCTTAGTTAGATCTGGCAACCCTAAAGCTGGAGCTTCAGTCAAGTCTCCTTTGATTTATTAAAAGGCCTTTTCCTGGGTGGCCTCCCAGAGGAGGGGCTCCTTCTTTCCCCTCTTTGTGGCTTCATACAATGGCTTACCCATGAGTGAGAAACATGGGATCCAGATGTGGCAGAACCCAGCTGCCTTTAGTAACTCTCTCATTTGTCACCAGGTGGTTGGAGTGGGAAGCACACAAAAGCCTGCTTTCATTCACTACCAAGCAATCTTTTCCCTTCGCTTATATAGAAGCCTAAATACTGGACACTTTCAGAGCAGATTTGATCCTTTTTCCCTGACACTTTATATCCTGCCTTTATATCCTGCCTTCCATAACAGGTGCAGGAGGTCTTGGGTCTCCTGAAAGCAGTCCTTCCAGGTTGGGGCTGCTAGAAGAAGATCATCAATGTACTAGAGCAAGACACAGTCACTGCTTGGTGGGGTGTAGGCTTTAAGGTCTGAGGCCAGTGCCTCTTCAAAGATTGTGGGAGAGTCTTAAATCCCTGTGGCAGTCTTGTTCAAGTATACTGTGATTCACCCCATTGCAAAGCAAAAACAGGCTGACTAATCGGTGCCAGCTGGAGACAGAAAAATGTGTCCTTCAAATCTAGGACTGTAAACCAAGTGGCACTCACTGGAATATGTCCCATTAAAGTATACAGGTTTGGCAGCACTGGGTGGATGGTCACCGTGGCCTGGTTTACTGCACACAAGTCCTGCACTGGCCTATATTCTCCAGACGGCTTCCACACTGGCAAGAGAGGGGTGTTCCATAGTGACTGGCATTTGACTATGGTTCCTCACCTGTGAAGTCAATCTAAGTGTTTGTGGACTCCCGTATGGCCTCAGGGAGAAGCGGGTACTGACGGACATGAACCAGAGTCGCTCCCAGTTTTAACTCCACTACAATTGGTGCCGGATTTACTGCCAGTTCCGGCAGGTTACTTTCAGCCCAAACTCCAGTAATTTTAGTAAGTAACCCACGCATTTAATTTACTCCTGGTTCTGGAGTCTTTCCTGCATATAGTCTCCATTCCTCAGCCCGTGGGACAGTAAGGGTTAACACCATAGCCTCTGAGTGAGCTAGATTTAAAGTTACATCCCCTTGTGGCCCAAATGTAATCTGTGCCTGCAGTTTTTGAAATGGGTCTCTTTCCAGCGAAGGAACTGGACAATTTGGGAGGTACAGGAATTCTTGTTGGACTCCTTGTCCTCCTATAACACGCCTCTTTGACTGACAGAAAGGCCTCTTCTCTGAGACTCCAGTGGCTCCTGCAATAGTTGCACAGTTCTTGGATAGCGGCCCTATAGGTCGGGTCACTGCTGAGTGCTCAGCCCCAGTATCTACCATAAAGTCCACTAGTTGGCCTCCACTTCTAATCTGAACATAGGCTCTTGGGTGCCCAAAGAGAAAGAGCCCGGTCTGTCCTAGTCCTCATATCCTTCAGCCCTGGCCAGTCCGATTAGGTCAGTGTCTGGTTCCTCCCAGGTGCGGCAGCCCCCTGCTGGTGGCCTTCCCATACCACAGCCCTGACCATTCTCCTTGTTATTCTCTGGACACTCATTCTTCCAGTGTCCTTTCCTTTTGCACTGCACACATTGATCTCTTTCTAGTCTCAGCTGACTCTCAAATCCCCATCCAGTCCGGCCTCTTCCATGCCCTCATCCATACCCGCATCCCCTTGCAAAACCAGCTTCCCTTCCCGTAAGGGCAGCTGCCAGTAAATCAGCCTTCTTCTTAAGCCTTCAATCAGCCTCCCTCTTTGCCTCCTGATCATTGTTAATGTACACCTTGGTGGCTACCTCAATAAGCTGAGTAGCATTCATACCCGCGAAACCTTCCATCTTCTGCAAATTTTGCCTGATATCACCCTGGGCCTGACCTACAAATGACATATTTACCACATGCTGATTCTCAGTAGTCTCAGGGTTGAACAGGGTGTACAGCCGATAAGCCTCACAAAGTCTCTAATACAACTGGCTTGGGCTCTCAACTGCTCCCTGGAGCACCTCCGAGATTTTTCCTATATTAACTGCTTTTCTCCCACCATCCTTCAGCCCATGAAAGATTGCCTCTCAGTACCGCTGCAGGTGCTGCAACTGGGTTGCATCATTTGGGTCCCAATTGGGGTTTGTTTCAGGGAACTGACCCGTGCATATGCCTGGGCATTAACTGTGTCTGCAGGTGCATTAGTTTTAGCCACCGGAGGGCTGCCTGTGTCACCCTCTGCCATTCCTCCATATTAAACAGGGTCAAATATGCATATGTCTGGGCATTAACTGTGTCTGCAGGTGCATTAGTTTTAGCCACTGGAGGGCTGCCTGTGTCACTCTCTGCCATTCCTCCATATTAAACAGGGTCAAAAGAAGCTGTTTTCAATCTGGTCACGTTGGATTGTGTGTCTGAAAAACGGACTGCATCAAGTCAACGAGAGCCTGTGGCTTCTCCATGTAAGAGGGAATATGATGCTTCCACTTTAGGAGGTCAGTGGTTGAAAAGGGCTGGTAAACGAAAGTTCACTCTCCCCTCTGGATGTGGCCATGCTGGTCATAATAGACAGGTCCCCTCGTCTCCCTGAGACGCATTTGCAGGACTCAGGTGCGGCCAGACCTGAGATGGCCTGCCTGACTTTCTGGGCTTTCCACTCTAACTTCCTGCAGCTCCAATTCCTCCTTCTTAGTTGAGGCTGGGGGAGTATACTCTCCCGGATTTAACTCCCCATGGACAGCTGGGGCTGCTGGCCTCACAGCTGAACTTGCAGAGGGAGCAGTTGGTCTCGGCAAAGGGGGGTGGCTTGGAACATGAGGAGGAGGAGGAAATTCTGTTTCCTCCTGAGGTGCCCGCAGAACTGGTTTATCTCGGCTTTCCTGTGACTTTCCCTTTTTCTCTGCAGCTGCCAGCATGGCTGATTTTACTTTCATTTTGTCTTCGGCTGCTCGGGCCACAGGCGTCTTACAATATGCTGCTGGGGGGTGCAACCACGCTGGTCAGTTTTGTATAACATTGAGCCATGAATCGATATAGGGAAATTGATCTGGGTACCCTGGCTGTCCTCCCACCCCGGTCACCACCTTAAACACCCGGCCAATCACCTCCCTATCTATATAGCACCCTCGGCCGGCAGCCGACCCCTAAAGAAGGCCATTCTGATTCACAGAGAGTTTTCAACTTCAGGGGGTCAGCTTAATTCCATAATCCGCTGCAAAACCTTTCTTAAAATTCTTTAGTATACATTCCAGTGGAGTGGGTTTCCACGATTTTCCTCCCATTTCCTCCCTCTACGACGCACACTCACTCTGACTTCCTTTTTTACCGAGCAGAGCGTCTCCTATTACAGGAGTTTTCGGGGCCGCCTGGCTAGGAGAGTCCCCTATTCCCAGCACGGCCGCTGCTGCCACGGGGCAGCTCCTACCAGCCGCTTCGCCGCTATCCCAGGTCGGCCCCAGGCTTCGCTGGGAGCGCCCAGTCCACGCTGAGATCTGCGCCTCCCACGTCACTCCCCGCACCGGCCCCTCCTGCAGCCGTCTCTTGCACGCCCTTTCACCCACTTCCCCTCCCCAGTTCCCTTTCCTAACCGGCCTGGCGGGCCTCTCTCCTGTGCCGCGTCGGTTGCGGCGTCTGCGGTACCCGAGTGAGCGACCCCCTCTCGCCGCCGCAGCCTCCCTGGGTCGGACTAGACGCACAGCCCGGCAGGTGATGGGGCTCCCCTCCGTCCTCGTGGGACGGGTCCTGCCTTGGGCCCCAAAAGCCGACCGCGGTTCATTAGCGCTGCTTCTGGGATCATCCCGCAGCCCTTTCCGCGCTCCTTTGCGCTGTCAGGGGAGGGGCCCCGGGGGCCTGGAGAGCCGGTCTCCCCTCCGGGCTGAAGTGCTCCCCGAGGCCGCCCTGGGGTCACAGATCGCCGCGACCAGAGCCCCAGACCCTCCGGCAAAGGAGACAGCCAATCTGTCCTCTCTTCTCCTCCTGGCTGCTGGCTCGCAAGAAAGGTTGCGGAACATCAGGAGGGCAAGGGACACCTCGGGGCATAGCAGGAGGGTCTTCACTGAGTGCACTCTGTCCCAAGGGACTCAACGTCCAAACAACTGGGCCCCGAACAAAGACAAGGTTTTGCTTATACACCTCCTCCTAAGTGGCACGAACGCGCACGTACAGAGGCAAGACAGAGGCCGTTAATCAAACAAAGCCAGGCTTGTAACTCAGGGTTAGCAATACTCCTTCCCATGCAGCCCAGATGGTCATTACCTGCTTAGTTCAAAGGAGTCTCACAAAGACTCATCCTGCCACCCCCACCATGGCATGTAGCTGGCTACAAGCCAGACCTGCTCAGGCTGTACTGCTTAGATGCAGAAGCAGGAACCTGCAATCATTAACTACAGGAAAAACAGAAACTCCTAAAACGTACAGAGCAAGAGGCAAGGTATAGTTTACATAGCAGAGGGGATGAGATTCGACAGGGAAGTTCACTTACACTAAAGGAGAGATAGGAAAACTTACCTCTTTTCATCCTTATGCTGAGGGAGTGCTGGGAGAGTCTTCAGAGCCCATTCCTCTGAGCTCCGGCCCTTAGATAACATCATTGAAACTTTGCGTGTTACTGCCTTTGACGTGAGTCAGCCTAACACAGGCAGCTTGTTTCTTTCTCTTTTTTGATTTATATTTTCTTTCTTTAATTTTTTCTTTTTTCTCGTGTCAACATTAGGTTGACAACTTGTGCTCTTTCCGGCTTTTTCACGTAGGCAGTAGTCACTATAAACTTTCCTCTTACCACTGCTTTTGCTGTATTCTTAAGGTTTCAATAACTTGTTACCATTTAATTAAGGTAATTTTTAAATTTTCATCTTATGCCATTGTTAACCCAGATATTACTCAGGAGCAGATTTCTTAATTTCTATGTATTTGTTCAGTTGTAAGGGTTTCTTTGAGAGTTCATTTTTAGTTTTATTCTCCTGTGGTCTGAGAAGATACTTGATATGATTTCACTGTTTTAAAAATTCATTGAGACTTGTTTTGTGACCTATTATATGTTCTATCTTGTAGAATGTTGCATGTACTGATTACAAGAATGTTTATTCTGCAGATCTTGGACAGAATGTTCTGTACACATCTGCTACATCCATTTGTTTCAGTGAGTTATTTAAGTGCATTTTTTCTCTGTTGACTTTCAGTCTCGAAGATCTGTCTAGTGCTGTTATGATTGTATTAAAGTCTCCCACTCTGATTGTTTCGCTCTCATTTTTTTAAATCTCTAATAGTACTTGTTTTATGAATCTAGTTCCTCTGGTGTTTGGTGCCTATAAATTTAGAATTGTAGTATTTTCTTATTGAATTGATCCTTTTGTAATTGTATAGTGATCATCTATGTCTTTTTTTTACTGTTGTTGCTTTGAAGTCCATTTTGTCTGATATCAAAATAGCTACTCCTGCTCACTCTTGGTTTCCATTTTTGTGAAATACCTTCTTCCAACCTTTTACCTTGAGTTTATGTAAATCTTTGTGTGTTAGGGGGATCTTTTAGAGACATCAGATATTTCCATTGTGATTTTTTAATCTATTCTGCCATTGTGTATCTTTTATATGGAGCATTTAGGCCATTTACATTCAATGTGAATATTTAGATATGAGTTACTGTTTTCTTTGCCATGTTAATTCTTACCTAGTTTTTTTTTTTCACTGTGTTATTGTTTTATAGGCCTGTGAGTTTCAGGCTCTTAAGAGGTTCCCTTTATGTGCTTACTGGGCTTTTGTTTCAAGGTTTGCAACTCCTTTTAGCATTTCTTGTACTGCTGGTTTGGTAGTGACGAATTCCCTGAGCACTGGTGATTCTGAAAATGACTTTACTTCTTTTTCATTTATCAAACAGTTTGGCAGGATACAAAATTCTTGATTGAAAGTTGTTCTATTTAAGGAATTTGAAGATAGAAGCTTAATCCATCTGGCTGGTGAAGTTTCTGCTGAGAAGTCTGCCATTAGTCTGATGGGTTTTTTGTTTTGTTTTGTATTGCTGCTCTTAGAATTATTTCCTTCATGTTAACTTTCGGTAGCCTGATGACTATAAGCTTGGTGAAGGCAGTTTTGCAATACATTTCCCAGGAGTTCTTTGAACTTCTTGGATTTGGATATCTAGGTCTCTAGGCAGGCCAGGAATGTATTTCTCAATTTTTCTCTCAAATAAGTTTTCCAAACATATTATTTTTTTTCTTCTTCAGGAACACCAATTATGCTGAGGTTTGGTCATTTTACATAATCCCATATTTCCTGGAGACTGTGTTTACTTCTTTTGGTTCTTTCTAAATTTATTTTTCTCTGATTTGATTATTTCAAAAATAGTCTTTTTTATTTCTTCTTTTTTCTTATTTCTACTTTATTCTTCTTCTTTTTTCATCTAATTTTTTACTTCAACTTTTTATTTTGTACTTTTTCTAGTCTCTTGTTTATTTTTTCTTCTACTTTTTTCTAGTCTATTTTTAAAACTTTCCATGGCATTTTGTAATTCCCTTACTATTTCCCTGCATTTTGTCTTTTATTTTCAGAAGTTCTGATTGGTTTCTCTTTATGATATCTATCTCTCTATAAAAATTTGTATTTATATTCTGAACTGCTTTTATACATTTGTTTATGATGATATTCACCTTCTTATTATATCTTCTTGAGTAGCTTAATAATCAACATTCTGAATTTCTTATCTGGTATTTTAAAGACTTCATTTTGGTTAAAGTTTATTGCTGGAGACCTAGTGTGACCTTTTTGGGATGTTATAGCACCCTGTTTTGTCATATTACTTGAGTTATTTTTCTCATTTCCTCTTATTTTGGTAGACTATTTCTTCTAACTAGTATTGAAATTATGTTTGTTTTAACTGTTTCTTTTGTTTGTTTTTAAATTTATTTTTTCCCTTAAGAATGAGACTTTAATGGTTATAATTAATTACAGTCTAATTTGGTTTTTGGTCCTTAGAGGGGTGAAGACTCTGTAAGAGTTCCGTGGTTATGGAGAATCTTTGTATGATGGCTTTCCTATGTGTTGATTGCAGTAGAAATCTGCTCAGTATGTGAGCAAGTTCACTGTCTTCTATGGGGTTAGAATGGTTGAGGTCTATTAAACCTTAGTTCATTCCTCTGTGGCATGCACGTATTTATTTATTTTCCCCCAGTGATTTATTTGCTAGTTTGATGGTTCAGGCTTCAGACCAGTAGGGGGCTTGTCCCTGGATAGAAACCAGCTGTGGCTAAATCAGGTGGTAAATGAAGTCCCAGCCTTGACAGAGTTGGCTGGAGGAGCTTTTAGTGAGTCACACTGAGGTCTTATCTGGGGGAAGGGTTGGAGCCACCTCAGCTGTCTTGCCAGGTCTGTAGGAAAGTTATGCACCTCTAAGACACTCCCGTATCCCAGGATTCCAGCTATTCAGATCAGACAGGCATGTCTTTTCCTCTGTACAAAAGTTGAAGTGTTAAATACAGAGGAATTGTGACTCTGTGTCTGGCCAAAACCTGAACCTGGAGAGTGCTCTTTCTGGGGGATGCAGTCAACATGATGTGTTCCAGAAATGCTGTCTATAGTTGCACCCGTACTGAGCTCTTATGGGAGAGACCCCAAGTGTGCCTGCAGTGGTGTACAAGGGGGAAAGACTTCCTCTTCTTCAAGTTTTTCACATGCACCAGGGATATCTGACTGTTGAGACAGAGCTGAAGACTTTCTCTGCTGAGCTCAGCACTGTAACTGCCTCTACTAAAAGAAGTTTCCCACCAATGGAGGGATCTGATTGATGTTCAAGGCCTGCCATCCAGATTCTCCTGTCCCACAGGGTGTTCCCTCAATGTGGTGCACTCCCTTCCCCTAGGAGCAGGAGAACCTGGGAGCCATACTACTGTGAGTGTTGTTGCTTCTCTAGGTCTAGCCGCCCAGTGAAGTTGACACACTTCAGGCTGGTGTTGGGGAATGTATGTGAGGGATCCGGTGGTGTGATGTGTCCTCAATTTTTCAGCAGTGAGCAGTGAACCAGGTCTGATGGAAGCAGCAGGGGAGTGATGGAGACTGAAATTCCTTAGATATTGATAGCCTTTGTGTACTGGCTTTCTTGAATGCTGGTTATAGCGGTAATGAACTGTTCACATGGACAGACTCAGGACCTCCTGGTCATCCAGAGTGGTGCAGGCACTGGTCATAGCTGAGATCACACAGTCATTTTCTCCTTTCTGGGTGCAGTGATAGTCTACCAGGAGATACTGTGATGGACTGTTTATTGGCTTCCTGCTTGGAGATGGTGCTTTCCAAAGAGCACCAGCTACAGTATTAACAGTGGGGTTTTTGCTTGGCTTATGTTGCCCAGGAATAGGGGCTACTGTGGATTCTCAGGCAGTGGGTGTGGCCATGTATCTCCCAAAAGATGCTGTCCTTTGTGTTAAGCTGCCAGGGCAGATGGCTGCATAAAGCAAGGTGAGGGCTGGGCCAGGTAGGTTTCTGCTCAGAGTATCCTTGTGCAGGGCAAGCAGCAGCCTCTCTGGGTATGGGAGACACAGATAATGGTGAATTCTATTCTTAATCTGCTGTTTAATTTTGTTTGTCATCTCATCACTCTTGAGAGTTTTTGAAACTATGATAATCAGGGATATTGGCCTGTAGTTTTATTTACTTGTAGTGTCTTTTCCTTGCTTTGGAAATAGGGCCTTCCAAAATAAGCTTGGATATATTTCTTTCTCTTTATTTTGTTGGAAATTTGAGTAGAGATTCTAGGTTTTTTTTAATTTTTGATAAAATTCAGTAGTGAAGCCATGAAGTTCTGGACTTTGATTCGAGATGTTGGAAAAATCACTGACTCGATCTCTTTACTCATTGGTCTGTTCAGATTTTTTTTAATTGGAGTCTCACTCTGTTGCTCAGTCTGGAGTGCAGTGGCTCGATTTTGGCTTTCTGCAACCTCTGCCTCCCAGGTTCAAGTCATTCTCCTACCTCAGCCTCCCGAGTAGCCGGGACTATGGGACTGCGGGTGAACACCACCACACCCAGCTAATCTGTGTATTTTTAGTAGAGACGGGGTTTTGCCATGTTGGCCAGGCTGATCTTGAACTCCTGACCTGAGGTGATCCACCCGCATCGGTCTCCCAAAGTGCTGAGAATACACATATGAGCAACCACGCCCAGCCCAGATTTTTTATTTCTTGGTGGTTCAGTTTTGATAGGTTGTATGTCTTTAAAAATTTGTCTATTTATTTTAATTTATTCTTAACCAAACAGGTTCTAAAATATTTGCAAGATTACTCACAGGAAATCTATTTATGACAGAAGTCTTTGTTATATCAAAATATTTACGAATTGGCACAAAGATGAATTATTCAGTGCATATTGTTAAAAGGAAAACAACAACAAAAACAAGATAACTTATTAATGGTACAAAAAGGGGTTAAATGATTTTGGAAAAGTAAGTAGAAAATAAAAGAAGGAGGGAGTAAGAGCGGACAGAAGGGAGGAAGGCAAGCAAGCAATGATGAACTGTGTAAAATTTTCACTAATTAAAAGACTATTATATTGAAGAGGTGCCTATTAGGCAGCCTTTTGATGTTAACCATGTAATATACACCATGAACAACCTTGTAGAACACACAAGAGCCCCCTCAGAGAACTGGATGGGTCAGGTCTCCCATCCAGTTGCCTTAGGGGTTAGGAACGCTCCCATGTTGTTCTCTGGTTTTTGCTCCTGAGGACACAAACAGCCAGTGTTTCCTCCCCGGATGAATAGAGAGGCCCCTGGGGAGGGTGTGTCTGGCAGCTCACTCTGCACCTGCACCGCGGAAGGTTTTAGATGGTCCCTCTCACACAATAATACATGGCGGCGTCCGAGGCCTTCAGGCTGCTCCACTGCAGGTAGGCGGTGCTGCTGGAGCTGTCGGCTGAGATGGTGACGTGGCCTTGGAAGGATGGGCTGTATCTGGTATCAGAGTTCCCAGGATAGATGCTCCCCATCCACTCCAGTTCTTTCCCGGGCATCTGGCGCACCCAGTGGATCCAGTAGCTGGTAAAGCTGTATCCAGAAGTCTTACAGGAGATCCTCAGAGACTCCCCGGGTCTTTTCACCTCTGCTGCAGACTGCAACAGCTGCACCTCGGCAAAGACACCTGTGTGGGAGACACAAAATTTGCATCAGGGGCTCCCTTCTGCCCATTCTTCTCTGTGACCTCAAACCCTGGGCAGGACTGACCTTGGAGAACAGCCAGGACGAGGGAAAGGATGACGGTTGACCCCATCCTGGAGGAGGACAGAAAAGAAAGCACTGAGATCCCAGCTGGGTGGTGAAGGAGACTCACTGTGGAGGAGAGCCCTGGGTTTAAGTGGGGAGGCCCCCACTTGAATTTGCATAGTTGCCGCCCTGGCCTGAAGGGAAGAGTCTACAAGGTTTATAACCCAGAACCGCAACTGCAGAAAAACGGCTGAACTGAGCCTCTTGGGAGAGGCAGAATAAGGTCTTAATAATGTCTTACAACCCCCTGTTGTCCCTCCGCACTCTTGTCCATGGTCCTACAAGACCCAAACCAGGGCCTCCCTTCTTCCTACCCTTCTCTGTGACCCTGTGAAGGTGATAAATCTAGATGAAATCACGTGTGTTTTAAAAAATGAGAAATAGAACCAGGAAATGCTATGAAGACAAAATTCAAATGCACATATGCCTGATAATAAGAACTACAAAAAAAAAAAAAACACCTAGTTTCTACTTGCTGGCAATTTCCCATGAGTGCCATTATGGTCTGGGCACCCAGCAAAGGCAGGACCACCCTAGGGCTTCAACAGTCCTCAACTTGATTAACTTGCCAGACCTTCACCCATGCCAAATCACACATTTTTTCTGGTCATTTTGTCTTCTACATTTCTACAGTCTGCCAATTCAACATAAATAGGGAATATTTGTTTAGGTCTCTGAATTGCTGATGGAACTGAAGGGATTGCCATTGCTGCACCCAACTCCTGGTAGTTCTGTTTTAAGTCCTTTGTGTCAACCCCAGCACCTTCTTGTTTAGTTCTTTCATTTTTTAACATTCATTTTATGATATCCACATTGCTTGGAGGAGGCCCTTAACTATCCCCTGTGTCTGCCCCATTATCTTGTGAACCACTCTCATTTCCTTATCATCTAAAAGATTCAAATGAAAAGACAAGGCAATACAAACTACACAGTTTCTAAAATATTTGCCAGATTGCTCACAGGAGTTGTACCTGGGGTGCAGAAGCAAAAGGACTTCTCTTTATCACAGCACAGGCCATGACCTAGGTAAGGTGCATGCGAAGCAATGTCCAGCAGCATCAACAGAAACACACAGCAGCAGGACCTGGATAAGATGCATGCTAAGCAATGACCGTCGGTATCAACATAAACACATAGCACTATGGCTTCCATATACAGCATTGGGCTCCTCATCTGGAGAGCCCACTTTGCATTTTAAAGAGAGAAAGGGCAGTCTCATTCTCAGGGTAGAGAAACTTTACATGATCGGGATCCAGTGCTTGAGGAAAGCTGTCCCATCAGAAGCATCCTACTTGAGGTTGGGATCAGCTAGAGCCATCTGTGATGTGTCTATTGTGAGCTGTGGGTCCAGCATCTTCCCAAACATGCTCCTCCCTTATGCAACACATGAAGCCAAAGAGAATCTGCTACATCAGTCAGTCTCCTAGTCCATTGGCTAATGTTGTTCACGATCTGATGATATCTATTAATGATATCATTCATATCACAAAATGATGCCACTTTCCACACTATCCTCCCTGTTCTAGTTGTCAAGTGGATTCCCCTCCCCAGTCCAAACCCTGGGCTACCATCTGTGTAGCTCTTGTGTGTTGTGTGTTGTTTCTGGACAACTGTACCCTTTGGCAGTGAATGGGAGTCTAGCAGCCTTGGCTCACAGGGCACACTGCAGGGCTGGATGTGCATCTTTTTACTATTATTTTAGCTATCACAGATATGAGTTGCATACTCAGGTTGTTCTTCATTATTTTTACTTGTTCTTGTTCAGGGAACAACTCCTAGGGAGCTGTGTCCGTCGTTTCTAAATTCCATGGATTACTTTCACTTCCTGCTCCTTATTGGAGTGCACACATCATCTCATGCCATGTGATTCTATAGCCATCCAGGCACTGAATGTCTTTTATCCTACACTTTCTCATCCTTTGATATTATAAATGCTATAGACATGTGTCAGTAGTCAGGGTCTTTCTAGCAATTTACACCTCTGATGTAATTGTGTTGAGTGTCCCAAGACCATCCTCAGGCCCCATAATCAGTACAAATAAAGGACTCAAGACAAGCTGTTATTCTCGTGGGTGCAGCTTTATTATAGCAAATGAATATGAATTAAAATGAGCAAAGGAACCAGTGGGAAGGCCCTGAGAATCCAGGCACAAGCTCCCAGGTGTTCTTTCCCTGAGAAGTCTCTTGTCCCCAGTTCTCCCAGCAGTGATGCATGACAATACGTGTGAAGCATTGTCCACCAGGGAAGCTCACCTGAGTGCTGGTGCCCAGTGCTGTTTATTGGGGCCCATCACAGATGTGTGTGGCACCTGCATAACTGACCTCCAGTGCTCAGACGCTGGCCCCTTCAGCAATAATAGGCATTCCCCATAAGTCATTATGGAAACAGCTAGCATAGTGTGCACCCAGGCTACACACACAGAGACAGAGACACACAAGCAAAAATACATTTCAACTAATAATAATAATCATAATACTAAGAATAAAAAGAATAAAGAGGAATGTTTTGGAAGTCATTGCTATGTTTATGACCTTGATGGTGATGGTAACTTTGCATACTTAACTCAATGAATTAAGTATGTTAAATAACGTATAGTCTTATAGATGTAATCCTTACCTTAATAAAATGGTTTAAAAATATTTCCAGGAGGAGTATGCCAAAAAAGCAGATATCATCTCCCAGGAGCTGAATATGGATGTGGCTTGAGAAAGCACTTTTTCAGTAATCTTCAGGGTTTGCACAACACAAGCCTGCTCAGTAAACACTTTCCTGTACATAAGTCCAGGTGAGGTGGAAACAGGCTGTTGGAATAAAAAGCAAGATGCAGAAGAAAAGAGAGAGGAAGTGGTGGACAAGATATGAACCCACGTAGGGTCAGTGTGGATGGGAGGCACCACTGAGAGCCTGTGGATGGAGAAGGATGTGGACCAGGGACAGCAGGAAAACAAGGCAGGGAGGGTTCTTCCTGAGCCAAACCAGATGTTTCACGGAGGCTGTGATCAGGGGCCATGCACAGGCACAGGTGGGTGCCATGGAGTAGGGGAGCCACTGGGGTATAGACCCAGGACAGAGCATGAGAAATTCAGACATTCCCAAGGCAGCAGGCACAGAAATAATGACTGACAAGCCTCTATCTTGGGCTCCCATCCATATATCAAAGATAAAGTTAACTGATTTTTCCACCTGGGAAGAAATGACTGAATCTCTGAGTGAGGAAGGACATGAGTGGTGCAGCCAGGGGAAGCAATGCTGGACCTGCCAGCAACCCTCCTCCCCTCACACTGCCCTGCATGTCCTCCCATCCCCAAAGCATGGAGGTTCTCATCCTTGTCCAGTGGTGGGAGCCACAGTCAGCTCCTAGACCCCTCAGGGGGCTTCCTGACATGATCAGCTGGGTCTAACAAAAACAGGGCATTTACAATCAAGTTCTCCATCTACCTGTCACCAATGTGTTTATGAGGCTTTAGAGTAAATGAAATAAGTGAAAAAAGACTTTACAAGCAATAGAAAAATCAACAAACCTAAGAGTTTTTTCTTAAAAAAGGACAAATTCTTAGCTAGATTAAGAGAAAAAGAAAGAATCCTTTAATAACTAAAATCAAAAATAATTCAGAAAGCATAAGAATTGATAAAACTGAAATTTAGAAGCAATTAGAGATGATTCCTCTGACATTTTCAAAGTTGTCTCAATCCTTCAGGTAGTAATGGCATTTCTTGTCTCAGAACCCAAGAAGAGTCCTGAGACACACAATTACTTGTTTAAATTATCTTTATCACTCTCTGATAAAATACTCACACATAATAATCTAGCTGCATGAAGATAAAAAATAACTAGTTTGAAATTAGAACAAGTCCCAAGTAAATCAAAGTTAGCATGTGGTTCATAATGTAATAGACAGGAGACATGGCTGAATATGAAGAATGTGTTCACATCTATTTTGTGTCAAGATCAGGAAAATATTTTTTATATTATTTAGGTAAAAGCCCCATTGAGAGCACTGATTTAAGATTATATATTGGTGGGTAATACCTCAATAATAAAAGTAGAGGTTATTAACCTTTAATTTGTATTACTAGTACAAAGTTTCATTCAGGATATATCCTTCTATGTGTTATGAAATCAACTCAGAAGGCAGAAAACATTGCACTTATTAAAGCTTTTTAATAAATTAAAAATTATAATTAAGTATATATGTTTCTAGATGGTGTACAACTTAGGAATATTTTTAACAGAGAGGGTTCTTATGTCTTCTGCAGATCCTATCAAAATGGACAAGAGAAGAAACTCCCAGATGAATTTCTACCTACTAGAGAACTGATTAACATAATTTTTTGAGTTACTATTTTTTATTATACTTTAAGTTATGGGATACATGTGCAGAATGTACAGGTTTGTTACATAGGTATATATGTGCCATGGTGGTTTGCTGCACTCATCAACCCATCATCTACATTTGGTATTTCTCCTAATGCTATCCCTCCCCTAGCTTCCCCACCCCGTGACAGGCCCCTGTGTGTGATGTTCCCCTCCCTGTGTCCATGTGTTCTCATTGTTCAATTCCCACTTTTGAGTGAGAACATACAGTGTTTGATTTTCTGTTCTTGTGTTAGTTTGCTGAGAATGACGGTTTCCAGCTTTATCCATGTCCCTGAAAATGACATGAACTCATCCTTTTTATGGCTGCAGAGTATTCCATGGTGTATATTTTCCACATTTTCTTTATCCAGTCTATCACTGATGGGCATAAGGGTTGTTTCCAAGTCTTTGCAATTATGAACAGTGCTGCAATAAACATATGTGTTCATGTGTCACGTAAGACACAGTAGAATGATTTATAATCCTTTGCTGATATACCCAGTAATGGGATTGCTGGGTCAAATGGAATTTCTGGTTCTTGATGCTTGAGGAATCGCCACACTGTCTTCCACAATAGTTGAACCAATTTACACTCCCACCAACAGTGTAAAAGCGTTCCTATTTCTCCACATCCTTTCCAGCATCTGTTGTTTCCTGACTTTTTAATGATGGCCATTCTAACTGGTGTGAGATGGTATCTCATTGTGGTTTTGATTTGCATTCCTCTAATGACCAGTAAGGATGAGCTTTTTTTTTCATGTGTCTTCTTTTGAGAAGCAAGTGTTCATATGTTTCGCCCACTTTTTGATGGGATTGTTTGTCTTTTCCTTGTAAATTTAAGTTCTTTGTAGATTCTGGATATTAGCCCTTTTGTCAGATAGATAGATTGCACAAACATTCTCCCAGTCTGTAGGTTGCCTGTTCACTCTGATGGTAGTTTCTTTTGCTGTGCAGAAGCTCCTTAGTTTAATTAGATCCCATTTGTCAATTTTGGCTTTTGTTGCCATTGCCTTTGATGTTTTAGTCATGAAGTCTTTGCCCATGCCTATGTCCTGAATGGTACTGCCTAGGTTTTCTTCTAGGGTTTGTATGGTTTTAGGTCTTATGTTTAAGTCTTTAATCCATCTTGAGTTAATTTTTATATAAGGTCTAAGGAAGGGATCCAGTTTTAACTTTCTACATATGGCTAGCCAGTTTTCCCAGCACTGTTTATAAAATAGGGAATCCTTTCCCCATTGCTGTTTTTGTCAGGTTTTTCAAAGATCAGATGGTTGTAGCTGTGTGATGTTATTTCTGAGGCCTCTGTTCTGTTCTATTGGTCTATATGTCTGTTTTGGTACAAGTACCATGCTGTTTTGGTTACTGTAGCCTTGTAGTATAGTTTGAAGTCAGGTAGCGTGATGCCTCCAGTTTTGTTCTTTTTGCTCAGGATTGTCTTGGCTATACGGGATCTTTTTTGGTCCCATATGAAATTTAAGTAGCTTTTCCTAATTCTGTGAAGGAAGTCAATGGTAGCTTGATGGGAATAGCATTGAATCTATAAATTACTTTGGGCCGTATGGCCATTTGGCAATATTGATTCTTCCTATTCATGAGCATGGAATGTTTTTCCATTTGTTCATGTCCTCTCTTATTTTGTTGAGCAGTGGTTTGTAGTTCTCCTTGAAGGGGTTCTTCACATCCCTTGTAAGTTGTATTCCCAGGTATTTTATTCTCTTTGTAGCAATTTTGAATGGGAGTTCACTCATGATTTGGCTCTCTTTTTGTCTATTATTGGTGTATAGGAATGCTTGTGATTTTTGCACATTGACTTTATATCCTGGGACTTTGCTGAAGTTGCTTATCAGCTTAAGGAGTTTTTGGGCTGAGACGATGGGGTTTTCTAAATATAAAATCATGTCATCTGCAAACAGAGACAATATGACTTCCTCTTTTCCTATTTTGAGTACCCTTTATTTCTTTCTCTTGCCTGATTGCCCTGGCCAGAACTTCCAATACTATGTTGAATAGGAGTGGTGAGAGAGAGCACCCTTGTCTTGTGCCAGTTTTCAAAGGGAATGCTTCCAGCTTTTGCCTGTTCAGTATGATATTGGCTGTGGGTTTGTCATAAATAGCTCTTATTATTTTGAGATACTTTCCATCAATACCTGGTTTATTCAGAGGTTTTAGCATGAAGTGGTGTTGGATTTTATCAAAGGCCTTTTCTGCATCTATTGAGATAATCATGTGGTTTTTGTCATTGGTTCTGTTTACGTGATGGATTATGTTTATTGTTTTGCATATGTCAAACCACCCTTGTATCCCAGGGATGAAGCCGACTTGATCCTGTTGGATGAGCTTTTTGATGTGCTTCTGGGTTCGGTTTGCCAGTATTTTATTGAGGATTTTTGCATCGATGTTCTTCAGGGATATTGGCCTGAAATTTTCTTTTTTTGTTGTGTCTCTGACAGGTTTTGGTATCAGGGTGATGCTGGCCTCATAAAATGAGTTAGGGAGGAGTCCCTCTTTTTCTATTGTTAGGAATAGTTTCAGGAGGAATGGTACCAGCTCCTCTTTGTACCCCTGGTAGAATTCAGCTGTGAATCCACCTGGTAGTGGTCTTTTTTTAGTTGGCTATTATTAATTACTATTAATAATATTATTAGTAGGCTATTATTAATTACTGACTTAATTTCAGAACTTGTTATTCATCTATTCAGGGATTCTATTTCTTCCTGGTTTAGTCTTGGGAGGGTGTATGTGTCCAAAAATTTATCCATTTCTTCTAGATTTTCTAGTTTATATGCATAGAGGTGTTTATAGTATTCCCTGATGGTAGTTTGTATTTCAGTGGGATCAGTGGTGATGTCCTCTTTATCATTTTTTTATTGTGTCCATTTGATTCTTCTCTCATTTCTTCTTTATTAGTATGGCTAGCAGTCTATCTATTTTGTTAATCTTTTCAAAAAACTATCTCCTGGATTCATTGATTTTTGAAGGGTTTTTCCTGTCTCTATCTCCTTCAGTTCTGCTCTGATCTTCGTTATTTCTTGTCTTCTGCTAGTTTTTGAATTGGTTTGCTCTTGCTTCTCTAGTTCTATTAACTGTGATGTTAGGGTGTCGATTTCAGATCTTTCTTGCTTTCTCTCATGAGCATTTAGTCCTATAAGTTTCCCTCTAAACACTGCTTTAGCTGTGTCCGAGAGATTCTGGTATGTTGTGTCTTTGTTCTCATTGGTTTCAAAGAACTTGTTTATTTCTGCCTTAATTTCATTATTTACCCAGTAGTCATTCAGAAGCAGGTTGTTCAGTTTCCATGTAGTTGTGTGGTTTTGAATGAGTTTCTTAATTCTGAGTTCTAATTTGATCGCACTGTGGTCTGAGAGACTGTTTGTTATGATTTTCATTTAATCCAAATGCTAATGGAAGCTAAAAAAAGTGATTAAATACACCAAACGCTCTAGCTCAATCTAGTTTATAATATTATCTAACCATGGAGAGCATTATCATTGTTCATATAAGACAGAATGAATCCTACTCAACAATCTTCTAGGAATGTTTTAAAAATGGCATCTCTACATAAAAATGATCAAATCTTTAATAAAATGTAAAACTCCCTTGGCCAAAGGTTCTCCCACTAGCACTATGGAATCATGTTCCACTCCTCAGGGTGCATCAGTTATTACCCTATGACTTGGCAGCTAAAAGGCCCATACGTTTATAGAGTTTACCCCCAGAGATCATCTTTGTCCTATTGCATGCATGTGTTACAAAATACTGAAAGTGATTCCTGTGTGATATCCACTCCAATCATGAAGAGTTTGAGGCTGCCTTTTTGTTACATCTTTTCCACAGACTCTTGTGATCTTCAGCAAGGAAATTGGAAGGAACATCAGCAGAAAATACTCCTCTTGAATCATATTGGAAGGAATCTTATCAGATACTTTTAACTAACTCGCTGCAGAAAATATTCAGGCAGTTAATTGTTGGGTTCATGTTTTACAACTAAAGAATAAATTCAGGCCAGATGCAGTGGATCATCGCTATAATCACACCACTTTCAGAAGCAAAAATGAGGGAAATCCCGTGAGACGAGGCAATCGAAGCCAACCTGAGCAACATAAAGAGATGTTATTTCTCTGAAAAAATATTTTAAAGAATAAGCAGGTGAGGGGTGGCGTTCCCCTCTACTTCTAGATACTCAGGAAGCAAAGATGGGAAGATTATGTGAGCCAGGTGTTCAAAATTACAGTGAGCTTTGATCATACAACTGTTCTTCAAACTGTGCAACAGGGTGAGAGCCTGTCTCTAAAAACAAATAAAAAAGAATCAATAAAGAATTC